>NC_000016.10:53956439-54259469 GCF_000001405.40 Homo sapiens | reverse complement strand
GTTACCACCTACCCCTGTAACTAACCAATCTCATTATTTCTGTCATATCCTTCTAGTTCTACTGGGTTTTTTTCTTGCACAAATGAGGAAATATGTGTATATTTTCTTATTTCCCCTCCCTTCTTACACAAAAGGTAGCACCCTACCTTAACAGTATGCCCTGGAGTCATCCCAGGTAAGTCCATAGATATCATTCTTATTCTTTTTTACAGCTGCATAGAACTCCATTGGGTGAATACACTATAATCACTTCACTACTCTCATGTGTGTGGGTGTTTGGATTGTCTCCAGTGTTTTGCAATTACAAACAATGTAGCAATTAATACCTTGCACATACATATTTTCACATTATGGGAAGGTTAGCTACTTTTAAATGTTACGTATCAGTAAGGATTAGATCCAACTTTATGTAATAGAAAACTCAAAATAACAGAAATATATAATAGGTTACTGCTAGCCACACAAAAAAAGATCCAGAAGCAGGAAGTCCAGGTTGTCACTGTGACTCATCAGGGAGCCTGGCTCCTTCTGTCATTCTATTCTTCCATTCTTAGTATGTTATTTCCATACTTAATTACCTCATGATCTAAATGGCTGCTGATACTCCCACCATCACACTCGTGTTCCAGGAAGGGAAAGGATGTAAGATCAAAAAGGGCTTTCTTCAGCTGTTACTCTTTTATGGAGACATTCTGAAAGTGTCTCCCAACAACTTTCACTTACGTCTTATCTTCTAGAATTCAGTCACATAGCTACAGGGAGATTGGGGAAAATAGTCTTGTAGCTGGTCACACCACTACCTTCAGTGATTAGGGTTTTTTTGTGTTTTTTTGGTTTTTGGTTTTTGGTTTTGTTTTTGTTTTTTGAGACGAAGTCTTGCTGTCACCAGGCTGGAGTGCAGTGGTGCGATCTTGGCTCACTGCAACCTCTGCCTCCTGGGTTCAAGCAATTGTCCTGCCTCAGCCTCCCAAGTAGCTGGGATTACAGGCGCATGCCACCATGCACAGCTAATTTTCGTATTTTTCGTAGAGATGGAGTTTCTTCATGTTGACCAGGATGGTCTCGATCTTTTGACCTTGTGATCCACCCATCTCGGCCTCCCAAAGTGCTGGAATTACAGGTGTGAACCATGATTAGGGTTCTTTAGTTGAGGAGGAGGGGGAAAATGTGTGTTGGTTGGGCAACTAGCAATCCCTACCACGTTACTACAATTAAATTTTCACTCCTTCCATCACTACTATACAACCAGTATACCTTTTGTTTATGAGGGTGACCTAAAAAGTCACCTCTCTCCCCGGAGTACTTTGGGATAATTTGAGGTGCATTCTCATAGTTCTGAACCAGTATAGGGCCCTCCCCACTTGGGGACCAGTTGGAGTGATGGCCGCCGGCTCCACGGGAAATGTCCAGGAGAATGCATTCACTAGGGCCACGCTGTTATACAAGCCACAAGGAGGGACAGGTGTTTTCAAGAGAAGGGAAAATACAATGATTGTATTAGTCCGTTTTCATACTGCTGCTAAATACATATCTGAGACTGGGCAGTTTACAAAAGAAAGAGGTTTAATGGACTCAATGTTCCACGTGGCTGGGGAGGACTTACAATCATGGTGGAAGGTGAAAGGCATGTCTCATGTGGAGGCAGACAAGAGACGTGACCTCGTACAGGGAAACTCCTCTTTATAAAAGCATCAGATCTCGTGAGACTTATTCGCTATCACGAGAACGGCATGGGAAAGACCCACCCCCATGATTCAATTACCGCCCACTGGGTCCCTCCCATGACACATGAGAATTATGGAAGCTACAATTCAAGATGAGATTTGGGTGAGGACACAGCCAAACCATAGCAATGATCCTTCAACAAGCAAAGGAGATAAACCCGAAAGCCAGATGCCACTGTCTTTCACCAGAGATGAAAGTAACAATGTACTCAATGTCATCTAGAGTAGCAAATGTATCAAGAGACTTTAAAAAGTGCCCAGGTTAATCCCAGAGGGGATAGAAACTGTCTTACAAAATGGCATTACATACAAAAAGAATGATGTCAGGAGTGCCAGTAAAGGCAAACTGCTTATGTGTGAGTTTGGGAGTGGAGGCTGCAGAGGGATGTGGTTCAGTTGGGTAGGAGGAGTGGGACTGAGCTGTTGGATTTCTGCTCCAGAACAAGGAAAATGGGACTCTCACAGTGGCTCAGTGAAAAGTGCTAGGGTTTTGGAGTGTGATGGAGCTGAGTTCACACCCCAGTTTTATGTGTGACAACCATAAAGTCACTTTGTTCCTCTTGGGCCTCAGCTTTCTCATCCACAGTCTTCTTTCTAGCATGGAGCTGTGGGGAGAATTAAAGGATAGATTAAAGATTCAGCAAGGCGTTTATTAATCATTAATAGTTACTGCCATGGCTGGGTGTGGTGGCTCACTCCTATAATCCCAGCACTTTGGGAGGCTGAGACTGAAGGATCGTTTGAGCCCCGTAGTTCAAGCCCAGCCTGGGCAATACAGCAAGACCTCATCTCTATAAATAAAAATAACTAGCCAGGTGTGGTGGTGCACGTCTGTAATCCCAGCTGCTCAGGAGGCTGAGGTGAGAGGATTGCTTGAGCCGGGAGGTTGAGGCTGCAGTGAGCCATGATTATGCCACTGTACTCCAGCCTGAGCAACAGAGCAAGACCCTGCCTCAATTTTTAAAAAAATAGTTACTATCATATCGTTTAGTATGAAAGTTCTCAGTCAGTCCTTCCCTAAGTGTTCATGTCTGGTTACCAGACCCTTCTCCCACTTGGACGGAGGATTAGAGAAAGGAGGAGGGCAAACACCTTTCTGGGAGATGCCGAGCTGCAGCCCCCCAGGGAGAAAGGGTAGAAAACCACAGGTAAGGGATTTTCCACGCTTCTTAGGGTCGATCCTCCTAACCGTTTGTTAGGTAGAACCAGACAGCATGACAGGTCCAGGGGCCCACAGAGGCCACCGCACATCAAGATATGGAAAGTTTCCATTTTTCATGCCCTAACATGCTGGGTCTAAAGGAGTTTTGTCCCCAAAGGGCTGTTCATTAAGGAATCACTTTCCTTACACTCAGGACTCCAGTGATGTCAACCTATAATTTAGTGTTGTCCCAGTGACCACTGGCTGTGCAGCCCTGGACACGTCTCAGTCTCTGGAAATTGCCCTCCCTTTCCCCTTGGGGTGTGCTGAGATGCCCATAAAAGCTCTTCTCTGGATGTTTGAAGTATCAGAAAGTGGTCAGTTTGACAAAACAAATGTGTCTGAGTAAGCATCTTAGCTCTTACTCATTAAATTCTTGGATAAGACCAAAAAAAAAAAAACCTGCCATTAATTGAACACCTACTATGTTCCTATACTTTATATGCATTCTCTCATCTCACCCTTACAACCATTCCATGGGTGTGAGAAGCAGCTATTATCATCCCCATTTTGCTGTAGATGAGATTCAGAGAGGTTATGAGGCTTGCCCAAGGTCACAGAGTCAGCAAATAGCAGATTTAGGATCCAAACATAGTGCTGTCTGACCCCAAATCTATAGTCTTAAAAAGTTGGGTGTGGGCCAGAGGCTGTGGTTCATACCTGTAATCCTAGCTCTTTGAGATGCCATGGCAGGAGGACTGCTTGAGGCCAGGAGTTCAAGGCTACAGTGAGCTATGATTATACCACTGCATTGCACTGTCCACCTTAGGCAATAGAGTGAGACCCTGTCTCAGAAAAAAAAAAAAAAAAGTCAGGTCCTTTGGCAGAAGGTCTTTCAAAAGCTCAAAAGTGCAGCTTGCATGGGAAGGTGTCCTCTGGTGTGGGTCTTCCACAAGTCCCCAGAAGCCTTCATCCTACAAAAGACTCGATCATGTCCAAAGACAGCTGCTGGCGCACAGCATCCACTGGTTGAGATGCAGATTTCCCCCTTTGCTTCTCAGCCACAGTAAAAGCAAAGTTTATTTTCATTGCCCTGCTTCCCCATGTTGGAAGAAAGCAGAGCCTGGGCCCCACATTCCATTCTAAATAAGGGATGGGAGGGCTGTTAAATTTAATTAAGATGATTTTTGCATTTTGAAAAAAGTATTACACACAGACACACACACACACACACACACACACACACTCACCCCTCCGCCCTAGGCAGAACCTCTGCACCATTTCCAGAATTGAGCTCGATATCAACCCGGTGCCACACTCACATCTGCCCACAACCTTGAATCCATCTACAGGACAGGTGGGCAGTCAGCATGTCATTTCAGAGGCTGCTCATTCAGATTTGATTCATTGAGGCCAACACATGCCTCACACCAATAATCCCAGCATTTTTGGAGGCTAAGGCGGGAGGATCCCTTGAGCCCAGGAGTTCAAGCCCAGCCTGGGCAACATAGCAAGACTCCATCTTTACAATAAACAATTTTTTTTTTGAGATGGAGTCTCACTCTGTCGCCCAGGCTGGAGTGAAGTGGTACAATCTTGGCTCACTGCAAACTCCGCCTCCCGGGTTCAAGCCATTCTCCTGCCTCAGCCTCCCGAGTAGTTAGGACTACAGGCACCCCCCACCACGCCTGGCTAATTTTTTTTGTATTTTTAGTAGAGACGGGGTTTCACCGTGTTAGCCAGTATGGTCTCGATCTCCTGACCTCGTGATCCGTCCGCCTCGGCCTCCCAGAGTGCTAGGATTACAGGCGTGAGCCACCGCGCCCGGCCTTACCTCATCTTTAGGATAAGGCAGCTGTGCAAAATATGAGATTGCATTTTAATAACCAGTTCCAAGACCTCAGGA
Source organism: Homo sapiens (assembly GCF_000001405.40). NCBI lineage: Eukaryota > Metazoa > Chordata > Mammalia > Primates > Hominidae > Homo > Homo sapiens. The sequence goes on along the minus strand of NC_000016.10, from coordinate 54,254,698 downwards.
TGTACAAATCAGAAGCCTAGGTTAAAGGTGACAGGCAAGCTTATACCAATTACCTTTAACTAGAGCCACACCCTCCTATTTCCAGGATTTCAGCCTCAATTCCCACGGTCCCTCAAACTCAATATGCTGAGCCCAATTTCATTACAGAATGCGGCTCTCTGATAACATCACCACTTTTTTCCTAGGTTCTTCCCTCCCCCACTTATTAATCCCCTACTCACCCCTCCCGGCCCCCACCCCACCCCATCCCTGCGCTGCCTTGGCCTCTCCATCTAATCAGTTGCCAAGTTCATTAGATCTTATCTCTGTTATGTCTTTCAACACTTCCCACCCTGTTCCTTCTCCCTGTGACTAATCTGGCCTCTTGCCCCCAGGCACCTTCCTGCCTTTATTTCTCTATAATTCATCTTACTCCCTGCAAATAGAAAGATTTCTCAATGCACATATGTGCTTCCGTCACTCATGGGCTCCAGTCCAGGCATTTGTTTAATTCTAATTCTAATATTATTCCCATTTTGAAGATCAAGAAACTGAGGCACAGAGAGGCTACGTGACTTGCCCAAGGTCACATATATCGTGAGCGGTGGCAGGAGGATTTGAGGTTGGAAATACCGCATCAGAAGCTAAGTGCTTGGTCCCTGCATAAAAGCATTCTGCACCATGGCCTTCTAATAGTCCTGCTCATACCTGCTGCCTCCACCGTGCCAGACCCACCACTGCGGTGGAATATGGCACCATTCTCCATCTCCAGTCATCAACACTGTCATGAAATTGCTGCCCAAATGCATCAAGTGAGGCACCTGAGATGCAAAATTTCAGAAGGCACTCTGCACTCTCACATCCCCAGGATGCTTTTGGGGGAGGGCATCCTCATGTGCCCTCAGGTGGCCAAGCGCCTTCAGGTGGTGCTTTCATGGAGGGCATCCTTACATTTTGCACTGCAGGCACCTCGCTTGCCTCACCCTAGTCGTGGCTCCACTCTGCATATATCATCTCATTTAATCCTCAGAAGAAGCCTGTGTTGTAGGCTGGTATCGTGATTATCATCATTAGCATTTTACAGATGGGAAAACTGGGGTGCAGAGAGGTAAAGTGATTTGATTTGCCTAAGTTGAGGTCCAGACTTAAACCCCAGGCCATCCAACTTTAAAGCTATGCTCTAACCCACGGGGCTCTGTGGGATTCGTTTATGGCCCAAGAATAGCACAAATGAAGTCTGTACTTGGCAGAGTCCTGGGGCATCCGTAAGAGGTGCGCTGGATGGGGCACAGGAGCAAGAACACACTGGGAGGGAGGAAGAGCGCACAGGGAGGTGGCATTTGAGATGAGACGAGAAGCAGCTAGGATTTCAACAGGTGGCACTTTGGGGGAGGGCATGCTAGGAGGAGGGAACAGGAAGTACAAGGGCCAGGGGCTAGGAAAGGGCAGGGGCTGTTCCAGGACAGTGTAGAGCTGGCTTTGGCTGGGGTACAGAGCACGTACACAGAAGGTAGTGTGGAGAGGCACTGGCTGGGGACAGGCCAACAGGGGAGCACCCCTAGTGTGGTGGGACAGCTTCATCCAGCTACGTCCCAGGACAGGGACCAGAGCGGGCTTCTCTTGGGGCCAGAGCGGGCTTCAAGCCCCCACTGGGTCCAGCACCTGCCCACATCTGTGGAACCCAGATGGGAGCAAGGCTTTGCCCTTTCTCATTGGAGCTGAGTGTTTTGCCCCTGCATAAATGAATTCTGCACCATGGCCTTCTAGGAGTCCTGACAACAGGGGAATGGGCCAAGGGCTCTCAGCTTGCCTGGGGCCTCACTCTGTTGTATCTTGGCCTGACTCAGCATGAAATAAGCAGGACCCAGAAAGCTCTCGTGGGCCAGGAGCACAGGCGAAGTCCCAGGGTGCACAGAGGAGGCAGAGTCACAGGGACTGGTGTCCAGGTTCTTGGGGAGGTGACAGTAAGGAGGCAGATATCAAAAGAGGGCTTGGCCACATGCACTGGGGGAGAAGAAATGGCCTGTCTTCTCCCTTCCCTCTGCATGTAAAAACACATCTTGACTGCCACCATGCTAAAAAGCCTGGAAACGTCTTCTAAGGAAGACTGGAGTGCCCTGGTTTTAGGGACACAGGCTCTTTCTCAATTACTGATGTCCAGATTGCCCTCTCTGCAAATCACCTGGGGAAAACATTAATCCCTTAATGCAGTGGTCCCCACCCTTTTTGACACCAGGGACCAGTTTTGTGGAAGATAATTTTTTCAGAGACTGGGGTGGGGGGATGGTTTCAGGAAGATTCAAGTGCATTACATTTATTGTGTACTTTATTTCTATTATGATTACATTGTAATATGTAATGAAATAATTACACAACTCACCATAATGTAGAATCAGCAGGAGCCCTGAGCTTGTTTTCCTGCAACTAGACAGTCCCATCTGGGTGTGATGGGAGACAGTGACAGATCATCGGGCATTAGATTCTCATAAGGAGCAGGAAACCTAGATCCCTCGCATGCATAGTTCACAATAGGGTCCAAGTTCGTATGAGAATTGAATGCCTGCTGATCTGACAGGAGGCAGAGCTCAGGCAGTAATGTGAGTGATCAGAAGCAGCTGTAAATACAGATGAAGCTTTGCTGTCTCACCCACTGCTCACTCCTGCTGTGTGGCCCAGTTCCTAAGAAGCAACGATCGCGTGGCCCGGAGGTTGGAGACCCACGCCTGAATGGGCTCCACAGCCACCCAGCATTCTTCCCGCTGGCTCCCATCATGCACTTGTGTGGCCTCTCAGCGTGTCTGTCTGGACTCTCTTCTAAGATGTGTGTTCTCAGCCGAGAGAAGCATGTCAGGGCTAGGGTGGAAGCTGCCGAGTCCACAGCTCAGCCCCACATAGCTTCACTCCAACTCCACGCCTCCACATGGGGTGACTTCTTGGTCCCCAGGGGAGCTCCCCACTGGAATCACAGCAGAGCAGGCCTATGGGTGCCCACGGCTGTGGCCTCCCTGCATGGCATCAAGGAGGTGGTTGGTAAATACTGGTTCAATGGAGTCATGAATGTTTCTAACGGGGCTTCTGCCAAGTCTCCCTGCACCTGACACTTGGTTACCTGGCAAAGACCTCCCGGGCAACCGTTACCTGCCATCTACAGTCACCAAGTCTTTCCAGTAACTGCTCCAATGACCACTTCTTTATTGTAGTAAAATATATATGACAGAAAATGTGCCATTATAACCATTATCTCTCATTCAAGTCTATCATTCAGTGACATCTACATTCACATTCACGATGTCATACAGCCATCACCACTACCTAAGTCCCAGAATATTTTCATCACCCCAAAAGGAAATCCCATACCCCATTCCCATTCGCCCCTCCCCTAACTCCCACCCTCAGCCTAGGCAACTGTTGATCTGCTTTTTGTCTCTATGGACTTGCCTATTCCGGACATTTTGTAGAAACAAAATCACACAGTATGCAACCTTTTGTGTCTACTTTCTTTCACTTAGCCTAATATTTTCAAGATTCTTCTGTGTTGTAGCACAATCAGGACTCCATTCCTTTTTATGGCTAAATAATACTTCATTGTATGAATATACCACAAGTCATTGATTCATTCATTGGCGGACATTTGTATTGTTTCTAGCTTTTGGCTATATGAACAGCGCTGCTATGGACATTTATGTACACGTTTTTGTTTGCACATCTATTTCCAATTCTCTTTGGAGTGGAATTGCTGGATCATATGGTTAATTCTATGTTTAACTTACTGAGGAACCACCAAGTCCTATTATCACTTTGTTCTGAGATGCATACACCTTTATCATAAGACATCTAGAAAATGCATACACACATAAGAAAACATTAAATCACAAATAGTCATGGCACTCAAAGATAAACATTGTCAACTGTTCTGAATGTTTCCTACTAGAATTGTTTAGAATGCCTAAATATATACATTTACTATATAATTAAAAGTTTGTACAAAAGTGGGATTATAGAAATGCCATTTAATGTCACACTTTAATGCCACCTTCTCAACGACAAACCTGATTAAAACCAAACCTCACTACTTCCTGCTCCTTCCCAGTATGATTTTACTCCCTGGCATTTATCATCCTCCATCTCATCTATATCATGCTTATCATAAACCCTGGGAATGCTGGGATTGCTGACTGTTTTGTGCAATGCCTGGCACACAGAGATGCAGTAAGTATTTGTCAAGTGAATTAATACTTTTAAATGAATGAAAAGGCAACCAAGTCAAAATTTAAACTGGATTTCAAATGCATTTGCCGATGTGTAGTAGAAATGGTTGTGCATTACTTCCTGTTGGTGATCATCCGCACTGGAATCTCCACGGCCCTCATTCTTTTTCAAAATGCTTTATCCGAGACATAAATATGGTCCCTGGGAATCCTATTGGCTAGAACCAGGTCATCACCAATCCTTGAGCTTTCTGAGTTTGATTTTGCAAGGAGGCCCCGTCATTTCCATCCCAGGCTCCCAGAAGGGCAGGGGGCTGGCGGTGGAAAAAATCATCCTGAAAAATCTCCAACAGCCAGAGCCCATTTGGCCCTAATTTCAGAACGGGTTTCTTCCGAACTCCAACCGAAGCCAAGATCCCCAAAGGGAGACCATGTCTCTGCCTCCACCTTCCTGTCTATGTCAGAGCAATTCTCCCAGCCACCTTGTCACAAGCCCGCTGTGCTGCTGATATTAGTTACAGATGATGGCAATTAGGGGCCGAATCTCTCTGGCTCCTGGTAGAATATTGAGACAGAGCTACAGCTATTTTAAGATTTTAAGCAGATTTATACTTAGTGCTTCAAAGAAGGCCAGCCAGCAAGGAAAATATGGTAACTGTTGCTTTAAATTATAGCTATCATTACTTCAAAAGGATATTCAATCAGAAACCACTGAAGACTAAAACTATTTACATCTCCTGACACTTAAAAGCAAGCAAGCAGTTTTAGCCTGTCAGCCTTGGACATGTTGGCTACAAAGAGAGAGGTACCTCTCCGACCTGCAAAGAAAAACATTTTCAAGGGAGCAGGAACTGAGAAGGTACCTTGGGAGTCCTCCTGCTTGGAGCTTGCCTGCCATCTCTCTCCCACAGCCTGTAAAGGAAGAGTTTGGGGTCTGGGGTGTGTGGTTCTGCCCAGGTCTGCAGACAGCAGTCTCCAAACCCCGGGAAAAGCTGGCTCTTTAAGCCAGGATGACTGCCCCTTTCTGCCTGGCCTCTGGCTTTCAGGCCCCTGCCCTGGGGAAATCCTGTCTCATCCCATTAATACAATTCCCAGGACAGGGCTGCCTCCTTCTTCTTCCTGGATTCCACTGCATGAACTGGACAGCAGGGCTGGGTGATATATCGATCAGAATCAGAGCCAGTGGAGCCCTTTGTTAACAGAGAGAGTCGCCCAAAGCATGGGCTTTGAGGATAGACTTCTCCAGGTTAGAGTTCAGGCTCTTGAATTTACTAGCTGTGCAACCTTGGACAAGCCACTTAACCTCTCTGAGACTCAGCTTCCTTGTAGGTAAACCTGGGATGATTCAAATCGCCCTTTCATATGATTTTTGAGAAACTTCAGTGAGACAATGTGCAAAAAGCACTTTATTAGTTAGAGTAATGCTAGATGCTGTAACAAATAGTCCTGACAGTTTCAGTGGCTGAACACAATAAACCTTTCTCCCTCGCCTGACAATTCAAGGAGGGTGTTCCTAGTCAGCAGGCAACTTTTCTCCCTGTGATGATTTGGGTGGTTTGGAATCCATCCATTCCACGACTGTCATCTCCCAGGGTTTAAATGTCTCTGCTTCTAGTCTCAGGAAGGAGAAAATGGCAGTGGGCTGGGTCCTCTGAACGTAGAGATGATTAAGATTTCACAGGTTACTCCAACTTGAGAGATCAGTTAAGGAAACGGCCTCTTTTGCTCTGTGTGTGTCTGTACCCTCCCACCCGCCAAAAATTTGCATTTGGAATTAGACGCCCTCCTACTGGCTGCCATAGCCTTGTGCTTACCAGCATCAGCCACGGCCCCTGGAATGTAATTTTGTGGGCACAGCCTGGACTTCCATTTTTCACGGAACAGAAGAACTCAGCACTTGGCACACAAGAGAGGTTCGATAAATATTGGCTGGAAGATTTAAACAGTAAAATCCAGGACCCTGCCGCATTCCCCAACAGGGCAGGTACAGATTAGTGAATGTTCCTAAATGAGTGATGAGTAAATGTTACTACTTGGCAATCTGGAGAAAGAATATTGTAGGCGTTCCCTATACCAGAGGCAAACTGTGGCCTGTGGACCAAACTCAGCCCACTGCCTGTTTTTGCAAATGTTTAATGTTTTGCTATGTGTGTATGCATTTTCTAAATATCTTATGATAAAGGTGTATGCATCTTGGAACAAAGTGGTAATCGGACTTGGTGGTTCCTCAGTAAGTTAAACATAGAATTACCATATGATTATTAAAAACTCAGGAAACAACAGGTGCTGGAGAGGATGTGGAGAAATAGGAACACTGTTACACTGTTGGTGGGACTGTAAACTAGTTCAACCATTGTGGAAGACAGTGTGGCAATTTCTCAAGGATCTAGAACTAGAAATACCATTTGACCCAGCCATCCCATTACTGGGTATAAACCCAAAGGATTATAAATCATGCTGCTATAAAGACACATGCACACGTATGTTTATTGTGGCACTATTCACAATAGCAAAGACTTGGAACCAACCCAAATGTCCATCAATGATAGACTGCATTAAGAAAATGTGTCACATATACACCATGGAATACTATGCAGCCATAAAAAAGGATGAGTTCATGTCCTTCGTAGGGACATGGATGAAGCTGGAAACCATCATTCTGAGCAAACTATCCCAAGGACAGAAAACCAAACACCACATGTTCTTACTCATAGGTGGGAATTGGACAATGAAAACACTTGGACACAGGGTGGGGAACATCACACACCAGGGCCTGTCATGGGGTGGGGGGAGGGAGGAGGGATAGCGTTAGGAGATATACCTAATGTAAATGACGAGTTAATGGGTGCAGCACACCAACATGGCACATGTATACATATGTAACTAACCTGCACTTTGTGCACATGTACCCTAGAACTTAAAGTAAAATAAAAAAAAATAAAAGAAAATGGACTACTACAAATAAATAACTAAAACAACCCCCAAAAAAGAATTATCATACAATCTAGAAATTCCACTCCTGGATATATAACCAAAAGAATGGGAAATAGATGTGCAAACAAAAATGTGTACACAAATGTCCATAGCAGCACTGTTCATAGTAGCCAAAAGCCAGAAAACGCTACTGTTTTGCGCCTGTACACAAGGGCCTGGGAAATGGAGACCCTGGCTGGGTTACTGCCTCCCAGGGTGAACTCTACACTATGGCAGAAAAAGCTCAACTTTTTGGGGGACAGGTAGCTGTTCTCCGCCTCAAGCACTTAGGGCAGTGTTACTCATTAATATTAATATTATTTTAACTGTAATTGTTTTCTAATTCAACCTTCCAATTGTACAAATGAGATCCAGGGAGTTGAGCGCAAGGTTACGGCTAGTCAGTGACAGAACTAGAATTGGAACAGAACTCTCTTGGCCTCTGACCCACCCTTGGAGCCAGGAGAAGGAAGAAGTTCCGACTCAGGGCTATTTGCTTTAGATAGGCAGGGACTTTGGAAAGTTCATTCCCTGTCTTAGGAAGCCAACATTTCACAGCTGCTGATAATTTTGCAGGATGGAAGGTCAACTTTGCTCTTCTCCTGGGTTCTGGAACCAGACCTTCCTAACCTGCTCTGCTCACCTGGAGCCCCAGCCCACTGTCACCCATGCCCTCATCTCCAGACTCTTCTTCCAGCAAGTAAGAGTCACAGCAGGTACCACACTGGGCGGAGATCCATGGTCTCCAGGTGGGAGGAGGTGACTGCCTGTCCCTGTTCGGAAGCTATTAAAAAGAACGCCTTCTTCTTGCCTTGACCCCATGGCCCACTCTGCCTCCAGCCTGGGGTGGGTAAGGCATGTCCCTTGTTGTCTTGGGCTCACCTCAGCCCCTACCTTGCCAAGCAGGCCTTGGGTGGCCAGAGCAGGTACACACAGGCTGTGCAGCCTGAGAGACAGCAAGGTGGGGCAGGTGGTGGCATGGGAGTAAGGTGAATGCTGTGTGTTACCTGGGCAAGTCACTTCCCTCTCTCGGCTTCCACTTCTCCAATGCCACCTGCTCTGCCTGGCTTGTGGGGCTGTAGAGGGTGGGGTAAACATCTGCAGGCATGACAATGTCTTGCATAGTGGATGCTTGCTTATTTTTCAACCTCCCCTAATAAATTCCATCTTCTTTCCATAACAGTAATTGGATTTGTGTGGGGGAATTACCTAACACTCCCCCACTGTGTGTAGTTTTCAAGGACAGTCAATCAAGTTGCCACACCCCTTCCCTGCCCAATGGGTGTGTACATGACTCCAGATCAACCAATCAGAATCTTCCCTGGGACTTTGAATCTTGAGTGAAGTCACAGAGGATGGGAGAAAAAGAGAACAGATGTAGTTGTTTCTTCCCAGCGGGGCAGCCTGCTCCCACCCACTTGTACACACACACGTGTGCACACACACTCTCACACACACACGGATACTTACACACTGTCTCACACACACATTCACAGTCACACATTCTCACACACAGTCACACACTCACACAGATACACTCACACACTCTCACACACACATACTTGCACACACACTCTCACATACACATACTATCACACACTCGCACACACATTTACACTGACATCTGAGTCCTACAGTATCTGCAACTCCTCCCTAAGGGTTTGCTTGTTTCTTCAACTAGGCCATTGGCCCCTTGAGGGATGACATCTTATAATTCTGGATTTTTCTTTTCCCCAGCTAGGCTTGCAAAGCAGGGATGGTGGCTTGGAGCACCAGCTTCCGTGTCAAGCAGGGCAGGCTGCACTCCCAGCGCCCTGGTGCCTCTGGCTCTCGAGGCTTGTTCCTCATCTCTAGCTCCCTCACAGAGTTGTCCTGAGGCTCACAATGGGAACACATCAATAAATTACCTATTGCATTAAAATGAGTTGTTATTATTGGCACAATTGTTATTGACGCTTAAGCCTGAAGGCAAATAAATGATTTTTAGCTGCAAAATGGATCCTGTTCTTTTCTGCTGGATGGCTGGCGTCAAGGAAGGTTTTGCTCCGAGAACTAGCTTTTAGGCCCTGAACTCAGATCCCCCTGACGAATTCTCAGCACCCACCATGTGCCAGATGCCACCCTAGGTGCTTTCAAATAAATTTTCTGGAAGCCAGAAGGTCTAAACAATAATAATTTCCTTTCAGTTCCTATTTTTTCTCAAGAACTAGGAGTGTAGCCGAATGAACTCCTTTTCTAGAAGGCTGTGGTTATCAATTATTTTTATGGTGGAACTCCTTCATTCCCATGAGGGTATATCCTCAGACTTTTAGGGTGGGCTCTTAAAGTCAAGGAAGCCTCAAATTCTGGCTGCTAAGCCAGTCACCATGGCTCATGCCTGTAATCCCAACACTTCAGAAGGCTGAGGAGGGTGGATCACCTGAGGTCAGGAGTTGGAGACCAGCCTGAACAACATGGTGAAACTCTGTCTCTACTAAAAATACAAAAATTCGCCAGTTGTGGTGGTGCATGCCTGCAATCCCAGCTACTCAGGAGACTGACGCAGGAGAATCATGTGAACCCAGGAGATGGAGATTGCAGTGAGTGGAGCTCATGCCACTGCACTCCAGCCTGGGCGACAGAGCAAGACTCTGTCTCAAAACAAAAACAAACAAACAAAATCTGTCTGCCTTCTGGGCAGGGGAGCACCATAAATTGTCATCAGATGCCCCTGACATGCAGCCCTGTTGATCTCCAGAAAGAGCCAAAGCTGAGGGTGGGAACATAGCCCCGGGTCAGGGACCTCAAGTCAGTGAGCTGCTGGCCTTGCTGGAGCCCCCAGAGGCTGGTTCCCACCCACCCAGAGGAGCGTGACAGCCCGGGGACCTAGGGCATGGAGGAGAAGTCAGAGTTGTGGCAGGCAGGGAAGATGGTTTCCCAAACAGGACTCTAGGCAGAACCTGACCTGGAGACATCTGTGTGTCCCTTGCCCCAGATCTGCTCTCCCCTCTTCTCCCCCTGCTCCGTGGCCCAGGAGGCTGATCCCTGGAAAGAATCAGAGTTCCCATGCCTCCTCCCACCCCATCTCCCCACACAGCTTACAGGAGAGCCAGCAGGGAGCCCTGATAAGAGAGTAGAGGGAGGCAGAGAGGAAGGAGGAAAGCCAGCGGGTGTCTATTCCCGGGCTCCCTCCCTCTGGGGCACCTAGGACAGGCTGTGGCTTTAGCAGATGGCTCTAGGTGGCCCCCTCTATCCGCCTGTCTCTTCTGGATTCTGATAACTGCTCCCTCCCCTTGTGGCTTTAGGTCTAGAGGGGAGCAACGGTTCCACTGTCATTGGTTTCCCTGCCTCCTGCCCACATCTCCGTAAACAGTGCCTTTTGAAGTCCTCCTCGAATGATCCTGTCTCCTGCTGAGGGCATGACTGCTAGACATAGCCAGCCATCTCCAGACAACGTTCTCCACCAGCCCCCAGAATGGAGCACCCCCTCCAGCCTCATCAGAGAGGTGGCTATGAAGTATGCCCACTTGGAAAGGGCTTGGAGGGAGATTAGGAACCTCCCATCTGCCACGTGGCCAGGGACTCCAGGAGTTCAAGGAAACCCCACCTCACGAGAAGCTGATAACCATCCCATCTATTTTTCTTTTCTTTTCTTTTTTAAGAGACAAGGGTCTTGCTCTGTCACCCAGGCTGCAGTGCAGTGGCATGATCATAGCTCGCTGCAGCCTCAATCTCCTGGGCTCAAGCAATCCTCCTGCCTTGGCCTCCCAAAGTGCTGGGATTGCAGGCATGAGCCACAGCACCCAGCCCAACCGTAGATCTTTTTAGTTAAGATTCTGGAGGCATTTCAGCCACAGTGAATGCTGGGGAAGGGAGAGAGAGAGGCAGAGGTGGAACAGGGTAGGAAAAAGGCTGAAAGAGGCAGCTAACCCTTACCTAATCTTCTTACCACCCTAGGGAATTCTCTCCATTTCCAAGCGGCCATAAAATGCTCACCTAATTTAGGAGGAGATGGTGACACAGATGTTTCTCCATGGGCACTTTGCACAAGACAGTTCTCATGATAAGTCGTGGAGGATTTAAAAGGTTGCTGACATTTTCCGTTATGTATCTTTTCATTAGACGTAACTATCACTTTAAGCAAATTGTTTCAGGGCCTGGAATGCAGCAATAAGTGATCTAATTATTGTAGGTTGTAATTTAGGAAGGTTCATTATGTCACAGACATTATGACTCCTGGGTATTACTAAAGGACTCATTTGTAGCCCTTGAAATGATTTTCTCATGAACACGTATAATGTCACCCATAGGACGAGTGTGGAGCCTTAAGATGATTTGATATATTTAAAACTTCAGCTTTCTTGGGGACTAGATTTTGAGACAGTCACAAACAAATAACCAGATAGGATACTAGATTTATGCCTGGTTATAGGAAAACCCAGTTCTGACTAGAGCAACACTGGACCCTTCAACTCTGTTTCCTAACATCAAATAAATCACTTAAGACGAAGGTGACATTAAATGATAAACAAGAAGCTTGTTATGTCTAAATAATTTCCATCCTATAGAGGCAGAATACACCAGAAATGGCTGGCTTTGAGTTTTATTTATTTATTTATTTTGAGACAGGATCTCACTGTCACCCAGGCTGGAGTGCAGTGGTGTAATCATGGCTCACTGCAACCCTAAACTCCCACCTCAGTCTCCCGAGTAGCTGGGGCTACAAGTGGACCCTCGTGAGTGGCTAATTTTTGTACTTTTTGTAGAGATAGGGTTTTGCCATGTTTTCCAGGCTGGTCTCAAACTCCTGGGCTCAAGTGATCCTCCCGCCTTGACTTCCAAAAGTTCAGGGATTGCAGGCATGAGCCATCAGGCCCAGCCAGATTTGAGTTTTTGTTATTTTCTTCTATATCATCTATCCCCAAAAGACAGCACACCTGTGGTATCCATAGTCACAAAAATAAAGCATGCTTTTGACTTAACCACCAAGTTGTAATTGTGTTACCATGGCAGGGCAGAGGCGATCTGGTTGCTGTCCACCTATACTTTCCCCTTTTCCTCCTGGGCACCCAGCTAGACTACATTTCCCAGCATCCCTTGCAGTTAGGGGGCCATGTGACTGTGTTCTGACCAATGGCACGTAGGCAGAATAAATGCATCGCTGCCAGTCTTCCCATCAAACCTCAGCACAATACCCCAGCATTCTCTTCCTGCCACCTGCTGTCAGACTGCAAAGATCCAGTGGGAGCTCAGCAGGTACAGGGGATGCTGGAGCCACCAGATGGAAGGAACCTGACACTGAATGTCTGGGGGAGCAGAGTCCCTCCTACCCACTGTCAGCAGGACGGTGACATGAAGGAAAACTAAACTTTGTGTGCATCTGAAGCCACTGAGCATGGTGAGCTATACTTTCCAGCAGTAGTTATACTCTTGACTAATGTCTCCATGTCCAGGGGATTCTCCATTAAATCAGTGTTTCTCAACCCCACCAACCAAGATCTTGTGTGGCTCTACTTTCTGTAGTTTGCATTATAAAAGCAAGGGATTTCTTTTACAGTCTTCCAAATATTTTTAAAAGAATTACAGAAAACGTATGAACTCCCCAAACTTTCAACTTACAAACATTCACAGACTTGAACGAAGCTGAGCGCCGGAGTCAAAACATGTCAGATCTGGTCTCCGTGAACAATGGTTGTTTATGTGGTGCCAGGAAATTGACTTTCTTTGTTTCTGATTAGATCTGAACCAATCGCTGGGATTAGAAGGATGCAGTGTTCTGATTGGCCAGGCTTGGGCCACATGCCCATCCCTAGAGCTAAGAGTGCAGCCAGTTCCCCCAAACCAAATGCACTGGGAGTGGAGAAGGGATGGTTTCTCCATGGAAACCAAGAGATTGCTATCAAAAGAAAGGGGGAATGGATGCCGGGCAGAGAAAAACTAGAGATATCAATTACATTCACATTCAGATGAGGAAACCAAGAAAAAAACCTCTAGGAATTGTCCCAAGATCAAACAGCTTAAGAAGGACAACAGAATAAACCATCCTCTGCTATTTCAGCTTTCTCCCCATCACCCCATGGTAGCTCAGGCCAGCATGTTCATGGGGCATCTGATTTTGGTGCAATAACCCCCAATTGCCAGCAACTATAGATAATTATAACCATGGAGGAACCATGTTCTCTAATGCATGGACCATAAACCCATCAGTTGTCCTGAGCCTGCAGAGGGATTTATAAAAGGCCATTCATCTAATTAATAATTGGTCTGCTTCCAACTTAAGTGGTTTGGTGCTGTTAACTGGAAGTATGTTTTTAATGTAAGGAACTTACTCCCATTAGCTGTCTTCTCTTTTGAAAATATGACCAAGTAAAAGGCTGAGATTTCACAAGCTGAGAGTATCACCTGGCATTAGCCAGCCTCTTAAGAGTTTACCTGTGCAGCCAAGTTTATTTCCAACACCAGGCTCCAGAGGACAAAATGCATCTTTCACGGAACAGACATTGAGGGAGAATCCCACAGACGATGCTGTTTTTTTTCTTTTTTTTTTCTGTTTTTTTTTTTTTTTTTTTGCAATTGATTCTGTTCCAGGCCTGCCTACACATCGGAGGCCAGCTGTGGAGTAAGGCCCCCTGAGCAACACTTCCTGGGTGACAGCGTTGCCTGCGTGGATGAATAGAACACTTATCTCCTTTGTGCTTCTTGATGCAGAAAATGTTTCTTGCAGATGGAATTTTTGGGAGGCATTTGTGTCTTGGTTTATTAAATGTTTTGATGGTCCCAAGGGATAATTTGGTTAGGCTCTTTTCCACTTGCCAGTTAACCTGCTGAATGCCTTGCAGTTAGGAATGAAATGAATCCTTCTTTCCTTGGGGAATAATGGCAGTAATTCAATTCACCAGCCTTGCTCTTAGTGATACTTTCAAAAGATCCTCAAAAATGTTCTTCTGGGCCAGATGCAGATCCGAATTCCTCCAGCTGATTGTGATTTTACAATCTGAGTTCTTGAAATGTTTCATTTGGTCCAAAGCTTGCATCAGTTGCTTGATCTGATAGATTGAAACAAAAGGAAAAAACTGTTTAAATCCTCCTAGGATTTTTCCAGACTTTCTCTGCTTTTTCCAGGCTGTGACCTAATTCTAGAAACCTCTTCAGGACTGTTTGGGCCTAGTTAGAGTTATTTAAGGCAGGCCGGCTGCGCACTTTGCAATGTGGCACTCAACACCCATCAATAATCAGCTGCCTGGGCCCTAGACGCTTATATTTAAATAGCAGCTGCACTTTAGGACCTCAAGTTTGTTTCATCCATCCTATAAACATTTGGGAGTTTCAAGAAAGCCCCTTTGCACAGGGAGAATAGAGCTGGTTTGGGAGAATCAATTCAGATAAATCATTTCTCTAAATGTGAACCGGCTTTATAAAGATGTTAAGCACATTAGACATTTTCCCTCAAACATCCGGCTGTTTCTTCTGTTTCCAGAGAACCTAGACAGAACCAGATATGCTCCAAGAGAAAAGGTTCCAGCATCACTGAAAAAGAAAAGCAACCCATCCCCTTACCCCAACTGGAGGGGCCTAACGTCTTCCATGACTCCTTCCATGAGGCGGCTGTTAGACACCTGCACAGATGTGCTGTCTACAGAGGGGTATGCACCTCTTCTTGCAGCTGGATTGCCCATCACTCCATTCCGCCCGCTCTTGCTTGTCTGCAGTCAGACCCAGATGTAAAACAGATTACAGTTTCTGTATTTTTTAAGAGAGAAAACAAAAACACTTGTGTCTCTTCAGCATTCCCCTGCGGTGAAACCAAGCGGGTTAAAGAGAACCCACGGGAGAATGTAGCCCAGAGAGTCAGTGCCCGACAGCTGGCTTAGGTGATGACGGCTCTGCAGGGCTGGGAACATCTGGAGTGTGGAGATGAGGCTTGTCTCTCCTCGAGCTGGAAAAACACACACAGCTGAGCAGGCTGCCAAAGACCGAGGGGAAGGCTCTGAACTTCCTAGCTCACCCCAGCCTCCCGAGGTTAATATTCCAAGGGCAAGGACTTCATTTGAACACCATGTTCTGTCATAAGCTCTTTGCTGAATAACTCACTTGATGCCTTTTAGCAATTTTGAGGCCAGGGGCAGAAGCAGTCCTGCAAACAAATGATAGTAAATCCAAAGCGATGATTCTACACATTTGGGACATCATCTATTGGGACAAATGCTTCCGAACACATTTTCATATGATCCCTTCAATAGAGCTACCCCAAAAGACAGGACAGTGACTGGCATCCCCATTTCCCCATTTTATGGATGAGAAAACTAACTGGCATACAGAGTTTTCTCTTTTTCTTTTCTTTTCTTTTTTTTTTTTTTTTTTTTTTTGTGAGACAGTGTCTCACTGTGTCAGCCAGGCTGGAGTGCAGTGGCAGAATCACAGCTCTCAGCAGCCTTGCCCTCCTGGCCTTGAGCAATCCTTTCACCTCAACCTCCCAAGTAGCTGGGACTACAGGTGCATGCCACCATGCCGGGCTAATTTTGTATATGTGTGTGGAGACAGGATTTCACCATGTTGCCCAGGCTGGTCTCAATTTCCTGAGCTCAAGCAATCCTCCCGCCTTGGCCTCCCAAAATGCTGGGATCACAGCATGTGCCATCATACCTGGCTTTTTTTTCCTTCTTCTTTTGTGAATTCAATTTTTATACTGCTATGAAAATATTGCCAGGCTGTAATGTTAATAAGCAACAGCAACCAAACAAGGTGACGATGAGTATATATAGTACGCTGCTAATTGTGAAACAAGAAAGGCAAATACTGTATTAATTCATATATGCATAAATATGTTGGAAAAGATGGACAAATAAATTTAAAAATTCAAATATTTCTGAAACCACCCCTCCCTGCATATCTCATAGTCTCTCTTTTTGAAGTATAACCTTTAGAAGTTTTTAGTTGAGAGAAAGGTGAAAATTTTCTTTGTTGTTTTCCTAAAAATGTCTTTGCTTCATTCTCATTCTTAAAAGACGATTTAGCTTGTTATGTGTTTAGATGAGCGGTTATTTTCTCCCAGAACTTTGAGGATATTATTCTACTATTTTCTGGATTCTGATTACTATTCTTATTGCTACAATATGCAACTCTTATTGCTATTGCTATTGTCAACCCACCTGTTATTCTTTGTAAGTAATTTGTCTTTTCTATCTGAATACTTTTATTATTTTAATTTCTTAACAATTTTAGGTTTTATTTCAGATTCAGGGGTATGTGTGTAGATTTGTTACATGAGTGACACACAGAGTTTAAAAGGCCATAAAAAAGACCCTAAGGGGAACCTCCAGCACTGGGCCCGAGGCACCCATGGCACTCATGACACTATTGGGCTCAAGTAAGATCACCAAGATCTTTCTTGCTTGTCCTCCCAGTTAGGAGCTGCAGGACCTAGAGCAGAGTCTTCCTGTTGCAAATTTCCTTAAATGGAATAATAATTATACTTGCCTGCTAAAGTTGTTGCAAGGAGTAAATGAGATTTTTATTTTTGGGGTGGGGATGGAGTCCCCCTCTGTCACCCAGGCTGGAGTGCAGTGGTGTGATCTTAGCTCACTGCAACCTCTGCTTCCCAGATTCAAGCAATTCTCCTGCTTCAGCCTCCTGGGTAGCTGGGATTACAAATGTGCACCACCATGCCAGCTAATTTTTGTATTTTTAGTAGAGACGAAGTTTCATCATGCTGGCCAGGCTGGTCTCGAACTCCTGACCTCAAGTGATCCACCCACCTCAGACTCCCTAAGAGCTGGGATTACAGGCATGAGCCACTGTGCCCAGCCTAAATGAGATAATTATATAAAACTCTTAGAACAGTTCCTGGCACATAGTAAACACTCAGTAAATCTGATGATGATGATGGTGGTGGTGGTGGTGATTTTGAAATATACACTTTTATGTGTTTCTAGGAAAGAATAGGTGTAATCTTGTCCATCAGAATTCTACACAAGATAACAGAAGATTATGATCAGGTTGTATTGTGGGCCTTTCATTTCCTCCCAATGTCAAAAATTTAAAGAGGTCAGAACCTGACCTCCCCATCTCCATTTTGGAGTAGTATTCTGGTCATATTGTATTCTGGGTTCAGGTTCCAGAAAAACTCTGCTATCCACTCCTGACTCCACCAGCTGCGATTCCTCAAGCTTTTTGGACAGTTGAGGAATCTCCCTGTATTGGCAGCAGTCAGAGGCAATGTAGATAACACCTAACTTTCTGCTTAGGGAATAAAGGATATCTGAAAGCCTTTTAACCTCTTTCTCTTGGTCTCTAACATTTTACTGTTTCTTTGTGATTAAAAGCCGTCTGGAAGCCCAGTGGCAGAGACAGCTGGCACCCACCAATGTCCACACTCTCCTCCTCTTCGTGGGTACACAGCCACCCTTACAGTCATATGTGGCCTGACTGAGTTCTGGCCAATGGAAGGTGAGCAGAAGTGAATGTGCACCATGTCTAGGCCTCCCATAGCTAATCCTCACTTTTACTCAATGCACCAGCAGAATGAAAAGACTCCTTTGACTAGAGAAGGGCTGAGTTTCAGCATCGAAGGAATTTGGATCTCTGAGTCACTGCATGGAGTAATGACGTGCATTAATCAAAAACATCTGTTTTGGATCATGAATTAGAAATAAATGTATATTATGTTAAGCCACTGATATTAGGAGCTATCTTTTAAAAGTTAGCCTGCCTCTGACTAATGCAGGCTCTAATTATGGCAAACTCTAAGCCAGTGACTTAGCCAAGGTCACACAGTTAGGAATTCAGGCTTCAACAGCTCTCACCATTAAAAGTCTATTAAAGATACTGTCCACCTCTATGTGAAGTATAATAAGCTCTCCAAAGTTGGCTGGCTGGCTGGCTGGATAGACTGGTGAATGAATGGGTGAATGGATAAATGGATGAATGAATGGATGGATAGATGAATGGATGAATATACTGATGAATGAATGGGTGAATGGATAGATTCATTGATGGATGGATGGATGGGTGTGTGGGCAATGACCCTGTGGTCACTTACGGGCGAAATTGCCACCAGTTTACAGAGGAAGAACCAGAAAGTATTTGTTTCTCTTGAAAGGTGGGAAGAAGCGATGTGATCAACCCAGAGTTCTCAGAGAGATGGACAATCCTGTTCAAGGTTGTGAGGCCTGAGCAAGGGCCTCCCAGAGCACAGAGCATCTTGAAATCACTAGGGAAATGAACCACACAGACTCACAAGGATCCTGATTAATTTCTACAGTGGCTGTGTAGCTCAAGACAAGAAGACTAAAGACAAACAAGTCCAGACAATGGAGGCTAGATCTTGCTAGATGGGGGCCAGCCAAATAAGAATAGGGTGTGTTTATCAAAAAATAGGGGGCTTAACGCCAGGCACGGTAGCTCATCCCTGTAATCCCAGCACTTTGAGAGGCTGAGGTGGGCAGATCACTGGGGCCCAGGAATTCAAGACTGGCCTGGGCAACATAACGAGACCCTGCCTCTACAAATAATAGAAAAATTAGCCAAGCATGGTGGCATGCACCTGTAGTCCCTGCTACTCGGGAGGCTGAGGTGGGAAGATTGCTTGAGCCTAGAAGTTTGAGGCTGCAGAGAGCTGTGATTGCAGCACTGCACTCCAGCCTGACAGTGAGACCCTGCCAAAAAAAAAAAAGTGAAAGAAAGAGAAAGAAAAAGAAAAAAGAAAGAAAGAAAGAGAAAGAAAGAAAGAGAAAGAAAAGAAAGGAAGGAAGGAAGGAAGGAGGAAGGAAGGAAGGAAAGAGAGAGAGAAAGAAAGAAAGAAAGAAAGAAAGAAAGAAAGAAAGAAAGAAAGAAAGAAAGAAAGAAAGAAAGAAAGAAAGAAAGAGAGAGAAGGCAAATAGGCACATCAGCCAGCTGGGGCCAGCCCTGCCCACTTGCCCCCTGCTTATCTCCCACGAAGAGTGCCAGTTCACCATGCTGAAGTGAGGAATGCTCCCAGCCTGCATCCACCCAGGACCCTCTTTCTGCAGGGCTGCAGGGGCTGAGCCCCTGCACTCAGCTCTCCTCTGGGATGGCAGGGATGGCTGGGCTTCCCTCCTTCCAGGGATGTGTGAGCGTCTCTGCCTCTGGCAAGCAAGCCCTTTAAGCCTGTCTTTATGTCCTTATCAGGGCTCCACGGCAGGCCCAGGTGCCAGGCCTCATTCAGTCAATTACCGTCTTCGCAGGACACAATGCTCTCTTCTGTGCGCAGATAGAGACACTTTCATGGCAAGGGTTCAGAGCTAAATCCTCTTTTGATACTGTCAGAAACTCCCTGCCAAGCTGACACTGTATGTTAGAGGGAAAAGAGCTCACCGGCGCAGAAAGCCGAAATTAAATTAAACAGGATATTAATACCTAGTAGTTAAGGAAATGATACTTCCTTTTTTTGATTCCTCTCTCTCTCTCAGTGCTGAAGCCAAAAAATGCAGACCCCTCTTGGCTGAACCAGTCGGGCCCCGGGGTTTCCAAAGCAAAACAGGGACATGATTCCTCTGGCAGGAGAGCCTTCTGCAGTGTTTCCTCATCACCCCCAGCCAGCCCCCACACCCCAGGTCCTTCCAGTTTTCCTCTGTTCTTCTGAAACCAGAAGGTCTGGTTAATCCTTCTGAAGTAGACGGAAATTGAAACTCAGTTAAAGAGGCCAGATTATGGGTGAAGTTTTTTTCTTCTCGATTTTCTAAATTTTAAAAATTAGGGTCACATTACCGTTTATATTAAAAAAACAAAACTCTCTTTGCCCTCTCTTTGAGCTCCCCATCCTGTGACATTTTTCTATCAAATGCTTGGCTTACAGATCCCGTTCATAATAAGGGCTCCATGGTCATTGCATCATTGTTGAAAGGTGTTCACCCAGCACTTACATGTGCCAGGCCCTGTGCTCAGCACTTTGTGTGAATTGTTTCACCTAATCCTCACCACAGTTGTATCAAGTAGGTGAATGTTCTCACTCCTGTCTTTAACTTGCATATATACCATGTTGCAGCAGTTTTCCCAACAGCCAAAAGGTGGAAACAATCCAAGTGGCCATCGATAGGAAAATGGATAAACATGAAGTGGTCTATCCATGCAATGGAATATTACTCAGCCTTGAAAAGGAAGGATGCTCTGACATATGCTTCGACATAGGTGGACCTTGAGGATTTACGCTGAATTAAACAATCACAAAGTGACAGATGATACTGTAGGAATACCTCATAGTGACTTGAGTGGAGTAAGCAAGTGAGAGAAAGAGAATCAACTCAGAGACTCATCTGTTAGGGCAGCAGATAGGCCCTTGAAGACTGTGTGAGATGCATAGAGCAATCATTTTCAAGAGACAGAAAGTGGGATGGAGGTTGCCAGGGGCTGAGGGAAGAGAGAATAGGGAGTTTGTGTGTGATGGGTGCAGAGTTGCAGTTTTGCAAGACGAAAAGAGTTCTGGAGATAGGTTGCACAACGATGTGAATGTATTTAATGTTAACGTGCAAAAACTGCACACTTTAAACATCATTAAAATGGTAAATTTTCTGTTCTGTATATTTTACCACAATCAGAAATAAATAATTTAAAAAAGAAAAGAAATGAGAAAACTAAGACTCAGCAAGGTGAAAGGACTTGTCCAAGGACACCAGCCCCTAAGTGACAGAACCAGACCCCACTCTTGCAAAGCCTGGGGCTCACCTTGCCGGGAATGACACTTCCCTGTGATAAAGCACAGGCGCTGTCATGATAAGTCTCCCTCATGCTCCAGAATCACCTCTGGATTCCTGCCACCACTGAACACACAATCCAAGTCAGAATACCACTGAGCAATAAAAAGGAATGAACGACCGGTATGTGCCACAGCCTGGATGAACCTCAAAAACATTATACTCAGTGGAAGAAGCCAGGCAGAAGAGACCACACATTATATGATTCCATTTCCAGGGAAGATCAAGAAAAGGCAAAGCTGCAAAGATGGCAGCAAGTAGATTAGCAGCTGTTTGGATGGGGGCAGAGCAGAAAGGGGATTAATCGTACATGTGCACCAAGGATCGTATCAGGATGATGAAAATGCTCCAACGTGGATTTTGAGTGATGGTTGTACAACTTGGTAAATTTACTTAAAAAAAAGCATTGAGTTGTACACATGAAAAGGGTGAATTCCATAATATGCAATATATGCCTCAATAAAGTTGTTTGTTTGTTTGTTTTGAGATGGAGTCTCGCTCTGTTGCCCAGGCTGGAGTGCAATGGTGTGATCCCAGCTCACTGCAACCTCTGCCTCCCAGGTTCAAGCAATTCTCCTGCCTCAGCCTTCTGAATAGCTGGGACTACAGGTCCATGCCACCGCACCTGGCTAATTTTTGTATTTTTAGTAGAAATGGGGTTTCACCATGTTGGCCAGGCTGGTCTCGAACTCCTGACCTCAAGTGATTCATCTGCCTTAGCCTCTCAAAGTGCTGGGATAACAGGCATGAGCCACCATCCCTGGCCAATTTTTTTTTTTTTTTTAAGAAATACAATCCAAGTTCTCACACATTTTACAAGGGCTTATACACTGCTCTATAGCTGCATCTCTCAGTTCATTCTCATTTTCTCTCTCTCGCTCACTCCACTCAAGTCACTATGGCCTCCTCCCTGTTACTTGAATACACCAAATGCACTCATGCCCCAGGGCCTTTGCACCTACTCTTCCCTCTCCCTAGAACTGGATTTCCTAGGATAATCACATGGCTCCCTCACTCCATCCAGATCTCCTCATCCTATCTCCTCTTCCTATCTCCTCCACTCCCTCCCTAGTCAGGCAGCCTCTGCCATGCCCCAGCAAGCCCCTCAGTATTGGAGTCTCAGAGAAATCATGGACATTAGCCTCCCAAAGAGGGTTCCCATCTACATAGTGGGAGGCCTGCCTTTCTGCTGGGCTTAGCACATTCCTTGGCATAAGTAACTTCCTGGGCTCTCAAAGTCGTTCTCACTGTCCTCCACAAAGACTCCTATGCTCAGACCAGGAGCTCAGGGGTTCAAAGATTTCCCAGGTCCTCCAATTCCACCCATGTTGCTGCAAAAGACATGATGTCACTCTTTTCTATGGCTGAGTAGTATTCCATTGTATATGTATACACACCACATTTTCTTTATCTAAGCATCGCTGATGGACACTTAGGCTAATTTTATATCTGCTATTATGAATAGTGCTGAGATCAACGTACCAGTGCAGGTATCTTTTTTACATAGTGATTTCTTTTGCAATGAGTACAATGAACATTCTTTGGGTGATGGCTACACTAAAAGCCCATATTTCACCACTATGCAATAAATCCATGGAACCAAATGACACGTGTACCCCCTAAACCTATAAAAATAAAAAGATTTCCCCCATCCATCCCTGCCTTGGAGGAGATTGCCAAGACCTCCTGTTTGCGCTGGAGAGTCTCCCGGTCCTGAAGGATTCCCAGCTGTTCCCTCACTTCCCTCCCTTCTTAGGAAACCGAGCCATAAGCCCAACAAAGCAGAATGACCTGTTCTTGGGCCACCCTTATAAAACATCCAGATGCAGAAACACCTTGGAGAAGATCTCATAGAGCCCAGCATTTCCCAAAGTAAGTTCCACAAGATGCTCTGCCAAAGATGGGCTCCAAATTCAAGGATCTCAGAAATGCTGGATGTGTAAGGGCTCTGAGAAGCTCTGCAAAGAGACTTGGTTTGGCTGTTTATCCTAACCTTGCCTAAACCTATTTGACCACAGAACCCTTCTTCTCTCTTCCTTTGCCCTGAAACATAAAACATGATTGCATTCCTAGAGTCCCAGGGCAAACTTCAAGAAACGCTAATTCCAACCCAGGCTTCATCTCCCAGGTCCCTGAGTCCCAGAGAGAGGAAGAGACTTGCCCAAAGCCACAGAGCTGAGACTAGAAGTCAGACTTCCCAGCTCCCAATCCCAACTTTTCATTATTAACTTTGTTTCTTGATGCCCAACAGATATAAGTCACTGTGCTGGATGCAGAAGAGAATAAACATGCCCCTGTCTCCCAGAGCTCACTCTTGAGAATGGTAGAAGTGGGGAGAGAAACGTGATTCTTCCTGCAGCACTGTGACCTTTCTGTATCAATCAGCTTTTGTTAAGCATGTGCTATACACTCTTCTTACTGCTTTACACATGTCAATTCTTTCCATCAAACACTAGCCCAGTGAAAAAGTTCCATCTTACAGATGAGAAAACTGAGCCTTGGCCAAGTTAACTCACTAGTCCAGGGCCACATGGCTAGGAAGGCTTGGAGCCTGGATTACCATGGAAGCTTTCTGACTTCAGAGTCCACATTTTCAGCCTCCAAGTTGCCATGCCCCCTTGGGACCAGCTGTCTCTCACCAGTCCCCACAGGAGCCTTCCTGACCTTCTAAAGTTAAGAGCTTTGCAAATCCCTCTTGGTTAACTCTCCCCAGGGTCTGCAAATGAACAGCTCTGGGAAGCTGCAATTTTAAAATTTAAAATCTTTTTATGTGTTCCAGAGGAAAGGAGAGTTCGGTGGAAACTTGGGTGACCTGGGAAAGAGTCTGGACTTGTTCAGAAGATCCCCCATCCTCGCTTGTGACTATGTGGCTTTTATTTTTATTTATTTATTTTTTAGAAACAGAGTCTCCCTCTGTCACCCAGGTTGGAGTGCAGTGGCACAATCATGGGTTCACTGCAGCCTTGACCTCCCCGGGCTCAAGTGATCCTCCCATCTCAGCCTCTGGGGTAGCTGAAATGGCAGGCACATGCCCCACACCTAGCTAATTTTTTTTTTTTTTTTTTTTTTTGGTATTAGAGATGGGGTTCCTCCAGTTGCCCAGGCTGTTCTGGAACTCCTGGGCTCAAGCAATCCACCCACCTGGGCCTCCCAAAGTGCTGGGATTACAGGGGTGCGCCACCACACCCAGCTGGCTCTGTGGCTTTTGAATAATTACAGGTATAGGAAGTGGAATGTTCTTTGGCCTCCACATCTGCAAGTGTGCTTGCTCTCCATCTTTGTCTTCTGTATTCTAGTAAAATGAGCTTCTTTGACAAGCTCCTGGCATGGGACCCTGCGGAACTGAGACCAGCAGAAAGATTGACCCCCTGTAAATCAGTACAGATCAGTCTAACAAGTAATTATGTGATCGCAACCAGTACTGTCTGAGGGGGAGACCAGGGTCTGTGGCTGTTCTGCTCACCCAGCACATCAGATGGTTTAGATTTGTTGTTGTTGTTTTTCATTAGATTTGTCGTCGTTGTTTTTCAAACAAAAATAAATCATCAAAATTCATGAAAAATAAAATAACATAAAGCTCCAACTGAATGTAACAGATGGAAAACAAGGCATAGCAATAATGATTGGCTCAAGAGGAAATGGGAGGAGGCCGCCCTTCCCCCAGCAGCAGATGCCCTTCCCCCAGCCCACGTGGCTGACTACTGCTTCCCCACTCTGCACTCACCCACTCCCCTCCTCACCAATCCCCACCATATTGGGTGCTGTCTTTTCTAAAATGTTGATATTTTTATCGGTGTGGATTTTTAGTATTAATTTTGATATTTTGAAAGATTGCATTAAAATTTTATTTAGTCTGATGACTGAGGATTTTTGGTGCCTATTTAAATTTGGTCTTGTTTGTCTACCCTGATCTCAGCCCTGGCTGGATGAATGCGTGCATTTGTGGCAAGATGACCAAACCTTAGACAAGTGCAGAGTGCTGCCATGTTAGGTGTTGGTGTTAAGTGCAGGTGAGAAAAATGGGAGCAGCTAGGAGTACAGGGGTGTCAACTGTGTCCTCTCTCTTCACCGTGAGTCCAGAAAACCCCCAGAAAAATTAGCCCCTCTAGGGATTATTTCTCCATCAAGCAAGAAAGGGACAGGTAGGAATACACATCAGACAGCTAACATTTAGTGAGCTCGTACATGTGCTTTGCACTATTATAAGTGCTTTCTGTGTTTTTATATTATACATTATAATATAAATTATATCATAATTTTTATATAAATATATGTATTTGTTTATAATAAATTATTTATTATAGTCAGGAGGTGATGGTGGAAGTGGATACACCCACTATCTATGTGGTGGCACACTCAGGACAGGTGGCCAAAGGGAGCATGGACCACATTTGCTTCTGGAGGACAGCAGGGTTCTGTAGTTCTCTGGTTCTCCCAACATTTGTAGATGAGGGACACCCAAGCTTAAACTTTCTGGCCAAGCATTGTGGCACACGCCTATAACCCCAGCACTTTGGGAGGCCTAGGCAGAAGGATCTGTTGGGTCTGGGAGTTTGAGACCAACCTGAGCAACATAGTGAGATCTCATCTTTACAAAAGATGAACAAAATTAGCTGGGCATGGAGGCATGCACCTGTGGTCCCATCTACTTTGGAGGCTGAGGTGGGAGGATTGCTTGAGGTCCAGGCTGCAGTGAGTCAAAATTGCACCACCTCACTCCAGCCTGGGCGACAGAGCAAGACTCTGTCTCAAAAAAAAAAAAAAAAAAAAAAAAAAGTCACCACTGGCTGAAATTTGCCAGATTCTTTCCTAACACCCCAGAGATTACTAGACAGTGGGTAACTCCAGGCCAAGGTTAAGCCACCAAACCACAGCAATAGAGTCCTTGGATGCCCACTGGGCACAGAACCAAAGAAGCACTAGGACTGGTGCACTCGTGGTGCACTCGCCACTGGCAAAGATGCCCACCCAGAAGTGAGCGAGGAACCCAGGCACAGGACCAGGGCTTGACCAGTGGTTGTAGAAGCTTGGAAGTTTGAGGTCCAGATGCTCTTTTAAAAATTTATTTATTTGTATGAATTTATGGGGTACACATGCAATTTTGTTACATGCATAGGTTGTGTGGTGGTCAAGTCAGGGCTTTAAGAGTTAGGATGCTCTTTTTATTTTGATTTTTAACTCTATCAGCTTAGCCATGACAATCACCAATCAATCCCCAAGGAGCCCTGCACTCAGCCTCTGAGATGCAGAAGATGTCCGTGATGGTCAGTTTTATGTGTCAACTTGACTGGGCCATGGGGTGCCCAGATAGCTGGCTAAACAGCATTTCTAAGTATATCTGCAAGGGTGTTGCTGAAAGAGATTAGTATTTGAATTGGTGGACTGAGTAAGGCAGATTGCCCTCTCCAATGTGGGTCGGCATCCTCCAATTCACCGAAGGCCTACATAGAACACAACAGTGGGGGAAGGTTGAATTCACTCTCTGCTTGACAGCTTGAGCTGAGACATCTGCTTCTTCTACTTTCAGTGTTCCTGGTTCTCAAGCCTTCAGACTCCTGGACTGGCATCAACATCATTGGTTCCCCTGGTTCTCAGGCCTTTGAACTAGACATCAGCTTTCCTAGGTCTCCCACTTGTACTAGCAGATTATGGGACTTTTCAGCTTCCATGATTGCAGAAGCCAATATCTTATGATAATTAAATATATATATATATATATATAAATAAAATGAAGAGCATATGTGTGTCAATACATATATATTCTATACTACATATTATATACTATGTACATAATACACACAAATACACTATTAGTATATATACTATTAGCATACATATATAGCATACATAATATATACATATATGTATACTACTAGTATATATACTAATAATTAAGTATATATACTAGTAGTATACATATACAGTATACATATATAGTATATACCTGTATACTATATGTATATAGTATATGCATATACTGTATATAGTATATATAGTATATATATACTATATATAGTATATAGTATAGTGTATATATAGTATATAGTATATATACTGTATGTATATAGTATATGCATACTATATACATATACTATCTATACTATTAGTATACATATATAGTATATATTGTATATATGTATATTATATATACATATATAGTATATACGTATATTATATAATATATGTATATAATATATAATATAATATATGTGTATGTTATATATACACATATTACATAATATATGTATATACTATATACTATATGTGTACTGTATATGTATATATAATATACATATATACAATACTCTATATGTATACCAATAGCATATATACTAATAGTGTATACATATATACACTATTACATATATACAGTATACCTATACACTAAATATACACTATTATATACAGTGTGTACATATACACTATTATATATATACTGTGTACATAGACACAATATATACACCATTATATATATACAGTATATATGTATATACTATATATATTTATATACTATTAATTCTGTCTCCCTGAAGAACTCTAACTAATACAACGTCTTAGCTCCCACATTCTCATGTTCATCCAAATGCAAGCTGATGAGCACAAGATTGCTCCAACATTCTTTCCCTGGCCCTCAAGGGACATCTGGGCCCAAGCACTCTTATCTGATGCATTGCAGCCTCCCAGTAACACTCAGTGCTATTCCCATTTCTGATTCGATAGTTAACACAAGGCCTCCACATGCAGCCTCAGCAAGCAAAGTCAAAACGAAGCAAAACTACAAATCTACAATCACCCTTCTTTCTTCCTTTTCCCCCATTCTGGCAAATGGATGACATGAGCAGGACGTAGGGAGTTAATACGTGAAGCTCCTTCCCTGATAGCACCAGCTCCCCACGTCTCTGTCTTTTGTGCAAGGTTAATAAAATAAATTCTGAATATCAATAAAGTGCGTTCTATTTTTCTTGGCATGTCCCAGCCCCACTCCGTCCTTCTATTGCAGAAGTCATGCTACAGAGAGATCACTTTTCCACAGAGCATTAATGTGGTGCCATAAGGGCTGCAGATGATTCGCTAAAATGCTCCAAAGGTATTCAAATTTCTTTAAAGAAGAAATTCAATTTATGTGCATTTATATTACAATGTCTGTCAGGAAGAAAGGTTATAATCACCAGCATATTTCAGATTTACATTTTCCTCTGTACATGAGGTAATGGTATTAGAGGGAAACGATGGAGCTTACAGTTGAATTGGACGCATGGTCCTATTTTCATTGCCGCTAAAAGCATGTTTTTGAAGTTCTTGAGGAAAGCATATGTTAGCCTATGTTAGGGAAACATCAAGAACAGGAGGCTGGGTGGTTGAGAAGGAAACATTTGTCTTTCCTTCTGGCCTCTCCATGTGGATAGGCTATTTCTTAGTGCCTCCCCGCCTGGGGAAGCCATTTGAGGTTTCAGCATCTGACACAGACTAAAGAACAGAGCTCAGGCTGAATGGGTGTGTTCCAAGGGCACTGTCCATCTTCACCCTGGAAATCTCAGACAGCCAACTCCAGTAGGCTCCAGTAAGAGCAGGAAGGAGTGAAGCATTAACTCATCCAGAAAGCAATCTTTGATCCTGGATATTTTTAAATTACTTCCAGTGCTTTCTCCTCAAATATTCATCAACCGTAGCTGCCCAGGACGCTCTACTGATGGAAGGACCAGTGCAAGCAGGGTGACTGAGCCTGGCTCCCTGTAAACAAAAGACTGGGGTCTCCTTTCTTGTCCAGGGTCCAAAGCTGCTGGCAGGCAAATGCAGGATTCCAATCCAGCAGATTTGCTTCCACGAGCCACAGTGTTAATCCAGTTGCCTTGGGCCACCCAGGTAGAGACTACATTTAGAATTCATGAGCCATACTCTCTAAACAAGGATATCCAGGAATCTGAGTGAATGAAAGTCCCTCAGTGATTCTGACCAGGTCTTTAGTTCACTCTTTTGCCCCACAGCAGAGACTCAGATGCCTGGTCTTACTGCTTCCAAATTATACATGTTGAAAACTTCTCTCCTGTGATTACAAAAAAAAAGTGTTTTCTTGGATGATTTTTTTTTTTCAGACAGAGTCTCGCTCAGTTGCCCAGGCTGAAGTGCAGTGGCGTGATCTCAGCTCACTGCAACCTCCACCTCCTGGGTTCAAGTAATTCTCCTGCCTCAGCCTCTCAGGTAGCTGGGATTACAGGCACCCGCCACCACGCCCTGCTAATTTTTGTATTTTTAGTAGAGACAGGGTTTCACTATATTGGCCAGGCTGGTCTCAAACTCCTGACCTCAAGTGACCCGCCTGCCTCAGCCTCCCAAAATGCTGGGATTACAGGCATAAGCCATCAAGCACGGCCTTTTTTTTTTTTTTTTTTTTTTTCACAGTCTCACTCAATCACCCAAGCTGGAGTGCAGTGGCATAATCACAGCTCACTGCAGCCTCGAACTCCTGGGCTCAAGCCAGGCAAAGCACTGGGATTAATAGATAGGTATATTTAACTGGATGTGCCACCACCTCCTTTATTGTGTTTTCGTCTAGATACAAAAGTAATAACAGTTGAGTGTAGAATATTTGGGAACAATGGACGAGCTGAAAAAAAAAGAGAAAATTAAAATCAACCTTGATTTCACCCCACAGAGGTAACCATTCTTAATGGTTCTCTTCATACTGTTTTGGCATAAACCCCTCTGCATTGTTTGTACATATAACTATCATATGTATAACATGTTTTGTATATGTTTTTATAAAAGTGAAAGCATACTCAATTATTTTATTGATTGATGATATGGTTTCGCTGTGTCCCCACCCAAAATCTCATCTTGAATTGTAATCCCAATAATCCCCACAGTCCTCACGTGTCAAGGGAGGGACCCAGTGGGAAGTGATTGGATGATGGGGGCAGTTTCCCCCATGCTGTTCTCGTGAGAATGAATGAGTCTCCCGAGATCTGATGGGTTTATAAGTGTCTGGCATTTCCCCTTCTTGCACTCATTCTCTCTCCTGCTGCCCTGTGAAGCAGTACCTTCTGCCATGATTGTAAGTTTCTGAGGCCTCCCCAGCCATGCAGAACTTTGAGTCAATTAAACCTCTTCTGTTTATGAGTTACCCAGTCTCAGGTATATTTCTTCATAGCCATGTGAGAACGGACTAATACATTGATATATTAGTTCACAACAGATTATGAGCGTCTTTTTATGTCAGAGTCTTCTATAACATAATTTTAACATCTGCATAGTATTCCTGTCTTTGGCTGTACTTTAAAATACTTTCCAATCCCCTCTTGTTGGACATTTAGGTTGTTCTGAATTTTTCACTAATATAATTAATGTTGCGAGGTGCATCTGTGTAGCTGCTCCTATTCACAATTACTTACTTAGGGCAATCCCTAAAAAGTGAAATGTAGGGGTCATGAGATATAAATATTTGTAATATTTTGGTCAATATTGCCAGATTTTCTCTAGAAAGAGTGCACCACTTCCTCTCCCCATCATCAGTGTGTGAGATTCCATGTTTCACTGACCTGAGCCCTAACTTAATTGGTTAAGGAAAAACCTCATTTGCTGTAAGTTTGATCAGAAAAATAAAAGAAAGAAAGAAAAAAGCCTCTGATAAGTTAGTTGCTGCTCAGTCTAGGAGAAATGTAGACAATGGATTTACTGGGAGGTTGGGCCCTTCTGGGGCAATAGGAAAAAAAGCACCTTTAGTTAATGGAGGAACTGGGGAGAGTTCATGGGGGAGAGAGTCCATAGCTCATAAAGAGATATTCATGTGACACCTGTAAGCCTTTTGGGTGATATTAGGCCTACCTTAGTATCTTTAGGTTTCATTTATTTATTTTATTTTTATTTATTTATTTTTTGAGATGGAGTTTCACTCTGTTGCCCAGGCTGGAGTGCAGTGGTGTGATCTCGGCTCACTGCAATCTCTGCCTCCCAGGTTCAAGTGATTCTCCTGCCTCGGCCTCCCAAACAGCTGGGACTACAGGCCCACACCACCATGCCTGGCTAATGGTCTTTGTATTTTTAGTAAAGACAGGGCTTCACCATGTTGGCCAGGCTGGTCTTGAACTCCTGGCCTCAAGTGATACACGTGTTTCGGCCTCCCAAAGTGCTGGGATTACAGGCGTGAACCACCACACCCAGCCTAGGTTTTACTTTCTGATCCTCCGGGAATCACTAAAATTTGGTAGGACGCAAACTCCTGGCTGAGATCTGACAATGAAAGGGAAGATACTGTTTTGTGTTTAGAAGAAAAAAATATCAAATAGAAGGAATTGGTTGGAATAACATAATATACATCCTCCTGAAATCCATGAACGCAACAGGAGAGAACTGGAGAAGAGGAGTGTCTGGGTAACTGGAAGGAAAGCCATCTTGACTGGCTGAAAACAACAATAGTTCATGATTTCTCCCAGTTCTGTGGGTTGGCTGGGCAATTCTCCTGTGGCTTCTGCCTGGACTCAGTCCTGCCACTGAAGTCAGCTGGAGGATCAGCTGGGCTGGGAAGTCCCAGATGGCCCCACTCACACAGGCCTTCCATGTGGTCCCGCAGCCTCTAGAAGTCTGGGTGGGCTTCTTTACCTGCTGGTCTTAGGGCAGCCTTTCACAAGGGCCCAGGCAGAAGTTGCAAGGCCTCAAAACCTACACTCCAAACTCGCCCGTCCTCACTTTTTTCTATAAATTTACTTGTATGGTGGTAAAATATGTAGAACATAAAATTTACCATGTTAACCATTTTTGTGTGTTTCTTTGTTTTAGAGATAGGGTCTCGCTTTGTGGCTCAGGCTGGAGTGCCATGGCATGATCACAGCTCACTGCAGCCTCAACTTCCTCGGGCTTGAGCCATCCTCCCACCTCAGCCTCCTGAGTAACTGGAACTACAGGTGTGTGCCACCACACAGGCTAATTTTGTTTATTTTTTGTAGAGACAGGGTCTCCCTATGTTGCCCAGGCTGGTCTTGAACTCCTAGGCTCAAGCAATCTTTCTGCCTCGGCCTCTGAAAACGCTGACATTACAGGCATGAACCACCATGCCTGGCCCATTTTAACCATTTTTAAGTGTGCAGCTCAGTGGCATTAACTTCATTCACATTGTTGTGCAACCATCACCAGCATCCACATCCAAGACTTGTTCATCTTCCCAGACCGAACCTCTGTTCCCATCAAACACTAGCTCCCCATGCCCCATTTCCCCAGCCCCTCACACCCACCACTGTAATTTCCGTCTATGGATTTGATGACTCTTAGATACCTCATAAAAATGGAATAATCCAGTATGTGTCATTTTGTGACTTACTTATTTCTCTTGACATAATGTCTTTGAGGTTCATCCATATTGTAGCATGTGTCAGAATGCCCTTTCTTTTTATGGCTGGATAATATTCCACGGTAAGCATACTGCCCATTTTGTTTATCCATTCATCTGTTGATGGGCACTTGAGTTCTTTAATCCAGCCTCATTTTCTGCCATGTGCTATGGGATAAAGCAAGCCCCAAGGCCAGCTCAGACTCAAGAGGTCAGT
Organism: Homo sapiens; assembly: GCF_000001405.40. Classification (NCBI taxonomy): domain Eukaryota; kingdom Metazoa; phylum Chordata; class Mammalia; order Primates; family Hominidae; genus Homo; species Homo sapiens. The sequence continues at coordinate 54,222,313 of NC_000016.10, read as the reverse complement.
GATACAGACTCCATCAATTGATGAGAGGAGCAGCAACATCACATTTTAAGGGACAAGGACGCAGGAAGACCTGATTCACTGGAGGCCATTTTATAATCCAGATGTACTACAGAACCAAATGACAACAGGGACGTCCAAAAAGACCTTGGCAGAAGTACAGTGAAATTTAACTGGTTTTGAGTACCAAGTCCAGAACACTGACTCAAAGAATAACTTGCATAGGAAGGGGACAGTGAGTGTGCTTGGGGCCCATAGATTTTGGGTGAGAGAACCACTGCTTCCTTCCAACTGAAAGACGTAATGAGTTTAGTGCTGTGTTTGTGAGTTTAATACAAACAAGTCCTGTGTAATGAGTTTAATTGTCTGTGTAGCAGATGAAATGGAAATACCAGAAACGGGGCAGGAATGAAAGCAGAGGCCCTGTACTCTGGTCTTCTCCATCCCCCAAAGAGAAACCAGCCATGTTACTGTAAGTTAATTCCACATCTTCTCTCTGCTTTAGTTTTCTCAGTAGTAAGATGGAAGCCATCATATCTATCTTGTCATGAACAGACAATGAACTAAAGTTTGTGAAAGTCATTTTTAAAAAAGGAAAAAACATGATGTGCCACTCCTTCCGTCTGCCCGGCGATCTCTTTCAAGCACCCACGTGTTCTTTTCTGGTATCCAGTTCTCTCTTTTCTTCCCATCTAGGGTCATGGACAATGGTCTTGTCTTTGCTTTGTCTGATTTCTCTCTGAAGTACAGCCAGGTACCCCCAAAAGACTACAGAGCTAACTTTACAAGACGCTTCCTGGTACTTTTCGATTTCAAAATACACTGCAGGTTCTTAATGCATGTTAAACAGTAACGAAGGTCACAGCAGAAATGGCCAGCTGCCCCTGTTTTCTTGCCCTTTACTGTCCCTTTTCTTGTCCTTCCTGTGAGGGATGGATGAACAGAGGCCCTCAGAGCGACATCCAGAGTAGGAGGAAGGCAGTTAGAAGGCCCTGAAGTACAAGGTAGAGCAAAGGAAGCCTCCCAAGCCTCAATTTCTGCAAATCGGGGGTGATGCTGGGCCAGGATTAAGGTGAGATGAGTGAGGTCAGATCCTGCAAGTACAGGGAAGGATGGTGTCTTTATTTTAAACGTTGATAATCTGTTCAACATGAATTTTTTTGCATTAACTTTGATTTTTTTAAATTACAATGAAATACTGTCCTCATTATTGAGTTTTGGGGTGCCTCTTTAGATTTGGGGCTTGGGGCAAATGTTTCCCTTACCTCGCTCCAGTCTCAGCCCTAGAAAATAGTGCCAATCTCATGGGGATTGTTTCAAATATATATATATATATTTTTAAGATAGAGTCTCACTCTGTTGCCCAGGCTGGAGTGCAGCAGTGCCATATCAGCTCACTGCAACCTCCGCCTCCTGGCTTCAAAGGTTCAAGCAATTCTCTTGCCTCAGCCTCTTCAGTAGCTGGGATTACAGGTGCCCACCATCACACCCAGCTAATTTTTGTATTTTTAGTACATGGACTTTCACCATGTTGACCAGGCTGGTCTTCAACTCCTGACCTCAGGTGATCCACCTGCCTCGGCCTCCCAAAGTGCTGGAATTACAGGCGTGAGCCACCGCGCCCGGCCTGTTTCAAAGATTAAATGAGGTGACGCATGTAAATCAGTGACAGGCACATAGCAAGTGCCCAAAGGTGAGCCATGATTATAATTACTGCATTCATCTCATCCGTCTCCCTGCCCGACAAGAAAACCAAGACAGAGAAGTCATGCAATCTACCCAAGATCACTCCGCAGTTGACGCGGGTCTGCCTGACTGCAAAAAAGTCCTTTTCATCCCTTTTCTTCCCAGCAGACAGAAACGCAGTTGCAGAGGGTATGGATTGGATCAGACCATCATTGGGAGAGGAGGAGAGAGAGTCCACTTTTCTCCAGGCTATGTGACATTTTCCATTTTATTTTGCTGTTCCCAAGAATGGGCTCTACCCAGGATAAGCTGGACTGTCCCTCCGTCCCAGCGGCCTTCTTTACAACTCCCCAAATTCAGGTCAGGCATGGCTGCCCATCAATTCCTCCTCTGGTGCCGGTTGCTGGTTCACAGCAGTTGTCACCGGCATATGACTCCTTGATCACTGTCACCTCCACCAGGCTGGGTCTGGGACTCCTTTCATTTCACTCATGGTCTGTCCCTAATGCCTAGAACAGTGCCTGGTCCAAGTAGACTCACCAAGAGTGTTGATGGAATGAAAGAACCCATGAGCAATGGAATGAGAGAACAAAATTTTCCAGATGAGAAACTGAGGGTCAGGGTGGTCAGGTGACTTGCTCAGGGCCACACAGCAATGAGCAGCAGAGCTGGAATTCCAACCGGTTGGGCCTGGCTCCAGAACATGTGTCTTCTCCACAACTTTATGTTGCAAAAATCCTTCCATCTGCATTCCTAACCCTATTTGAATAATCTCCATCTCACTGCATCTCTCTCCACCTCTTGCCCTCCATCCCCCACCAGATGTTCAAGAATGAAAATATCTGAGAAAATAAGCCAAATTTCTAAAAACGTACATTCAAATGTCTGGAAAGCTCTTGCATGGGTGATTAAATTAAGAGAAAGTATGCTGAAACAGACAGTGCCCCTGCCAAATTGAATTTCTTGTTCGCCGTATTGTTCTTGGATGAATAAGTGGGCCCTCCATGTAAGGTTAGAGCAGAGATAAGTCTGTCCCCAAGAGTGGTACACGGGCTTTCTGGAGCCCAGCTCACACACAGGACACGACCTCTACATTTAATTTCTGAAGCTCCCTTGGGAAAATGTCTCCACTTGTGCCATCCAGGGACATTTGGCCACCCCTCTGCAGGTTCCCAAACCCACCGGTGAAGACAAAGAGGAACTGAAGACACCAAGAGTCTGGTCACTGCTACTCAGTGTGTGGTCCTGCACCAGCAACATCAAAAACACCTGAGGGCTTGTTAGAAATTTCCATCCTCAGGCTCACCCCCAGACCACTGAATCCAAAATTCTGGGGGTGGAGCCCAGAAATCTGTGTTTTCTCTAGCCCTCCAGGAGACCCTGCTGTCACCAGCCTTGTCCAGCACCAGCCTTTGCAGTTTCCCTTGATGGAATTCAATTCTTGAAGGAAAGAGTGCACCCTGATTTTGGCCAAATGAGGAGTTCGGGATCCAAGAAGGGGAAGGGAGTTGTCCGGATCTTGGATGGAAAATCAGGTAGAAAGGTAGGGATGGAATGGGAAGAACAAGGAGCAAAAAGGGAAACTGAGTCAGAATGTGATGACCAGGCAGTACCATAAATCCCCACAGGTGAGCAAAAGGCAGAATGTCAGAACTGAAAGGAACCAGCCAACATCTCTTCCTCAGTCTCTGATCCTTCAATTCTGCCTGCAAAGCTGTCAAAGAGATCTAAGTCACAGGTCACTTACACCAGTCCCTTCAGAGGCTCCCCACTGACCTCAGGCTAAAGTCTAAGACTGCCTAGCACAGACTCTTCATGACCTGGCCCCTGCTATTTCCCCAGCCTCCTCCCCCGCCCACCTAACGCTGAGCACCCCAAGACTACCGGCAATGTCCAGTTCCCCCACTGCACCTGCTGTCTCTGATCTCCACATTTGGTCTTGTCCATGTTAATAAGCCCTTCCTACTGCCTGGGCTTATTCACCTACAGGGATGTCTCCAGGCACCTGTTCCCAAGAGGTCAACCCCAAGGGTCAACGGCAGTCTGTTCCATCCACCCCACCCCCCAACCAACTCTAGTGCAAAAGATGTCCATCTGCCTTTGAGTCTTCCTAACCTCAAGGTCAAAGAATGAAAGTTTCAGCAATTCCATGCCATTCAGTGACTGCCACCAGGGGCTATTCAGAAAAAAACCTGGCACCGTGTGGCACTCTCAGCAGATAATGAGCAAAGTCTGGAGGTCTGAGGTCTACACCAGAAGAAAAATGATTACCCTGCATCTTACCATTTCAAGCCGCTGTGATATATCACTAGTGTTTGCCTCTATTTTTATACCCCAACAAAACCCTCATTGTGTCCAGGCTGACTTTCTTAATTGCCACCAATGTTGAGCCTCTGAGTAGCACTGACCTCATTATCAAAAAGCTACAATGCGGCTGGGCATGGTAGCTCACGCCTGTAATCCCAGCACTTTGGGAGGCCGAGGTGGGCGGATCACCTGAGGTCAGGAGTTCGAGACCAGTCTGGCCAAAATGGTGAAACCCTGTCTCTACTAAAAATACAAAAAATTAGCCAGGTGTGGTGGCAGACACCTGTAATCCCAGTTACTTTGGAGGCTGAGACAGAATCACTTGAACCCAGGAGGCTGAGGTGGCAACGAGCCGAGATCATGCCATTGCACTTCAGCCTGAGTGACAGAGTAAGACTTCATCTCAAAAAAAAAAAAAAGCTACAATGCATGTTCTAGAAATAAAAATTCAGAAGTTGTACCCCAGTCCTTATTTATGAATAAAGATGTGTGGTCATTATCACACCGTTTGGTTTAATATTTAGCCAATGTCTTGGTCAGGGAGCCTCGTACAATGGCTCTCCACAATCCAGCACTACGATGACATGTCTTTCTAACTTTCCAAACCACACTGGATATATGCTTTGCAGAGTTCACTCATTGTAGCCCAAAGCCACAAGCTAAGCAGTACTGGGAAATATCCAAGGCAAGTAATGGGCATCAGAGAGGACACTGGGTGGCTGAGAGACTCCTAGAGAGAAGAGCCTGAAGGTGGAGGAGAAGGGGCAGAAGTCATAAGGAGGACAAAATCAAGAGAAGGCCAGCAGCAGAGCCAGAGCCTTCAGTGGCGCAGGGGGTAGGCTGTAGGCACAGGGGGTAGGCTGCATCCTCTGCCAACTGAGGGTGAAGTGACACATGTTTCTGCTTTAAGTGATCAGTTTTTACTTTTAACGTTGAAGATTAAAATTAAGTGCATTACTGTAGATCAGTTTACAGGGATTTGGTACATCTGTTTTGGAAATGAAAAACAAAACTGAGTAACATCATTATATGTATTACCAGAATTGGGGTAAAGTATCAGTATTACCCCGGGCTGCCTCCACGCTACCTCCACTTTTCAGCATTCCTCACACTTGGTGGGGAAGACATTTGGCCGGGCCTGGGGAGACAGCTGCCCTCCACCAATGCAAAGAGGTACTGAGTCACAGTCCGGATTCCCTGGTGGCCAGGTACCAAATACCAGCAACCGCTTCCACCACAATGAGGGGTGGCAGGGTGGGCAACTGCGTCAACGGCTGTTGCTAGAACCCAGCAGAAGCCCCAGTCATTGGCCCCTGTTCCTGGCTTGACACCCCACAGCCTCTCACTTGCCAAGAGTTTTACACTGACCTCGGATGTCCAGCCATAAGGGAAAAGGCTGGCAAGTTAGATTATTGCTTCAATAATGAGCAAATGGTTTCTGGTTTGCTATTTACACTGCTCTCTGGGAGAGAAAACAAGTCTTCCAACTGAACTCCAATTTCTACTATTTATCCAAGATTACACATATAATCCCATAATAAAACACCGTGCCTGCCCAGAACACAGAGTGATTGCCTACAGATGTGCCCAAACCAAAACATCTGCACATCCAAAAAGGCCACTGGCATGGTATTTTTTTTATTTTTATTTTTTATTTTTTATCTACTCCGGGTTGATAACTGAAATGGCTAATTAACTTCTGAAACTCTCAGAGTGGAAATCCCATCTAGGGGAGGAAAAGCCATGCCGGTGGCAGTCTTCCGGACGTGCTGTCCAAAATAGGAGGCCATGCTGTGCTTGACTTCAAGTAACACCTTGTAGGCTGATGAAGTTTGGCCTCAGCAGCATGCCGTCACTAACACATGAAAATAAAATGCTTTCCTAATGGTGCCTGGCACAGCGTCAGGAAAATACCTCATCTGAATTTTTATTCAGCTGACAAATGACGTGCATCTCTGCCTTTATCTGGCTGCTTATATTAAATATCTGAGTGCAGCAAAGATTTCTTAATTTGCTCGTTTCTCTCGGCACCATGTAGAATGAGGGCTTAGAATGAAATCGTATCAAGAGGCAAGAGAGATGTCTACCTGCTCACAGCAAACCCCTGGAAATTGCTGGGCCTCCCTGGATCATATCACATAATCATCTCAGCTCTACTTTGATTTGTCTCTCAATATACTGTTTAAAAATGTAACCCAATCGCCCAGCCCAACAAGCAGTCTGTTTATTATTACTTTTGATAGAAAGGTTCATAACATCCTATAATGTGTGTGCATTTTTTATTTCGTTTGGCTACTAGACATTGAAACCATTTGGGACATTTATTAAAATGCATTCAGCCGCTCTTTAGGATGAGGTTAATGTGGGATTTATGCCTCTGGTGCACTGTGCACAAAGCGATAATAATGCTTGTTTAGTACTTAGTTCACGTACAAAATGGTCAGCTATAAAAATTGAAGAAATACAAAGATTGGCTCAAAAAAGCACAGAGTGGGGAGGGATATTTTTCAAGCTGCAGGAGGGGGCGCTCATGTAGGAGACCAGATGAGGAGCAGAAATTTATTTTAATGGAAGATCAAATTCTCTGGTTACATGAGCCAGGCCAGGGAGTGGGAGCTCCCAGAAGCCTGGTTTGATAAACCCAAGCCTGACAACCTGCCAAGGGAATTTTGTGCCACCCGGCTTGGACAAGAGACGCTTTCCCAATGGCCACATTCCTCCTCATGTCTTCCTAAATCCTGTCTATCCCAAAGGCCCATGATCTGGTCTTCAAAGAGACCTTAGCCGGCAGGAGAGCCAGAGGGCTGAGGACAGAGCCAGTCAGACATTTGGGCTTGAGCTCCTCTAGTATCCAAAGCAGATGGACCTAGCAAGATGGGAGAAACATTCCTAGCAACTTCCTAACAGTTGGCCAGGGGTCTGGGCATCGGGCAAAGCGTGCATGTTTCCTACACATGTTGGCGATGTGCTTGCTTCCAAGAGCAGAAGTGATCCAGAAAACCCCTGGAAACTGGCCCCAGCACCATCCCCAGGCAAACCTGCTTGTTCAGGAAGCTGCTTTCCAGGCTGGGCAGTTCAAGGCTGGGGTCCTGCTTCCCTGAAGGAAAGCGGGGGCTTTGAGCACCTGTGAACAGGAGGGTCTTCCCTCCAGCTGTATCTCAGCTGGCTTCACTGAAGCAGGAGGAGGCACAGTGAGAAGGACTCCCATGGTGGGGAGATTGAACGGGGTGCTTTGCTCTCTGCTTCTCACCTTAAGTGAGGGTGGGCTGGAAGGAGAAGTCAACAGGGGCAGCCCAAGCTGCCAGCAGGTCCTTACTCTGAAGGTAGCAGGATCCCTCTCCCTGGAGTCCGTGTTCCACTCCCGCCCCCTGCCATTCATTGTCCCACAGTAGCCTCAGGGATCATCTTAAAATGATAAAACTAAAAACCTATTGAAATAAAAATAAATAAATAATTTTTAAATGATAACACTATAAAAATAGAGAACAGATTCATTGTCAGAGGTTAGGGAGGAGGAAGGGAGAAGGGAATCAGGTGTGGGAATAAGAGACAACATGAGGGATGCTGGTTGTGATAGAAATGTTCTGGGTCTCAACTGTATCAATGTCAATATCTTAGTCCCAATGTTATACTATAATTGCAAGTATAGTTGTTATACTTAGTTGCAAGATATTTCCATTGGGGGAAACTGGGTAAGGGGTACAAAAATCTCTCTGTATTATTCTTCACAACTGCATGTGAATCTAAAACTACCCAAAATTAAAACTTGAATTAAAAAAATAGAAATCAAACCAAGTCACTCTCTCCTTTGTTCCCTGTTCAAACTCTCCCATGGCTTCCCACTGCACTCAAAAGAGCATCCAACGCCCATCCCAGAGCCCACGGGGCCCTACACCAGCAGGTTCCTGCCTCTTCCCATCATGTCACATCCCTCCACTCTTCCCCTAGGTCCCTCTGTGGCAGCTACTCTGGCCCCCTTCTGTCCCTCCACACTCCAGACTCCAGCCTTTCCACACTGTGGTCCCCCTGCCTAGAATGCCATTGCTCCAGTTACTTGCATGGCCGCCTCTTTATGATGTGAAGCTCAGCTTCCATGTCCCCTCCCCTTAGAAACCTTATCTTGCCACCCAATGGAAAGTGGGCCTCATCATTCCCTTTGACAGCACCCGATTGTGATGATCAGCAGAGCATTTAGTGCTATCTTTTTCCCTTATTTATTTATGTTGTTGTTTATGCAGCTTCTCCGTACCAGAATGTAAGTTTTTTGAGGCAGAAGTCTTGCCTGCCTTTGTTCACAACTGTGTGTCCAATTCCCAGAGCAGGGATAGGCACATATTTGTTGAGCTATACTCAACAAATAAATTGTTGCAGATTGGATGAAGCATAGTAGTTACTAAGCACCAGGCAGGACATGAAGTACTTTACAGACATAATCTTACTGACTCCTTGTGACAACCCTGTCCAATTATTACAGTGTACCCATTTTACAAATGAAACAAACTTAACTAGGTAAAGCGCTTACCCAAGGGCACACAACCTATCCAGAGGAGGCAGTGACTCAAGCCCAGAGTCATTTCTGACCCTGGAGCCGGCATTCTCCACCACTAGGCTAAACGAGTGGATAACCCACCAGGAGGGTGTCCTGTCCCCGAGCTAACCAGAGGCAAAGGCAAGTTGATCTGTGTTATGAGAGCTTCTGGGCAACTGGTCTTTGTAAGAACTTCCTTGCCTTCCCCACCCCCAGACTCTCCTGGATTCCTGGTCCGGGCTGTTGCCATGTATATATTTAGCTTATGTGAGATCCAATGAGGCTAATTCAAGAGAGCACATTCTCTTCCCTGCCCCTCCCTCTTGAACCCTGAACTTGCCCCAAATCACCTTCCCGCACCAGCCAGGGTTGCTGCCTTGTCTTGCATGCCACCCTCATGGGCACAGACACACAGCCCCTTTCCCCAGGGTCCTGTCAATCCCAATACCCAGCTACTCTCACCCCCACTCCCTAACAACCCCCAAATGAATGACTTTTTAAAATCTCACACAGCACAAACCACAGCGGGTCATGAGAAAGCTATGGAGAGAGGAGTGAACTTCACTGCCAGTCACAGTTTTGAAAATGGGTCCTCTGGCATCCAATGGCTTTCACTACGTGCCCGTGGCTCATTTAGGGAATTATTCTCGGGTACCATTTTCACTCCTGGCACTGCACCGCCAGCGTGTGTATCAGATACGTCCCAGGGCGGGGTGTTTTGCTTAGTTACACTGGATGACGAATGTTTCCACAGCTGCAAACAAGGCACTTTTGCGAAGAAGTTAGGGCTGTTGGAGAAGGCTGCTGACCTGATTATATATGGTGTTTGAATAATGAAAGAGAAGGAAGGTGGCAGGGATTCCTCCAGGCAGGATTCCTCATCAGGGCAAATGGCAGGTCTAAGAAAGACAAATAGAGAAAAACCTCTGCTGGTACCTTAACAGGTATATTTAGCTGGAAATATACCAAGCAATTAAATTGAAATTGGCAAAGCCCTGCTGTGTGCACCACTCTAAAAATAATACTAAAAGCTAGCACGTACGGAGGGCTTGCTCTATGCCAGATATATATATTACTGCACTTGATCCTTACAATAGTTTATGAATTGGACATTCTTTCTGTTATAGATGAGGACATGGAGGTGCAGGAAGAACAAGAAAATTGCCAGGGCTAGGAATGGAACTGGAGTGCCGAACGACAGCTGTCATACTCTTAGCTCCTATGTTAAATCCCTCCGTCCTCTATTCCTTATTTTTAGATTAAGAAATGTGCTCTTGAACCCAGTTGCTCAATAGAACCACCTGAGGTGCTCTTTTGAAAAAGACACCAATGCCCAGACCCCAGCTCAGACCAAGTAAATGCCTTCAGAAATTGGTATTTTTCAAAAGCTTTCCAAAGGGGATTCTAATGTGCAACCAGACTTGAAATCCACTGTCCAAACTAGAGTGGTTGTTCTCAAAGTGGGGTTCCCTGGGCCAGCAGCATCAGTAGCAACTAGAAACGTGTTAGAAACTCAAAGTCCTGATCCTACTATAGACCTATTGAATCAGAAACTCAAGGATTGTACCTGAGAAACTGGGGTGTTTAACAAGCCCTGCAGGTAATTCTGAAACAGGCTAAAACTTGAAAACCACTCCTCTTTCTAGAACATAAACTCTGTGAAGGCAGGGATCTTAAACATCTTGTTCACTCCTAAATTTCCAGGACCTAGCACCAAAATACTTATACAAAAATGAATGACTGCTTACAACATGATGTTGGTGCTGTTTTCATTACACTAAGAAAACTTGGACTGGTCAGGATTTAAATCCTACATTGCAAAGTTAGTTAAGAATTCAGTTAGCTATCTATATTGGCAAGATTAAAATCTTTGCAGTCCAAAAGTGTTTGTGTGTGTGTGTGTGTGTGTGTGTGTGTGTGTGTGTGTTTTCCCCAACAAATTAACAGTGACCACAGTGGTAATTGCTGGCCTGGCTCCTGCTGTTAATAATCATGGTCAAGGAAGCAGGTAGATCACCTGCAAGGCTGTCTTATTTTCTGCTATCATCACCCAGAGGGTAGAAGGCAGCTGAACTTGACAAAGACAGGAGAATTTTCCTAGCAGTGAAAAAGAGTCAATCTTGCATTTTTCTGCCTAGCCCAACACTCAGACACAGCCATAGCTTAATCAGAGAGAATTAACTATCCTTCCAACTCTATTCATTAAAGGATGGAAATCTGTTGTGTCTCTCTGCAGTAGCATGCTGCTCTCACAATTCTCTTTCTACATCCTGACCACAAGTTTACTGTGTGTGAAAAATGGCTTGGAATTGCAACAGTACTCCAAGTGAGCAATGATTAAATTTGTCCCCACAATTAATGTGTCTGTGACTAGCAGCAGGGAGGGGGCGTGCGTTACAGAGCAATCAACAATCAATGGTGGGAAGGTGACCTGACACCACAATCTTCTGCAATTGTAATCAATATCACTCTGGCTTTATCGGAGCCCTCCTCAAGCTACGCTGCCTCATCTCGATAGAGTTTATTCTTGTATAAATACCTCAAATAAATAGCACAAGGAGAGCACCCAGGGATACTTTAAATTACATCCATATTATGCAAAGGCAAAAGCAAGTTCCACTGGCGAGAATCTCTCTCTCAGAACTAAACAAGCTTCTCCTTTAAAAACCTCATAATTGGTTATTTAACATGCCACAACTTTGCATCTATGCTGCGTCGCGATTATCATAAGCATTTCTAATTTGACAGAACCTGACTACAGTGAATATGCAAGCTCTTCTAATTTCCATTGCGACTAACTGGAGATGGTGAGGAGTGATGATTTATTTGTTTGTGATTTGAATAAGATAACGCCTGCACCATCTGAAAGCCAGGGCTATGTTCTGGGAACATGTGCTGTCTTGAAACCCTGGCTGACACTCTTTCGAAATCATAAAAATTATAGGGGCCAAGAGTTTTGTTGTTGTTACAGGGTGCTGTATTTTCCCCCCTCTTGGTCTGGGAGAGAGAAAGCGGGAGGATTCTGTTGAGCAGTCGTGCTGTGGGGAGCAGCGCAGCCTCAGTGATATGGGTCCAGTTTGCAGGTTGGCGAGAAGCAACATCAATTATGTGCAGATCGATTTAATCACTAACACCAGAGCAGACCGAAGACAAAGGCGGCGCTGCTAACTCCGGATGCTGCCAGGGCCTGCAGGGAGGCTGGCATGGAAGGGGAGGCTGTTACCTTTAGGGACCCTTTTGGAGTTGCTCCTGCTAATAAGAGCCTCCCTAGAGGTGAAGGATCCCAGAACAGCCAGCAGCTCCACCAATAACGCATCCTGAATTGGCTCACTTCTGAAGACCACTGCCGCACCAAGCCAGCAGCACTCAGCCTGGACATGCGGGAGATCCTCCCGAGAGCCTCCTGGTCAGTCTCCCTGCTTCTACTTTCACCCACCTCAGTCCATTCTCCACAAGGCAATCAAGTGATTTTTTTTTTTTTTTTTTTGAGACGGAGTCTTACTCTGTCATTCAGGCTAGAGCACAATGCTGCGATAGCAGCTCACTGCAACCTCCACCTCCCAGTTTCAAGCGATTCTTGTGCCTCAGCCTCATGAGTAGCTGGGACTACAGGCATGTGCCACCACGCTCAGCTAATTTTTGTATTTTTAATAGAGGTGGGGTTTTCACCATATTGGCCAGGCTGGTCTCGAACTCTTGACCTCAAGTGATCCACCCGCCTCAGCCTCCCAAAGTGCTGGGATTACAGGTGTGAGCCACCATGCCCAGCCCCGAGTGATTTTTAAAAATTATAAATCAGGCTGGACACGGTGGCTTACGCCTGTAATCTCAGCACTTTGGGAGGCCCAGGTGGGAGGATTACTTGAGCCCAAGAGTTCAAGACCAACCTGGGCAACATAGTGAGACCCCTGTCTCTACAAAAAAAGAAAACGAGTGATAAATCAGGTCTTCTTACACCTGTGTTTAAAACCCTCCCGTTGAACTTGGAATTGCAAGCCTCTGCAGGACGTGGTCCCCTAGGCTGTTCTCACACCCACATGTGCTCTAGAGAGGGTGTTCTTTTTGTTCCCTGCACGCCAAGCTTATTTTAACCTCAGGGAGTTTACCAAGTCTGTTCCTCTGCCTGGACTGCTCTTTGTGAGCCCCATGTACGGTTGCACTGCTGACTAAGTATATCTCTATCTCTATCTATATTTATAACTATAGCTAAAGATATCTTATCTTATGCCTGCCTTAGCTCAAATGTCACCTCGCCAGAGAATCCTTTCCTGACTTCCCACCAAAGTTGCTTCCCAGCCTCTCTCTCCATCTCACCCCAGTCCTTCTCTACCACATCACCGTGACTTATTTCTTCATAGCATGATCTCATTTGTGTTCATGCTATTGTCCCCTTCCCACCAGAACGTTGGCTCCATGAGGGCAGGGAGCATCTCCCTTGCTCAGCGCTCTACCCACACATCTAGAGCAGCGCAAGGCATGCAGTACATGCTCAAGAAGTATGTGGTGAATGAATGAATGAATGAGCTCCAAGACGGATGCTCTGTGGCTGGGCACCCATCTGCTCTGTCTAGGTCCTGACTCTATCCACTGGACTGTCAGTCCTACTACGGAACCCCCGAGCTGTGCACCTCGACCCTGAGCAGAGATGTCGGTGGTATTGAACACTCACCTCCAGGCCTGCGCTTCTGCTCTGTCCTGCTCGGCCTGCTCGCACCTCTATTCTGCTGGCTTCAATCTGATGCTCTTTGGAGGCGAACTTGAGACCTATGCAGCCTCCTATATCACTTGCACCACCAAGGTGTCTGGTCTATTACAGAAGGCCTGGCCCCAAAGCTTCCACGGTAGTGTATAGCCCTTACACTGCCTTTACTTACATAGTCATCACTGCATAGAGAGTCTACTGCCCACTGCCCCAGTGCGTGCGAGCCTCTCTGGCATCCTCAGCTCTCTTTGGCCATCCTGCACACGTGGCATCTCTGGTCCCCACTGCTGATAACAAAACAACCAAAAATGGCCCCAATGGATGAGAGCCACTTCTCTAGCATCAGTTATTCTGTGTTTGATTTCTAAATTGTATGACAGTTAAGAGCATGGACTCCGGAATCAGAGAACAAGCAGAATTCAAATCACAGCCCTTCTGTCACTGGTAGACTCCTTTCTTTCCCTACTTTTGTATCAGCCAGAAAGAAAGAACACCCAGTTGGTGGCAGGGAAAGGCAAGCAAGATTTACTCTTTGGCCAGAGAAAGAGAGTGAGCTCTTGCTCCCAAGACACCTCCTCCTCCCCACACCGCAGGAAGCTGGAGGATTTTAAGGCGTTAGATATGGGGCGGGGAGGTTTGTAAGTTTGTGCAAGAAAGAACTTTAGATGTGCTGGCACAGATCATTAGCATGTCCCTTCTTATGATTCATGTTCAGAAAACAACAGCGATTTTCTTCTATGGGCGGGGATTTTTGGATTATGATGATATGTTAATGATCTAAAGGTAATGAGGGGTCACTGGTTCCTGTTAGCTCTGGTTTTGAGCAGGACTTATCTTCCTCTGATAATTGGCAAGGGGTCCTGAGGTTCCCGGGCCATCTGCAGTCCTTGTAAGCTAGCACATCCAGAGATAAAGACGCTAAAAGAAACTGTTTCTCAAACAATATTAAGCTTTCTCAGCTATCTTCTGCTTAAGAAAATAATGAGCTCTTGCAGCTGTTCTGCTGTCTCAGCTATTTCTCCAGGACTACCCAGGTAACGCTCCCACTTACTAGTCATGTGACCTGGGTCAAGTTACTTAACCATTCTGAGCCTCAACTTCTCCATCTCTAAAATGGGGATAATTAACACTTAAACGAAGGTCGTTTTCATGGTATTTGTAAAATAATGACCCAACATACTGCTCAGTATAAAGGAAGACACACACACACATTCACACTCACACACTTACGCGCGCGCGCGCGTGCGCGCGCACACACACACACACACACACTAGATTTCTGTTATTTTCTCCTGTTAGCATTGATTTGTGATATTTGGTGCCCCCGTGTAAGCAGAACTCTTCGGCTTCCCCACAGCTACAAATTCTCAATCTTTCAGCATTACAGTATTTTAATCTTTGAATTTTTCTTGAGTGATTCTAACTATTCGTCTGTTTATTTAATATCATAATTATCTCCCAAGGGTCTGTTTTATGTGGGCCCTGTGTTAGATACTAAGGACACAATGGGGTATGGGTCAGATGTGGGTCCTGCCGTCTTGGAGCTTCCAGTCTAGTGGGGGAAAGAGACCCGAGAGAAGGAAACACACAAGTAAATAGATAACAAATGGAATGTGTGTCATGAAGGAGGCATGCAGGGTACAGAGACAAAGGAAACTGAGGCACCAGGTCAGGAGGGGGTCGGTGCTTAGCCAGAGCCTTCAGGGCGGGTCCCCAGGTGGGGCTGTGTCAAAGCAAGAAGGGAATGAAAGAATCTCAGCCAAGAGAAAGGCAGAGGAAAAAGTGTTCCAGCGGAGGGAATCACAGTGAGAACACCCCAACGGGAACCAAGGGTACCCGAGGAACTGGGAAGAGCCCCCATGGGGAAAGAAACTGGACCACAGGGTCATAAGCATGGGGACCATGTCTTCTTGCTTCTGGACATTCTCTAGCACCCAGCTTGCTGAAAGGACAAAGGAGCAAGTATGTCTTCTGGGGCCCATCAGCCCAAGGACTATCCCCTGAAATCCAGGCATGCCCAGGTCCCTAAATCTTCCTCGCAGCTCAATGCAGACCCTCTGCAGGCCCCAGGAGGTGAGGCATGGTCCTGATTTCCAATCACAGGTCGGGGGGCGGGGAGAAGAGAGAGAACGCGTGAAAGAGTGCCCTCAACAAGCTCAGGAAACAGAAGCAAAGATTCACAGCCACCAGATATTGAGAATAAGGCCTCAAAGATGAGGGGCTCAAAACAGGATCAGAGATCTTTTCTCAGCCTCCATGCAGAAGAGAGCAAAGCAGGAGAAGCACCCATCTTAGGCCTATCAAGAGATGCTCAAGTTCCCATGTGTCCACCCAGCCATCTGAGCACTTGGCTTCTTCAGAATTGGAATGTGGCTCCATGATCCCCAGGCTGGGGCAGTTCCCTCAACTACCCTCACAGACCCACTGTCCTCCTCCTTCCCCCATGCTGACTACCCAACTCTGGCTTAATTTTTTCTTTTCTAGACTCTATTCTAGGCATCTTTTGGAAAGATAGGGTGAAGGCTACTCTCAACTAATTCAAGGGGACTGTCTGTCCATGTACCTGAGAACTCTTCCCAGTGAAGAAAAGGAAAAAACACAGTCTAATCCCTCCCTATCAGGGCACATGCCTTCTAAAGACAGGCAGGAACGCAAATTATGGCAACGAGGGCTTGCCTCGTGAGTTGCAGGGGAACTTATGCCACTCAAGAGATAAGCAAACCATCACCACTCTGTCCAATATACCACTTTGACTTTCCCTGTATTTCACCATTAGGGATTTATTCCTTTGTGATGTCCAGGTACAGTATTAAAAGCTTCCCTGGATGCTTTTAATGATTTAATGATTAAATGATTTAAGTCATGCATTCACCCACTTAAAGGAGAAGAGGCTACGGACAAAGAGTTCTCAACCCTGGCTGCATATTAGAATCATCTGAGATACTTCTAGAAGATACCCAATACCTGGACCATATTCTAGATTCTAGAGTCTGGAATAATGGAAACTAGCCTCTGAAGACTGGACCCAGGGACCTGAAGTCAGTAAATGCTCTCCGATGCGATGTGAGTGCTGAGAATTTCCATGGATACAACTTTACCTGCTGAAATATTATTCCAGGAGACACCCTGCTGCTCAGTCCCCCAGAGCAAACTGCCCAAAGGAGAAGGCAGCTGCTGTTCAGACTGGGGGCTGTGCTGGTTTCTCCCATGGCTGAGCTCTCTCTGCCAGGTTTGAGAAGGTACTCTAACCTGTGGTTTCTCAATGCCCCTGTCAGAGGGGCTGGAGCTAAGGGCTCTGGTTATATGGAGGAAAGAGGAAAATTAGCTGATGAGAAATGAGGGTGGGTTTGTGGCCAGAACACTGAGCAGAAAAATCCCTGGCCAAAGGGTAAGATGTTCTAACTTAGAAATCAGAAGCAAGTCACCACGGTGCATTTCAGTGTAACGTGCACAATCTAGTCCCCACTGCCTCGGCCCACAGCCTGCCTCAAAGGATTCAGGAAAAATGAAAATTAATGGGGTGGGGAAGGTAATCAGCAGTGAGTCCCACTTTTGTTAATAACCACCTTCCATCATGGGTAGAAGGAGACAGAGCTTCCATTCAAGGCCAGGGTCACCTTGGAAAAAGAGAGTGGGGGCTTAAAAGGGTCTCTCTCCAGCTCAGAGCCTCCCCAGGTCATAGAAGATGGTCTCAGAAATCGGACTGTCCCTTTTGAGAGTTCATGATCTGAATGTGCTTAAAGACCGGCTTCATGGTCTTCAGCCCCATTACGGTTGCAGCCACTGCAAGCCGGTGGGGCAGTCATCAGCTTCCGGACCCCTGACATTGCCTCCTGAGGCCTCCATAACCTGCCTGATGCTAACTCCCCACTAGAGCTGCGGACAGCCAACTATCCCCACCCTGTCAGGTACCTATAAATCACAAGATCCTGTAGATAAACACCTCTCTCAAGTCGGCTCTTTGTTTCCAAAGCCATTTCCATTTTCCGTTCACTTATTCAGCCTCCCCCCAGCACCCCTGTTGCTTGGTGATGGGTGAGATGGGCAAACAGGAGCTTCCAACAATGAGTCTTTGGTGTGTGTGGCCAGGAGCTGGGAGCTGCAGGGCAGTGTGCTGCCCGCTCTGCCCAGCCTGCCATGGAAACCCTACAATGCAGCAAATCCAGCTCACGTGGACTTGGCGCGTGATGGCCAGCCCTGCCTGTGAGGTTGCAGGTCAGCAGAGAGAGGGAGGGACTGCAGTCATCCCCTGAGCACTTTCAAACACCAGGCACCATGATAAGCTGTTTGCGTATGGTGCCTCATTTATTCTGCACACTAGGCTGGTCAGGTGGGTATAGTTTAGTAGTAGGAGCTTGAATTCTAGAGCTAGACTGCCTGGTTTCAAATCTCAGCTCTGCCACTTTCAAGCTGTGTGGCCTTGGGCAAGTGACTTAGACTTCCTGGGCCTCAAATTCCTGTAACTTATCTGTAAAATGCAAATAACAGTACCTTATATCATAGGATTACTATGAAGTTTCAATAAGGTCACACACACACACAGTATTGAAGGCACACAGCATATTCTGTGTTATCCATCATTATCACCATCATTACCCCCTTGCACGTGAGAATGTTGAGCCACAGAGAAGCTACAACACTTGCCCACGGAAGTGGCAGAGGTGAGATCTGAACTCAGGACTAGCCTAACTTCAAAGCCCTTGGCTGTAACTTGATGCTAAATGCTCGACTCTTCCCACCAGATCAAAGGCATTTTCCATTTTCTGCCAAGCGCCCCGAGCACTCTTTGACCAATGGCCACCCCCCGACCCCAGGCATGAGAGAAACTGTCATTATTGGCTGCTTGCAAGGTGAGGCCAGGACAGAGTCAGATGAGGAAAAAGGAAAGCGCACAGCCCAGCTGGACTCAGATACAGCCACTGCTCCTTGTCAGTGGGGCTCCACCTGTCCCCTGAAGAGTTGAATGAGGTTCTTCTAGCGCTAATGGTATCAGAAAGCGCTGGGAACCCCCTCTGCCCCACAGCTAGGCTTTGGAGTTAAGGTGTGCAGCAGACATCTCTGCCTGCCCGGCACCCATCCCATTTTTCTGGAAAAGCAACAGGTGTTGCTTTAAGGAACCACCCCCCACACACTCGGTCCACATGGTTTGGGTGGTGCTAACTCTCAACAATCATATGACTTTGGTCTGACCAATCTGAGCATCACATCTTTCCAGATATTATAGTTGATTTAAGGATGGGTACGAGTCCAAATCGTGGCAAATCAGAGAAAAACAGAGTCTGTTCCAGGATTATCATTAGCATGATCAGGGAAGAGACATTCTCTTCACTGAACTTAAACCTGAGGGTACAGATCAGCCTGGGGCAGCTGGCCACCATCTTGCTACTATAAGAATGGCACCAAGCAACAGAGAGCAGAGCTGAGAGGCTGAGAGAGAGACAGGGGTCAGCAGATCTTAATGGCTGAACTCTGATCAGGTGCCCGCCCATTGGCCAGTAGAGAGAGGTCTAAACAATAGGAGCATCTCATTGGCTAAGATTGACTCGCTGCCCCACCCATTGACGAACAACATTGTGTTAGCTCCTGAATGTAGCTGCTCCTAAAGCCAGAATTCCAAGTTACCCAAGCCAAAATATTTCCTTCCTTGCTACTTGATTTGGGTTTGGTGACTTGAAAATGCTTTTTACAACAGAGAGAAGGAGAAAAAACATTATAATAGCAATTCTGAAATAGGGTTGGAGGATGTTTAGGAGCCCAGCCTGTCCCATGTCCCATTCTAAGAGGGTCCTTAGATTTGCCCTCTTAATGAATCCCCAATCTGTTACTCAAGCCCTGGTGCTAAGATTAGCAGGGGATGACAGAGTCATGGCCTTCTCCCTCTCCTTCATGGGGTGGTCTAGTGTTAGCCAGAACCGTATTCTAAAAACAGTGGAGCACTCCCCAAAGAAGTGGGGAGAAATATTGCATCTGGCCCCCAGCAGGAGCCAAAAAGACAATGGGAATTTCAGCATTGCAGTTTGGAGGCACGTGATTCTTTGTGGCCCAGAAATCAATGCATCCTCCCAGGGAGCCTCCATTTGAGAGGATCATGGCATTGATTTTGAATGAGCTGGGCCACAGATATATCAGGCAGGCCTGACTGATCTCATGGCTGTGTGCCCACCAGAGCCGGCCGGTCAGGAACATTTGATTCCAAGCAGCTAATGATTCAGGGGTCAATAGGCAATCAGAAGGGAGACCAGCCCCCTCTCGCCCCCAAGCCTCACTCTGACCCAGGGTCAGGGCTAGTGCAGCTGACCCAAGTAGATCTGGGTGCCATGAGGATCTGGAAGCCTTCAGAGACCAAAGGGAAAAGGAGTGGGAGGCCCCGCCCACCTACATACACTCTGCTTGCCCCTGAGGGTTTGGGAGAACTTTGGGAGAAGAGGAAAGTCGCAGCAAGTCTGCTTGGCCGTGGCAGCTTCCCTCCTCCTACCAGAGGCAGCTCCTGCCAGGAAGTTGCCAATGTCTGAATTCAGTGAATCTTGGGAAATAGCTACTGGGAGGTAAGACAGAGAACAGAACAATAACAAAATATAAGTGAAGGCAGGAGGAGATCCAAGATGAATCTTAGCACCAGGGCTTGAGTAACGGATTGGGGATTCGTTAAGAGGGCAAAGCTAAGGACCCTCTTAGAAGAGCTTTTCAGGGGTCTGAGGTTGCTCACACAACGTTCCTGACCCCCTTCCCATGATGACTTCCTGTGGGTCAGCCCATCACTGTAGGATGAGAGAGAAGAGGGTGACTGAGGGGAGGGAGAGAAAGTCAGGGGATTGTTTTTCCTCTCTTCATCATGGATAACCCAAGGAGTGCTCCCTCGCCCTTGGTTCCACCGCCCTTTTTTAACACCTGAGGGAGACAGGCTGGGCCTGTCAGGGCTTTTTGGAGACAAGCAACAGAAACCAACCCTGGCTGGCCTAGGCACAGAGGGGACCTCTCTTGAAAGGTGTGGGGTAGCTCTCAGAATCAGCCAAAGTGCTAGGCTCAAAAAGGGCAGGTGTGAGGGACCTGGGGAGCAAGAGCCTGTACAAAGTCTGCTAAGATTGGAACCAAGCTCCAACCATTCATTTTTCATCTTGAGACAGTGAATTTTTTTTTTTTTTTTTTTTATGAGATAGAGCCTTGCTCTGTTGCCCAGGCTGGAGTGCAGTGGCACGATCTCGGCTCACTGCAACCTCCACCTCCTAGGTTCAAGTGATTCTCCTGCCTTAGCCTCCCGAGTAGCTGGGATTATAGGTGCCCACCACCATGCCTGGCTAATTTTTGTATTTTTAGTAGAGACGGGGTTTCACCATGTTGGCCAGGCTGGGCTCAAACTCCTGACCTCAGGCAATCTGCCTGCCTTGGTCTCCCAAAGTGCTCGGATTACAGGCATGTGCCACAGCGCCTGGCTGAGACAGTGGATCATAATGGCTGAGCTCTTATCAGGTACCCACCCATTGGCCAGGAGACAGAGGCTCAAACAATAGAGAATCTCATTGGCTGAGCTTGACTCACTGCCCCACCCACTGGCCAGGAGAGAGAGGTTCAAAGAATAGGAGAATCTCATTGGCTAAGCTTGACTCACTGCCCCACCCATTGGCCAAGAGAGAAAGGTTCAAACAATAGAAGAATCTCACTGGCTAAGATTAACTCACGGTCCCACCCACTGGCCAAAAGAGACAGCATTCAAACAATAGGAGAATCCCATTGGCTAAGCTTAACTCCCTGCCCCGCCCATTGGCAGAGCACTTGATTGACAGCCCTACCAACAGGAGGACTGTGGAAAGGCCATTCATTGTTCTTACCATAAATGGAGTGGGGAGGCAGGAGGGATGGACAAACAATAACTGGCCACGACAAGGGTCATCAACGAGGTCAAGAAAGATGATTTTCCTAAGAATCCCACTTTACTCTGTATCTACTTATGCCCTATCAAATGACTAGAAAGTATCTCTCCAAGCCCTAAGGAGGGAAATGGGTCAGTAGGAACAGCTGCTGCTATACCTACATTTATGGAGCCCTCACCTTGTGCTGGGCAGTGAACTAAGCATGTTGTACCCATGATCTTATTTCAACCTCCCAACAGCCATACAAGGCAATGGACTTTGTAGGTGGGGCTCAGCTAAGGGATCTGCACTGAGCTCACCACTCCCAGAGCCAGGATGTGACTGCAGAGCTGTTGGTCTCCAAGGCCTGTGCAGTCAAACTCTCCACAACATGGATTCTCAAGGCAGAGTGGGAGCACACACGGGAGGAGGGAGAAAAGAGAAGGAGAGAGTTTAGGGGAAAACTCAAGGCACCAACATGATGAAGCAGGAACCCAAAGCCTGGAATCTTGGCACCAGAACAACATACACATTGTCTCTTTTGCTGCCAGCAAGCACCTCCTCACCATCTGGCTCCCCCCAACCCCTTTCCTTTTACCAATCAAGTGCTCTGCCAATGTAGGGCAGTGAGTCAAGCTTAGCCAATGAGATTCTCTAATTGTTTGAATACTGTCTCTCCTGGCCAATGAGTAGGGCAGTGAGTCAAGCTTAGCCAATGAGATCCTCCAATTGTTTGAACGCTGTCTCTCCTGGCCAAGAAGTTGGGCAGCGAGTCAAGCTTAGCCAATCAGTCAAGGTAGCAGACACATGGGCCATATAGTGACTGCACCACAGAGACTCGATATCTCTGGGGAGGATTGCATTGCAGGTGGATGTCTCTAATGTGCTTGGGGAAGGTAGGGGTTGGCAAATTGCCAGCTACCTATGTGTCCCAGGTACCATCATGAAACTTTCTGGCTGCCTTTTACTTTTCCCCCACCCTCCACAAGGTATCTAAAAATACAAAGGTCAAAACCAGGGAAAACAGAATGGACTTCCCATTGATTAGCACCTATAAAGGAACCAGAGGCTTTTCCTATGTCATTGCTAAACGTCAGAATGACCTTGAGAGGGGAGCCTGCTGATTTCTATGTTGCACACGAGGACAATGAGGGTCAGAAAGATGAAGATGAGCTGGGATTTTTGCACGTGTGTGGCTGTCAGGGGGAGACACATACTGCAAGAGCCCACTTGTCCCTCCTGCCCTGGTGTCGGGACCAATGGTACTGGGTGGCCCGGCCCCTGCTCTGTCAGCTGGGCACAGGGTCCCCGACACCTGGAAATCTGCCCTCGCTAAGTTATGGTCTCCTTATCCAAAGTTTGTAAAAGGGCACCCTGGGAGAAGAAACGATCTTATCTAGCCAGAGCCCCGCTAAAATCCCAATAAGCCCATTGCGAGCTAGAGATTGAAGTGCGATTTTGGCATCTCTCCTCTGGTGTGGAAAGAGATTACACTGAGTCATATTTCAAAAAGGCGCGACTGACACTGCATAATCTCTGGTCTTAACTCCCCCTGACCTTGAGAGAGCAGCAATCAAGTGGGGGGTGCTGCAGAGGCTGGGAACACAGGTTTAGACGATCACGGAAAAGCTCCGCTGCCAGCAGAATCTCATCAGGCCCCTGTCTGGGGCAGCTCTAAAGCCGCGCAGCAGTGTCCTTTGCAGTCTTCCCCTCCCACCACCCCCGATTCAGGGACAGGGGCCCAGCCTTGATTTCCTAAGGCCCCAAGCCTGCCAGCCCCAGGCCCCGTGCCCAGCCTGGCACTGCCCCCTCCCCTGCACGCCCCTCCCCGCCTTCAGACCCTGGAGGACCCACCAGGACTTTTCTCATCTTCCCTCCACCCCCATCTCTTTTCCAGTGACAATAATGAAGCTGAAAATGTCGCCAGAAAAGGCATCGATCTGTTTATCTATCACTCGCTAATCAAAAGTTTCCTGCCTCCTGTTAAAATACCAATGATTTCCTTTGCGGAATCAAACAGGTCTGTTCCCAGAGACTGAGCGCATCAGCAGAGACAGTTTAATTACCATCTTTGATGCTCCTTCCCTGAATACCAATCTTTCCTGAGTTACATGATGAACACACATTAGGGGAAGAATTAAATCAAAAAGCAGGGACTGACTAATTGCAGGGCGTCTTGCATGAAACCGGGCTTCCCTGATGTGTGCGGTGATCCTCCCTGGGACTCAGGTATTTCAGAGCAGTCAGCCCCTGAATGCCAGCACGCTCAGAGGAGGGCCTAGAGTTTACACTCTGAGACACTCTGATGCATAATAAACATGGTGGTTAGACTTCTTGAGATTGAAAGTCTGGTCCTACACTCAGTCTCAGCCTGGGCCACTTAATTTCCAGGAGCCTCAGTTTTCATGTGTGTAAAATGAAGATATTGAATATCCCATAAAAGGCTACTGTGGGGATTAAAGCAAATGATGGAGGTAAAGCCTTGAACATAATGAGAGGTTCATTAATGAAAGCCATTATTATTATTACCATTAAATAAAACAATAAACAAATGCTTATGATAGACAATATCGTATTTTATTATAAAATATACTACTCAATACATGTATTAGTCACTTCTCATGTGGCTAATAAAGACATACCCAAGACTGGGTAATTTATAAAGGAAAGAAGTTTAATGGACTCACAATTCCACATGGCTGGGGAGGCCTCACAATCATGGTGGAAGACAAAGGAAGAGCAATGGGACGTCTTACATGGTGGCAGGCAAGAGAGCTTGTACAGGGGAAATCCCCATTATAAAACCATCAGATCTGATGAGACTTATTCACTATCATGAGATCAGCATGGGAAAAACCTGCTCCTATGATTCAATTACCTTCCACTGCGTCCCTCCCACTACCTGTGGGGATTATTGCAATTCAAGGTGAGATTTGGGTGGGGACACAGAGCCAAATTGTATTCATATATGTTTATAATTTTAGAATATTGTTATAAACTATAATAAGCAGACTGTCTCCTCTATACATCACTGTGTCCCCAGTGCCTGGAACTGTGCTGCCCATAGGAGGTGTTCCATGAACATGGAGAAGGAATTGCTATGATGGGCACAGAGAATGGCACAGTGAATGTTCTGAACACTGTGCCTTCCCCACCTGACTCTGCAATGAAAACATAGAATAAACATGGTCACTTACATGGAGGTTCAAATCTCCCACATCCTCCACTCCACCACCCTGTCTGGGCTCTTGGAAGAGCCTCTGCCTCCCAAGCCGTCCTGCAGAGCAGGCTGGGCGCCCCCGTGCCCTCAACTGGCCCACTTAATCGGCATGGCCAGAGGGGTGGCTCTCTCTCCCTCACCCGCTGCCAAATCTATTTTGACAGGAACAAATGGCTGTCATATGATACCACTTATGGAAAGGAATACACACAAAAATAATTTTTAGATTATATTTTTTGTAAGAAAAGTGATAAAAGCATTCATAGAAATAAAAAAAATAATTCCCCTCTTCTGTCTGGAGAGCAATAAAGTCTGAGAACCCCATATTCCTCCATCACCATCCCCAGGTGTTCATTTGTCTCACACACACACACACACACACTCACACACATTCGCATACACATACACACATGCGTACACACATATACAAATATACATACACACACTTATACACCCATGCATACACATACATATGTGCATACACACACCACACACTCTTACACACACTCAACTTACATAGATCTACATACACACACCCACACCTGCACATACACAGCTCTCTTCCTACACTGATAATTTCCCACCTTTTTATATTGAGGAAAACTGGGTTATCCCTGATGTTCATCAGTCCTCTACCCACTGATGCCATGCCAGGCTTCCCAGTCAGGGGGCCAGCTGGAAGCAGTGTTCCCAAGTCACCAGCTCTTGACTTTTGTCATCAAAGACATCAAGAAGCACCAAATTGTTTGAGGTGGCATGTGTCAGCCTCAGTGGAGGGCCCTCTCTGTGATGGTCGCATGACAGGCTCATCCCCATGTGCAGCTACCTGCCCTCCTGTCCTGCCCAGGGTCAGGAGTGAGGTCAGTGGGAGAGAAGAGGGAGGCCCTTGGACTCTCCCATTGCCAATGCCCTGGGGCACAAGGAACCTCTCCTGTGGATGTTTTATTTTCCATCCAAAATATGACTCTCAGGGAAACTGAGGCTCAGCTGGTTTATCCGCTCCCCACATTGAACCTCCAGCAGGAACTAGATGCTCTGTTCCTTAAGGCCTTTTCCCCAAATATAAGAAAAAGGAAGAACACCCTTTTGTGGGGATTCTACTAGAAGAGGTTAAATGGTTCCACACAATTCAACAATTATGTCCTACATGCACAGCCCAGATACACACTGATATGGTTTGGATGTTTGTCCCCTCCAAATCTCCTGTTGAAATGCGATCCCCAATGTTGGAGTAGGTTGTAGTGGGAGGTGTTTTGGTCATGGGAGTGGATCCTTCACATATGGCTTGGTGCCATCCCCTTAGTGATGAGTGAGTTCTCACTCACTCTGTTAGTTCACATGAGATCTGGTTGTTAAAGAAATTAGGACCTCCTTTCTCTCTCTCCAGGAGACACACCTGCTCCCCCTTTACCTTCCACCTTGAGTAAAAGCTCCCGGAGACCCTCACCAGAAGTAGATGCAGACACCATGCTTCTTGTACAGCCTGCAGAACCATGAGCAAAATAAAACTCTTTTCTTTATAAACTACTCAGCCTCAGGTGTTCCTTTGTAGCAACGAAAAATGGACTAACATGCATGCAAAGGTGACTCTGTGCATGCATGCGATGGTGACTAAGATGGGTCCCCACTCTCGGGCAGCATGGAGTCTCCTGGCAGACACAGACACCTAACAGGCACTTACAGCACAGCGCGATGTCTCAGACAGGGAGGCCAGCACATAGAGGAAGCTCTTAGGAATCTGGTAAGACTTTTTGGAGGAGGAGCCTAGTCAAGGAAATGCAGGGGTAGGTCCAGGTGGGCTGGACCATCCAGGGTCCAGTGAACCATGTTGAGGAACTGTGTTGTTGGACTCCTGAGGTCAATGGGGACCCACGGAACTATTGAACAAGGCAGAGGGGCATGATCCTATGTGCACTTCACTTTGGCCACTTGCAGTATTTGAGAAATGATCCCTCATGCCCCAGGAGGCGGGATGGGCTTCTGTGATGGGAACAGCCCACCTGGCCACCTCTCCCCTCCATCCTGCCTCCCTCCCTCTCTGGACCTCCTCTCCTAGGCCTGTCTTTCCTCCTTCCCTCTCTTCTCACTTTCCCCTCTTGCTCTGCCTCTCTTGCTCCCCCTCTATTATCTCCCCTTTATTTCTGCCGCTTCGAGCTTCTCAGTCCCCCTGGATTCATCATCTCCCTGCCCCTTCTGGAGATGCAAACACAGAGTGCTGGATGTCATTTATTTTTGTGATTTTTTTCCCCACCCTTTGCACACACACAATTCCCACCCCGCTCATAATGTAAAGATGACCTTTCTGATATTCATTATCAATTAAGGGAACAAATCCTCTTCTCTGAGTGCACTCCAAGCAGCGCGAGAGACCTTTCCAGCTGAAAAACACAGAAGGACCGCTCCCTCTGGCTGCCCTCTCGCCTGTCCCACATCTCTGGGTGAGCTGTAAGGGTGGATGGGGAGCCTAGTGTAGACAGGGCAGATCAGTGCGGGTTAGGGATTGCACGTGCTGCAAATGTTTCTGCCCGCACGACCATCATGGAGAGTCTTTTCTTTTTTTTTTTTTTTTTTTTTTTTTTTTTTTTTTTTTTTTTTTTTTGAGACGGAGTCTCGCTCTGTCGCCCAGTCTGGAGCGCAGTGGCGCGATTTCGGCTCACTGCAAGCTCCGCCTCCCAGGTTCACGCCATTCTCCTGCCTCAGCCTCCCCAGCAGCTGGGACTACAGGTGTACGCAGCCACGTCCAGCTAATTTTTATATTTTTAGTAGAGACGGGGTTTCACCGTGTTAGCCAGGATGGTCTCGATCTCCTGACCTTGTGATCTGCCCGCCTCGGCCTCCCAAAGTGCTGGGATTACAGGCTTGAGCCACCGCGCCCGGCCGATGGAGAGTCTTTTCTTCTTCCCTTGCCAGACGGAGAGGCCTGGCTTCTCAGGCAGGGTGTCTCCAGCTGAGCTCTGGCCACTGAGACCCCAGCAGGCCTCCCTGTGGCCTGCCCCAGGGATCGCTCTTTCCTTCCCATTGCCATTGCGCTGAGGCGTTTTTACACTGTGTAGTATGGTTTCCAGAAGGTCATCTTGCATGGGGCTGCATTTCCTATGCCTACGCCCACGCTGCCCAAAGCTGCCCCTTCCTCCCTTTTGTTTCCGGTCCCTCTTCTTCTCCCTCCTCCTTCTCCCATTCTTCCTTCTCCTCCTTGTCATTCTGTCTGAAAACACACTGGCACTCGCAGCTCTCCCAGGACACCATTCCCATGGGGGCCACACAAAGACAGCGGAAGGAGGCCAGCGCCTGTGCAGAGGCTTTGACTCGCAAAGCTCCTCCCAGGCCCCAGGAAGGCCTTTCTCTCCCAGTTCCGCGGCCAGGG
Source organism: Homo sapiens (assembly GCF_000001405.40). Classification (NCBI taxonomy): domain Eukaryota; kingdom Metazoa; phylum Chordata; class Mammalia; order Primates; family Hominidae; genus Homo; species Homo sapiens. The sequence continues at coordinate 54,194,662 of NC_000016.10, read as the reverse complement.
GCTGGGCTCACCTCCAGGTCTGCTGGAGACAGCAGGTCCCGTGGGGAGCAGAGACGGAGCTGGGAGAGGCGGGGCACCCTGCCTGGGATCAGACTCGGGGCTTAGAGCACGTGGTCTCGGGGAACCCGTCCAGACGGTGTCCCTTGGCCTTTCCCACGGCAGCGCCCCCAGTGTCTTATCCCAGATTCCCCGGGGGCCTGGACACACAACCGGCCCGGGAAGGAAACCCCAGACAGCACCCGGCCCACGTCGCTGTCACAGCCTCGGCTTAATTGCTGGGTAGGGAGGGGCAGCAACTCTCCGCCATGGCCCGTGTGGCCCGGGGCTGCCCACACCCGTCTGGGCTGTCGGGGGCACATGCTGTGTGCCTTAGAGTCACATTCGCGCATACTGCATGGGGCTGGCGCCTGCCCAAGTCCTCTTCCTATTCCTCCAGCAGTGCCCAGCAGCACCCAGAAGACTGGGAAGGCCAGATCGCTGGGCCAAAGGCACATTCTGAAAGGGGCGTGAGCACAGGCAGAGTAGGAGGGAGGGAGTGGGGAGAGAGAACACTCAGCCGCAAATTGTTACACATTTGGCCTCAGAGTCTCATGTTACTCCCTCCTGACAATGAATGGCTTCTCAAAACTAAACCCAACAGAGAAAAAAGGGGACAAGGACGTCTCATGACCCTGGGCCGGAACTCCTTCCTGTGTTCTCGGCTCAGAACACCCCCGTTGTGTCCTTGCCTCCGATTCCTTTCCAGGTGCCATGGGCGCCCGGTCCACGCAGGTCTTCCGTGGCCGCTTCTCTAGGGCCCAGGCCCCTTCCAGGAAGAAGTGCGCTCTGGTGACACCATCAGGCCGCTCGGGGGCACTGCAGAGGGAAAGGCCGGAAGCAGAGGACCAAGAGGAGGGCTGAAGGCTGGCATCCACCGCACACCCCCTAGAGCCAGGATTGGCAATGGCGTGCGGCTGGCAGTCTTGCCCAAGCCACATGGGCCCCTCCACCTGGCTCCACCCTCTCCCAACAGCCTTTGTTTACTTAAAACGAGACCCACTGGCAATGAGGAAGGAACTCCAGGAAGCCTCTCTGCCATCCCCCTGCCTCAGGGCACGATTGTCCTCCTCTGGAGGAGGGGTCTATCTTCCTGCTGCCCTCCCCTTACGACTCCTGCGTCTCCTGCCCTAAGGGGTATCTCCTCAAATTCAGAAAGTGAAGAACTAGAGCACCCTATGTAGATGTCTATTGACAGGATTTTACACTATGGATACACTACACAAAACTTTTCAGTGGACGTTCTTAGCAGCATTCTTCATAACAGCAAAACAATTGGAAACCAGGGTCCATCACCAGGGTCTGGTTGAGTCCACGGTCATATACCACCCAAGATTAAACAACACAGCAGGGTCTGGAATCATAAAGAAAATGAGGCTCAGCCCCTACCCCCAAGGAGCTCATGGGCCGGCCAGTGACAGGGGCCGGCCAGGCAGGCAGACTAACGGATCCTGGTGGGAATGCACCTGCAGTTCTGGAAAAGAAAGGAATTTCTTTGCTATCCCATCTCTATCCAGCATTATATGTTATCCTTTCTCCATGGATGCCTTCCTCTGGCCCTTGAAGGTTTCCTTCAGCCAGAGAGCACAGCCACATCTGTGTGAGGCAGTTGGCAGCCCAGGGTGAGAAACCATGAGTTAAAGAAGTGTAGAGTACAGTATCAGGAGTGTCAGCATGTAGAAATTATTCTGTGAGCTTCCTCTACTCCTTGCTAGAATGAAATATTCCTTAAGCTTAAAGTTCAGGTACTAATGACCCATGCATTTTTTTCATTCTGAAAGAAACATTATTGTCTAGACAGAGGCCAAAGAAGGAGTCATTTTGGCTATTACAGTAGCTATTTATTTCATCTGAATTATATAAAAAATTACCTTGGGGTAATTTTTAAGCCCCAAATGCAGTGGCTTAAACAAACAGTCAACATGTAACTATCTCACACTATTTCTCTAGGTCAGGAATTTGAGAGCGGGAATTTGGAGTGATGTAAGTCCCGGGCTTTCTCATGAGGTTGTAGTCATGATGTCAGTGGGGTTGCAGTCACCTGAAGGCTCAACTGGGGATGGAGAATCCATTTCCAAGGTGGCTAACTTCCATGTTTGTGGGCAGGATGCCCCAATTCCTCTCCAGGTGGAATTCTACATAGGGCTGCTTGAGTGTCCTTACAACATGGCAGCCAGCTGCCTCCAGAGCAAGTGATCCAAGTGGAGGCGAGACAGAAGCCACAATGCCTTGTATGCCCTGGCCTTGGAAGTTGTATGCCATCATTTGCCCCATATCCTATTGGCTACACACATCATCTCTGTTCAGTATGAGAGGGATGTCCTTAAAGGCATGAATATCAAGAGGTGGCACTCACTGGTGCCATCTTGAAAGCTGGCTACTACCTTCAAGATGGCCCCAGTGAGCCCCACCTCCTGATATTATGTGGTGAATATTCATAATCAGCAGCACTGAACACCACCATTCCTGACTCTAAACCCTCATTCTCCTAGCCACTGGCCTCCCATTCCCTCACCTGTTCCATGAAGATTCTCACTTGCTACTCCTTCCCTAACTCCTTTCGGAACAGAAGAGAGTGTAATTTGGTTCATTCAGTTATTAAAACAGTATCTAACCTATCATCCTGCATTGAAGATCCAAGAGAATCTGGCTCTAATACCTTCTTGTCTTGTTTCTACCACTTCCCTTCCATCATCCTATGTTCTTCTAAGCTCAGTGATCTAAAGATCCCTGAAAACGGAGGTCAGTCCCTACCCCAGCAGCATGTTTGTTAAAGCCAGTTGTGTGACCTTTGACAGGTTCCTTTCTTGAGACAGGGTTTTGCTCTGTTGCCCAGGCTGGAGTGCAGTGGCGCAATCACTGCGTACTGCAGCCTTGTGCTCCCAGGCTCAAGCAACCAACCTGCCTCAGCCTCCTGAATAGCTAGGGCCTCAGGCATGTGCTACCACACCCAGCTAATTTTTTTCTTAATTTTTTTGTAGAGATGGCATCTCAGTATTTTGCCCAGGCTGATCTCTAACTCCTGGCCTCAAGTGATCCTCCTGCCCCAGCCTCCCAAAGCGCTGGGATTACAGGCATGAGCCACTGCGTCTGGCTGGTTAATTCAATTATTAAAACACTGTCCACCCTATCATTCTGCACTGAAGATTTAAGAGGATATGACTCTAATAACTTCCTGTATTGTTTCTACCACTTCCCTTCTATCATCCCATGTTCCTGCTGAACTCAATGACTTAAAGATCCCTGAACACCACCCACCCAACTGCATGTTTGCTAAAACTAGCTGTGTGACCTTTGACAGGTGTCTTAACCTTTCTGGGCTTCTCTTTCCTCCTTTGTAAAATGAGAATAATAAAAATTCCTGCCTCTCTGAGAGGTTATGAGGATAAAAGGAGATAATGCGTATCAAGTGCTGAGAACACCACTTGGTATGGAGTAAGCACTGTTCATATTCTCATTCTTGTTGCCATGTTAACACTGTATCCTCCTCCTGGAATCCCTAACTCCTCTTAGAACATCCTGCCCACTCTTTCTGTAAAGTGCTTCTGGATCTCCTTGCCTCCCCACCTAGAAGTTATTCTCCACTTCCCTGCCTTTCCCAACCCCTCTTTCCACCTTCCTCAGCCCTGATGACATTCTGCCTTCCGAGGTACCATCATACCCAGGTCTTCATTCCCCATTCTCCCCCACTCTCTAACACATCCCCTGCTAAATGTGAGTCCTCCAGGCTCTCCCAGCCCCCAGCACATAGTGTGGGTGAGTGTGTTTTGCATTTATAAGATAATCCATAAATGCTTTTTGAAGAAGTTCTTAGATAAGGGACTAAGCAAAGAGACAAGGAAGACATGCCCAGACTTCAAAAGGTTAAACTTTTATGCTGTCTCCCTTTCTCAGAGCCTGTTTCGTCAATTATAAAAAGAGTAAATAACTTTTTTAAAATAGTGGTAAAATATGCATAACATAAAATTTACCATTTTCATCGTTTCTGAGTGTACAATTCAGTAGCATTAAACACATTCACATTGTTGTGCAACGTGATCTGTCTCCAAAAGTAACTCTAAAACTTTTATTTTCCCGTATTGAAAATGTATACCCACCAAACTACAACTCCCCTTTTCCCCACCCCCAGTCCATGGGGACTACCATGCTGTTGTCTTTCTCTCTGAATTTGACTGTCCTGTGTACCTCGTATAAGTGGAATCATAGTATTTGTCCTTTTATGTCTGGCTCGTTTCACTTAGCATAAGGTTTCCAAGGTTCATCCATGTTGTAGCATGTATCAGAATTTCATTCCCTTTAAGGCTGAATCATATTTCATTATATGTATATGTCACATATTGTTTATTCATTCATTGATAGCCATTTGGGTTGCTTCTACCTATTGGCTATTGTGAATAATGCTGCTATAAACACTGGCGTACAAATGTAGGTTTCAGTCCTTACTTTCGATTCTTCTAGGGATATACCTAAAAGTGGAATTGCTGGATCACATGGTAATTCTATGTTTAATTTTTTGAGTAATGGCCATAATGTTTTCCACAGTGGCCACCACATTTTGCATTCCCACTAGCAATGGACAAGGGTTCCCATTTCTCCACATCCTTGCCAACACTTTTTATTTTCTGTTGTGTTTTGTTTTGTTTGGATGATAACCATGTTAATGGGTATGTTATCCTCTTATGGCTATTATCATCATTGGCCAAAGAAATACATACTGATGCCCCTATTCTTGTGCCTGGAACACAGTAGCCTCCTCATCTATGTTTGTAAATTTCATTACTTAAAGCTTCAGCTCAAATAACAATATCACTGAGGGGAAAGGACACTGGAAGCCAGTCATGGGCTCTAGAAGCAAAGACTCCTTTGTGTACGCAAAGGCAGATTCCAGTGTGTCAGCCAGCACCAGCTCCATCACCTGCCTGTTCGTCTCCATGCCAGGTGACTCACAGACTACACCTCTGTCCCTGTCTGTGGCCTGGGTCTCTTCTCTCCTGAGAACTCCCTGAGAAGAAGTGAGTGACCACAACAAATGCAGACTTGGGAGTTATCTGAGGAGCAAGGATTCCTGAACTAGAGCTATTTGAGAAGAAACAAGTTGCCGAATAGGTCTTGGAGCTTAAATTCCACCAGGAGCAAAGAGTATCTCCTAAAACCAGTTTATAAAGCACAATTTCAGAGGCTGACAAATCTAGGTCACAGTCTTTCAGCTTTGCTCAATGCCCTGAAGTGTATCACAGAGCTCCAGAAGTTCTCGCCTTTCGTGTTCTTCACTCCAGTTGAGCTGACCCCACAAAGCATGGTCGCTGCCTCCTGGAATCCTTCAACAAGAGCCCACGTGGTACAGTGGTTAGACCAGCCTGAGTTCCCATCCCAGCTCTGCCCTTGGCTACCTGTACAAACTGGATACATTGCTTTACCTTTCCAAGTTTGTATGAAGCAAGGGTGGTAAGGAAGTTCCCCAGCCCAAGTGTAGGGTATCACACCCTCCCTGCCCACCCACAGCCATCATGAGAGTAATGGGCTGGCCATATTGGCCATTCTGAAATGCCATAACAGCTGTGACTTCACTTAAATGGAAAATTCCCATTGACAGATTGTTGTGGTTTTTTTTGTAAAATCTTTCCCCTAAAAGATCCCAAGACCTGTGCATGGAGGATGCTACACAAGGTGGATCTCCTGGTTTTTCTGTTTTTGTTTGAGACAGAGACTCTGTCACCCAGGCTGGAGTACAGTGGTGCAATCTCAGCTTGCTGCAATGTCCACCTCCTGGGTTCAAGCGATTCTCCTGCCTCAGCCTCCCAAGTAGCTGGGACTACCAGCGTGCACCACCACACCTGGCTAATTTTTGTACTTTTAGTAGACACAGGGTTTCACCATGTTGGCCAGGCTGGTCTCAAACTCCTGACCTCAGGTGATCTGCCCACCTCAGCCTCCCAAAGTGCTGGGATTACAAGCGCGAGCCACCGCACTCGCCCTAGATCTCCTTTTTCAGAACAGCATGGAGTCACTTTCTTCATCTACTTCAAGTGAGATGGTGGCCTTCCAGTCAAACGAAGCTCCAGCTAGAAGTTTCATTGCTTTCACCTCATTAAAGCACCTTCAAATGTATCAATGTGATTGGGTCTCTGATATTTTTAGTTACTGGTCAACAGCAGGATGATTTTTAGCTGAGGAGGAAACCCCTAGGCTATAAATCACATAAAAACAAACCTACTCCAGTCAAAATGGGAGTTGGTGGGGCATTGTGATGGTGAGGGGATAGGATTGGGTGAGAGCAACAGTATTTAGTGGGAAATTACAGCATCGTTTGGTTTTCATTTTGTAAAACAGGTATCTTTTCTCTGCCAAAAATAATACTGCTTTTTCATTTGTGGAATGGACATAAAGTTTCTTGAAATAATTTATTTAAATAAAAGAGTAAAGATTTAGATTAAAAGAATTAAGTAAATAATAATATAGTGCTCAAATATAAGTTAAGACATCAATCAAGACAGCGATGTTTAGATAGAGTGATCTAACTGGCCAACTACACCTACAATGATTTGACTTCCACCCATTCATTTCCATCAGGTAATTAGTTAGTGCCAATTATTGTGCCAAGAGTGGTTTTTAGCTCCACTATTGCTGTCTGTTGTTAACTCACCATCACCACATTCTCCTTCCAAGAGAAGGGTCTCCTTCTCCCTGTAGCAGGGAGCAGCTAGGAGCTACATTTCCCAGAAGCCTCTTCCCCATGTGGCTCTAGGTTAGAATTTGCCTATGAGAAGCACAGGTGTGATATTGGGAAAGTGAAAGAGAAGGTGCCATTTTTCTTTGAAGGCAGTTATAGCCAAGTGCATAAGATGACAGGAGGTTTTCAGCAGCTTTCTGAAGAACTTTGAGAATAACTCACTTTGGTGCTGTAGAAGGAGGTGTTAGGAGCTTCCCAGACTTTCTTGAGAATTGCCCAGCCTTCCTAGCAAGCTGTTGGAGAATCACTCACTTAAGTGCTTCAGGCTGAGGATCTCACTTTCATTCTCCCAGCTCTTCCAATCGTTGTGCATCCCTCGAATCCCAACATTAAAGCCTCCATACCTTGAGTACATAGAATGACTTCTGTTTTCCTGGCTAAGTAAACTGTCTTTGAGCATTCTATTCCCTTAATTGAGGAGAAAAGACACAGATACACCAAACAATGAAAGAAAATGTCATTGGCTCTCATCAAAATTAAGAAAGTGAAATTCATACAATATAGCAAGTCTCATGAGAGTCCAAAGTAGAAGACAAACAGATCTGGTGGCAGGTGTTGAAGATGATAAGCCCATGCCGGGGACTGAAACTGACCCATGGAATCTGATTTGTGCAGACCGTGAAGCAAGCTAATGCCTAAAACACACACACACAAACACACACAATATCAAAAAACCAAAAACAATTGCCTGAGAATCCTTTTTTTGGTATCAAAACACAAAAGTCAATGAGAAAATAGTGTAATGTTTTCTAAGAACACAGATGTTATATTTGAGACAATCTCTTTACACGTTCCAGAAGAAGTCATTGTCATAAGTCTGGTGTTGTCTAATCCTGCCTTGTCTGAAACATCTTCCTTTCCTGGAAACTGGGGGTTAGGGGCTTCTAGAAACAGGTGAAATGAATGAAGCAGGGCTGCAAGCTGCACTCACGAGGATTTTAGACCTGGGTTTCACTATGGCTTTGCTCTAGCCCCTTGACTATTTGGGAAAACATCACGAAATTTGTTTCAGCTTGGCTACATGAAAATTAGGAGCCCTCATGAGTTCTCAGTAAGCTTTAAGCAGCATTTCCCACATTTTATTCAGAAACATAAGTTCTGGAGGAGATTGATCCTTTGGAAAACAAAAGTACTTTATGATCAATCAAGTCTGAGAATACTGGCTTTAATAGAATCGAATGGGTTTCTTTATTGCAGGACTTTCCAGAGCTTTCGATATGCCTCTGTCCACAGGCAGTATCACAGAGGGGAACATAGTCTACTGTAAATCCCAAGCTTGTTTTACTAGGAAACCCTCCTCCTCCCCACCTCTTTTCCAGAGCATCTTGAGAAATTTGTGTTCCAAACTTTGGCAAATGCTAGTTCAAAGGATACAGGATTCTTACAGTCCTCAAAACTTCTTATTTTATCAAGAACCTTAAAAATACGTATGCTCAGGAATGACATTGGCAAGATGGCAGACTTGCAACCTCCAGGCACTTATTCTTACATGGCAACATTAAACAATTAGAGATTGGCTACAATAACTTTATAGGAGTTCTGGAAATGAACAAAAATCTACAACAACCAAGCAAATGCCGAATCAAGAAAAATCTACATTCAGATGGAAGGAAATGTCATGGTGTTTTTACTCATTCTTTCCTTACCGCCTCTCTAGTGTGGCATGGCATGGTTTGAGAGAAATGACACCTTAATCCCCAGTTCCTGACTTTAAACCAGAGAGAGCAGAGTGGATCTAATTTGCAATGGTCTAACCCATCTGGGGGCTGCCTGAGGGATCGGTGTCTGTATCACCTAATTTGGAGCTCAGAAAGCCAACAACGGTACAACCTGGACCTCAGGCTAGAAGGGGCTGCAGGAAGTAGCTAGAATGGCTCATGAAAACAGCAAGGGAGCAAGCGGGGCCTGCAGACAACTGAGACAAAGATGACTGATGGATAAGTCTAATAAAATAGCTAAGGCCCAGAGAAGAAACAGGTGAGACTCTTGGGAAAATTAAGATATTTAAAAGCAACCATGTATACAGGAGATTGCGGGAAAAAAATCACACATGCAGGCCTAGGTAAGACATATATTCAGAAAAGGCCTTGGAAGACTTTAAGCCTTTATGCTAGGCTGATTCCAAAGCTCAGAACATGTCCTGCTAATTAGTGAAGGCCTTATCCACAAATCTCCAAAGACTGAGAGAGGTAGCTGATTTTTTTGAATGCCCAATTTTCAACAAAAGATCACAAAGCATACAAAGAAACAGGAAAACATAGCCCATTCAAAAGAACAAAGTAAATCTTCAGGAACAGTCCCTGAGAAACACAGGTATCAGACTTAGCAGGTGAAGACTTTAAAACAAGTACCTTAAACATGCTCAAAGAAAACACAAAGAACTAAAGAAAATCAGGAAAACAATATATGAACAAATTCAGAATTACCAACAAAGAGATATAAATTATAAATAACAAAAACAACCAAATAAATTGTTAAGGTGACAAACAATAACTGAGTTGAAAAATTCACTCAAGAGCAGACTCAAACAGGCAGAAGAAAGAATCCGTGACCTTAATGAGAAGTCATTTAAAATTATCAAGTCTGAGAAGAAAAAAGAATGAAGAAAAGTGAAAGAGCCTAAGGGACTACGGCTCACCATTAAGCAGATTAATATATGCATTATGGGAGCCCTAGAGAGAAGGGAGAGAGAGAGGGAGAAAGAGGCAGAGAGATTATCTGAAGAAATAATGGCCAAAATCTTCCCAAATGTGATGAAAAACATGGATGTATATGTTCAAAAATCTCAACAAACTCCAAGTAGGAAAATTATAATGTGCTCATGCATCTAGAAATATGACTTCTGGGGAATTTTTTTCTTAAGAAAATACTACAATCTTGAACTTGGGTGAACAGTTACCTACAATTATTTATCACAGCCATTTTGTAATTGTGAAGAGTTAGAACAACCTATGTGTTCGACAATAGAAGAATTGATCAAATTAAAACATATATATAAGATGGGACATTGTGCAGCCATCAGAAATGATGTCGGCAATGTACAGAATATATAAGATAAAAGAGAGGGTTACTAAATGCCATGTACAATCTTATTTTTGTAATGAGTAGGTAGTTTGTACATGAAAGAGGATTTAGAAAGAAAATCATGAAAGAATTAAGAGTAAATTGTTTTCTGTATGAGATTGAGGATGTGTTTTTCCCTTCTTTCGCTTTTATAAAAAACTATAAAACTTTTGTAATAAGAGATAAAACAATCTATTTTAAAATTAGTCACATACCTAGTAAGTGTCAGATGAGATCTGAACTCATAGTGCTTCCAATTAATCCATGCTTTCTCCTGTCTCAGCACCAAATGTCTCTTCTTAAGTCCTCACTTAGAATGGGTTCTTTCCGTCCGGGCAAGGTGGCTCACGCCTGTAATCCCAGCACTTTGGGAGGCCAAAGCAGGTGGATCACCTGAGGTCAGGAGTTCGAGACCAGCCTGGCCAACATGGTGAAACCCCCATCTCTACTACGAATACAAAAAATTAGCCGGACGTGGTGGCGTGCACCCATAATCCTAGCTACTTGGGAGGCTAAGGCAGGAGAATCGCTTGAACCTGGGAGGCGGAGGTTGCAGTGAGCCAAGATCAAGCTACTGCACTCTAGCCTGGGTGACAGAGAGAGACTCCATCTAAAAATAAAGAAAAAAACGAATGGGTTCTTTCCCTGGGAATACCCCCAACTACTTGGCCTCACTGAGTGCCCTATCTCATAATTGTAGGTACTTTAACAGATCTAAGGAGGATTTTTAGGTTCAGTTGAAGTTTCATCATTCAGTTGCTTCCTATTCTAAAGTATCTGCGATGCCAGGCTTAGCTTTTCTGCTTATGGACACTAAACCTTAACCATCATTTCACTTGCGTGTAAAAAAGCCACTCATACAAAGAATACACCGGCTCCATGCCCTCTCCACACCTCCTTCACTAATTATGAGTGTAAGAGTCAAGAATCAGGATGACCAAAGAGTTAAAGCTCAGTATTTTCATTTTTGAGTTTGTCAAGGTGTCTTAGCAAATTTCCTCTTTAATTTACGTGATTTTAGCTAGTGTCATTTTCCCCAAAGGGGCTTTTGGATATCAAGCATAAAGAGAAAATACAAGTCAGTTCCCTCACCTCTGCCAAAGCCAAAATGGAATCACATTTAAAAACTAATAAAATAGAATGAATGATGGTCATTACCCGCCACAGCTATTTCACAATAGCAAGGCCTGATATGTGTTAATTCTCAGTGCAGCCGTGTACATACCCAGATTCTGTGAAGCTCTACTCACTTTCGAGGACTATGAGCTGAGATATTTCCTTCTAGAAGAATCTTCATGTTTCAAGTCTATGAACTTTGAACTGTGCAATGTCTGCAAGAATGAAATTCCACCAGGGAAGGGATTCAGATAGAATTCAACTGATATAATAGTTCCACTTGGTATTTGCTTCTTTAAACAACAGAACAAATCTTATCACAAATCCAGTAATATTTTGCCATCAAGAGTAGAAAAACAGAACCATTGGAAAGTCATGCATTCACAAAAGATGCTAAACCCTTAAAATCATTAGCTTTGAGAATGACAAAGGAGTTCATTTTATGTTTGAGGAACAGGCTCTTTTCTGGCATAGATGCTTTGGAGTTTCAAGGGGGCTCCAATATCTAGAATACTGATGCCCTCAGTTAGAACACCCAACATGAGCCAGGCACGGTGGTTCACGCCTGTAATCCCAGCACTTTGGGAGGCTGAGGCAGGTGGATCATCTGAGGTCAGAAGTTCAAGACCAACCTGGCCAACATGGTGAAACCCCATCTCTACTACAAATACAAAAAAGTAGCCAGGCGTGGTGGCATACACCTGTAATCCTAGCTACTCGGGAGGCTGAGAGAGGAGAATCGCTTGAACCTGGGAGGCAGAGGTTGCAGTGAGCCAAGATCACGCCATTGCCCTCCAGCCTGGGCAACAAGAGGGAAACTCAGTTTCAAAAAAAAAAAGCAGAAAGAAAGAAAACCCAACATGAGTCCAGCAGAGCAGGGAGGGTAAATTGCACTGAGCCCTAAGACTTCCTGGGAAAGCATTCATCCTATAGGAAGTGACAAGTCAGCTGTGGACCTGCAGTGCTAGGACAGTGGGCTGGTGTGAGAGAAGAGGATGGTCTACTGCTCAGATTGCCAGCCTGCCCAGCCCAGGACTCTTCTTCTTCTAGGAAGAAGAAGCCAAAAGAAAGAGCAATTAAAAGCGAAGAGCTGGTTCACTGGTATCTCTGTAAAATACTGAGAGCACAAGTCAGACCTGTTCTGTAACTGATGCACAGAGTGAGGGGGTACAGGAAGGATCTAATATTAGAGCAGTAAATGGATTCAGAAGACAGAAGAGGACACGTACCAGGTGGAGAAATGGGAGAGGACTTCATGGGGTGGTTTCAGCAGCAGCAGTGGCTGCAAAACAATTGAGGGTGGGAAACAAGAAAAATGATGGCCTCTTGATGGTAGCTGAGAAGACTGGGGAGTATGTACAGAGGAGACACCTCCCAGCATGAGTTGGAATGAGTTTAAGAAGTTGGAGGGAATGGCCAGATACGGTGGCTCATGCCTGTAATCCCAACACTGGGAGGCCAAGGCGGGTGGATCACAAGGTCAAGAGATCGAGACCATCCTGGCCAACATGATGAAACCTCATCTCTACTAAAAATACAAAAATTAGCTGAGGGTGGTGGTGCACGCCTGTAGTCCTAGCTACTCAGGAGGCTGAGGCAGGAGAATTGCTTGAACTGGGAGGTGGAGGTGCAGTGAGCTGAGATTGCCCCCACTGCACTCCAGCCTGGCAACAGAGCGAGACTCCGTCGCCCTCCAAAAAAAAAAAAAAAGAAGAAGAAGAAGTTGGAGGGAATTCTTGGCAGGGTATCATGGCTCCTGCTTGTAATCCCAGTGCTTTGTGGGGCTGAGGCAGTCGGATCATTTGAATTAAGGAGTTTGAGGCCAGCCTGGGCAACATAGCAAGACCCTGTCTCTACAAAAACTAAAAAATGAGCTAAGCATGGTGGCTCATGTCTGTAGTCCCAGCTACTCAGAAGGCCGAGGCAGGACGATCACTTGCACCCAGGAAATCAAGGCTGCAGTGAGCCATGATCATGCCACTGCACTCCAGCCTGGGCAACAGAGCAAGACCTTGTCTCAGAAACAATAAGACAGGCTCGAGAGTCCGCAGAACCAGGAGAAGCATACTTAGGGCAGGGGATTGTTGTTACTCTTATTTGGGACCCTCCTTTTAGTACCTGCCTCATTGGGTAGTTTGGGAAACAGGAGTTAATTGCACATATACCTGTACACACTGCAAGATCAAAGATTTGGTGGGGTTTTCTTCGGAGTTTGGCAAGAGAGGAACCCAGAAACCCAATCCATCTGTTTTAATAAAGTACCTCCTGAAATAGGTTTTGAGATCCTTTCACTTTGATGAGGCATGAGACCCAGCAGAAGGACAGCTGGGACGATGGAGGAGAGAAAAGGGAGGAATGTACATAAAATTTACTCACATCGAGACACAAAACTGGCAGAAATAATCCAAAACCCACTTATTCCAGACCCTTACCTTTTTTGTATCACACATAGGCCTGTTTTTCTTTGACAGGCCCAAATCTTGCAATAATTGTGACAGAGGAAAGTTTGTTTTCCTTTGATAGCTACTTCCACCCCCCATCCTCCCCAACCTCCCCTCACACATTCCAGGCAGTCTGATTACCTAAATATTAACTGGAATTTGCATTGTAGTAAGAGCTTCTAACTACTATTGCATAAAATTTTTCAGAACTAAAAGGAATGGAATTTTTCATGGTTCAAAGTCCATACAGGTTGCAGAGAGAACAAAGTGAGGTAATGGATACAAAAAACTTTATGGAACATCTAACCCAAGACCATAGGACCAACATTAGGCTCTGAGTCTCCAGGTCCTTGTGCCCTAAGGATTAAGATGTGAACCCCAACCTTTTGGTCTAGGTGTCAATGGGCTCCACTTTAGGATCAGATAAATCTGAAGCCAATTAGGCTGTATTCTTATGAGCTAAGTAACTTTGGACCTCAGTTTTCTATTTGTAAAGTGGGGATAATAAACCTCTGAGAGTTGCTGGGAAACATGAACACAGTGCTTGGTGCATGGGACGCTCTCCATGACATTATCCTCCTTGCTATTAACCTTGGTCTCCTTCTCATCACTCCTACACCCACCATTCCCACATTCTAATTCAAATTGTTTCTTAACAGAACAGCTGAAATGAAATCTCTCTAGTAGGACTTGCCCCTCAGTGATACCAGAGTATGTGTTTGTCAGGATGCTTTTGGTTGCAAGTGACAGCAACTCAAGTCAAGCTGGCTTAAGCAAAGTATTCATGTGACTGAGTATATTAGAGGTGGTATGAGTTTACGGCTTTGGGCATGGCTGAATCCAGGGGCCCTCATGATATTTATTAAGATTTAGCTTCTCTCTCTCTCAACCACTTTGTTTTTCTCTGCATTGACTTACTTGTCAGGCAGGGTCTTTCTACCTGGTGTTTCTCTTAGAAGCTCTATAAACTAATAATCTCTGTATAAAAAGAAAATTCCTTTTCCCAAATAGGTATAGAAGTCACTGAACCAATAACCGTGGCCCGGGCAATAAGATGCTTCCTTTGGCCAGGCCCGAGTCAAGTGCCCATTCCTAGAGACAAAGGGACTGAACCAGTGAGGAAGAATGGCTTTCCCAAGGGAAATCTGAGTTCTATTCACAGAAGAACAGGAGAACATGCTAATGAGGCATAAACAACAGAAGCCCAATATAGTAAACTTCTTTAAAAGAAGGAAAATTAAGAAATGAAGGAAGTTCCAGATTTCCAGGCTGAGGTTGAGGAATATGACCCCCTCTTTCCAGTACTAGTCATGACGTATGACATTGAAGAAACTGTCTGGGTGCAGTGGTCCAGGCCTGTAGTCCCAGCAATTTGGGAGGCTGAGGCAGGCAGATCACTTGAGCCCAGAAGTTCAAGACCAGCCTGGGCAATGTTGTGAAACCCCATCTCTACAAAAAATACAAAAATTAGCTGGGCATGGTGGTGTGCATCTGTAGTCCCAGCTACTTGAGAAACTGAGGCCGGAGAATCACTTGAGCCTGGGAGGTTGGGTGACAGAGTGAGACCCTGTCTCAAAAAAAAGAAAAGAAAAGAAAAGAAACTGAAGGAACTAAAACCAAAGGCTTGAAAGAGTTTAATGTCCACCAGTAAAAACTACTTTTTATATTCCAAGGAAACTAAGACCTTAAACTAAAACTTATAGAAGGGAAAATATTTGAAGCAAACCCTTATCAAAATAAGGCAAGGGGAAAAAAGGTACCATTAGGCACCTGAGGTATCAGATATCTGGCTACAGTTCCTTTCCAGTGGCCTATTAAAAATGTTTGAGATATATATATATATATATATATATATATATATATATATATATATATATTTGGCTCCAAGCTATAAACTTGAAATCAATTGGTGTGTAATTGAATGTCTAAATGTGTGCAAAACTTAATACTATATCAACTTTATTAGTGGCTAAATTTAATATTTATTAAAAATCTCATTATATTAAAAACAATTGAAGGGTAGATAGTGTCCACTTTGCAGGAATTCTGAAGTTCACACAATGATTGCCAAGAAAACTCAGCCATCATCAACGAAATGAGTTACTCACAGCCAAATTGTTTCAAAGGTAAAATGGTTTTTAAAAATCTTTTCATCAATCGCAGTGAAAATGAGAGGTGGATGCATTTTAACTCCTGTGATGATGTGATGATATGGGGTAGGGTCTCCAAAAGTCAGGGTGCCTGGGTCTCTAAACAGCTCTGCACACGGGACACAGTGGAGTCAGGGAAGCAGTGGCCGAGGGAGTTCTGCCCTGCACCAGCCCCCAGTCCCAGCTCCCAGCGCCTCCCTGGCTGAGCTCCTACCTCTCTTTTAAGCCTCTATCATAGCAACAGCCCCAGGGCCAGACCCCTAATTGCCAGCTTCTTCTAAGTGCCAGGAAAAAAGCCCTCTGCAGCCCTCCACCCCCTCCCCAACACAAGCCCACGGGGTCAGGCAGGTTCAAAAGGTGAAATAAATGAATCTTTACACATTATAAGGGCCCAAGCAACATTCTCTGTGGCATTAGTGCCTGAAACGGCAGCAAGTAAAAGCAGGTGTGCTGGGCGCCCTGTCAGCTAACGACACTGATAAGCCTGCCATGCCTGGTTCTGCTTCATTTCAAACAGTCTGCTGGAAAAAAAGGAGGGGAAAACCGGAGCAGAAATAATTGCTGGAGCTTCCAGTGAGCTGAGAGAGCCTGCAGGCAGAGATCAACGGGCCTGATTTCATCCTCTTCCTTTTATTTCTATAACCTTAAACGTTCTGCTATTATAAAAGTCATCATGTCAGCTTTCTCTCCAGCCTCTCCAGCTGCCCATTTTCAAATTGTATCAATTGGTAAGGCTTTTGGGATGACGGATTTTCATCTTGATTTATGGTTTCTGTGCTTTAAAGAAGAAGCAAACTCCACTGACCTGATTCAGGCATGCAGACATGCCGTCCTGGGCATGTGTTTATAATCAGATCCTCCCAAAACTGCCTAGAAATGAGGGAGGGCTTGGTGTGTGTCTCTTTTTCTTTCTTTCTTTCTTTCTTTTTTTTTTTAAATAATAGGTATTATGGCAAATTGCAAGAGAATAACATTTGTCATGAATCTCCTGGCTACAGTGGGCGAAGAGGAGTCTGATTCTTGGCAGTCGTCTAAGTTCTTGAGGTTCTTGGTGACCATTGGCTTCAAAACAGGACAACTAAGTAATAAGAGCTTCACAGAGAGAGCGGGCCCTCACATGGGCCCCTGTAATCCACCACTTTTTAAAAATAGATTCAGAGGGTGCATGGGCAGGTTCGTTACATGGGCGTACTGCGTAATGCTGGAGTTTGGGTGTCTAGCGAACCCAGCACCTGAATAGCATCACTCACCACTTTCGAAGTGGCAAGGGCTAAGAAACAAGGGCTGTGCTGGCCTTTTTAGCTGGAGGACTGCATAAGCAGTACGAAATAAGCATATTTTAAAAATACAAGCATAAACTGCCGATGTCAGCAAGTACACAGGTTTGCAGGGAGAGCTGACGCATCCTGTGGCGGGTGCTCTAGAGAGCGCGTTATTAAAATGTTCGGGCGGATGGTGGGAGGGCTGCGGAACAAATACCGACTTCCACAGTCCTCTCCACGCATCGTCCAACGGGAACGCTGGAATAAATGACCTGCTGACTTTGTCATGCAAAAAGATGTGGCCCCATCCAGCCATCCCGCACCGTCCCCATCGAGGCAGAAGATAGTAACCAAGAAGGAAGCCAAGGAGTGGCGGAAGAAGTTAAACCAGACACACAGAAAGAGATGAGGCTCTCCACCAGGCCCCCAGATGATCCTCTTTGGAGACAGATTGGAGCTGTGGAGTGAGTCACAGGCTGAGTGGCGGAGACAGGGGGAAGACCACTGCCTAGCTTAGGAATCGTAGGTCAGAGACAGGGGCCCAATGGCCCAATGCAGCCAAAGGCACATCGAAATTAATCAGACACCTACACCATGGATTATCAACAGGGCTCCCAGGGTGGAGGTGGCAAAGATGTATGAGACCTCATCTATGAATGTCCCCAGGAATGGTGTCGGAGGCTCCCCGTGGTCCCCTTCCTAATTCTTTCCAATAAATCTAAGTGTGCAGATCACAGGCCTCTCGAGTTAAAGCATCGCTTTTCAGGGCCTAGAAAATCACACTTCGCTGAGACTTAAGCCTCTTTCAAATGCCACTAACACGAGAGGTGGCTCTCCCCCGGCACAGGTAAAGCCGTGGTGAGAAATAAACCTCTGTGTTAGAGTGAGAGAGAGGGAGAGAAGAAAAAGAAAGAAAAAGAGAATGCTAATTGTGCTAAGGACGCTGACAGATTTGACAGAAAGTGTCTTCATTGAGAAATTGCCATCTGAAGTTCCCCCTTGTTCCTAGAGACGCAGGAGGGGGAGGCACGAGGGAGGCTGACAGGAAGTGAGGATTCGAAACTTCAAATACAAACATTATGAAAAACAAGCAACATCTGCAAACAGTAAGTACTTATTTATATTTTATGGAGTGTGTGCTTGGGATTCTGACAGGTTTTTAAACAGAGACCATATTAGGCCCATTCGAAGGCGAGAATGTCCCTTTTAAAAATGCATTACTCCTCGCTCAGGCAGGTCGGCCCCGCACCGCTGGCCTCAGGTGAGCCCTGACCCCTGCCGACCTGGCCTAACCAAACACACATGCCGGTTTGCGATGGGACCGTTTACCGCTGCTCAAGGTCAGCGCAGGCGGGCGCTGGAGGGTTAGTATTCAGCAAAGCTTTTCCCTCTGCTGACAGAGCCGCTTTGAACTTTTCCCTTCTGAACAAATAGGAAGGGAAACTGCAAGGAAACAAGTGCTGGGAATCATAGAAAAAAGCGTGCAGCAAATAAATAAATAAGCCACAAATAAATAAGTGGCCAGCCTTTTCCCCGGCAAATAAAAAGGCACACCCTCCTAGGCTTCCAGCGTTTCTGTGCATTTGGCGCATACGAGAAACTTGAAAATAAAAACAATAGAAGAAACCTTCTATCTTTTTTCTTTCCCCCTCCGAAGGACGAACCCTTTATTTTTGACAACAAATAAGAGGCATTTGGCAGGTACGGTGTGCTGTGCACCATGAAATATTTAGTAAGGCAATAACGACTCCCCGGACAGCTTAAGAAATCCACGATTATATTCAGAGAGAAAGCCATGAGCAAACAGAGAGGGGGGAACAAAAAGAAAGATAAAGGCAGGCCTTTCATCAGGACTTCCTGTCCAATAATGCAGCCAGGCTTGATCCATATGTTTTGAGAAAAATCAAAGTGTCACAACTATCCAAAATGTCAATAGCTCCAGTAAGGAATATTGTCTAACATTTTCTATTACACCGTTCAAGAATTTGCCTCCCAGCGCAATTTGGAAGAAGAAACTCTTTCATTTCGAAAACACTCAAAGAAAAGAAAGAAAGAGGGGGCGGGGTGGGGGGGGGGCAGAACAAGGCGCATTTCAGTGCAATGTGTAATACAATAATGCTCTGGGCTCCCCGGCCATCCTGAAAGTCGATCCTCTGATGAAAGTGAGTTCTCCTCCACACCTCTCCTCTGTTCTGTCCTTTCTTTGCAGACACTCTTGCTCAGGCACTTCCTGGACAGTTGGATATAACTGAGCAATCTCCGTGCAACGGGAAACCAGAAAAGCCCAACTTTCAGCAGGCTTAATATTTGGATAATCCTGCATAATGATTTCAGGGTTAAGTCACAGAATGCTCTATCAGCTTCTCTATGCATACTAGGTGCCCAGACTGCTGGGTGACCTGCTTTGGGGGAGAAAAAGCGAGGGTGGGGGGAAGATCCCTCTGTGTAAACAAACAATTTTTTGCTGCCTTGGCAAAATGTAAACAGAACCCACGCACCTTGCCCTGGGGATCAGCCTGGCAAGATCTAGTTTGACAGAACTTGCTGCACAGCGTCTCCTCGACGTCCTGGAAATTCTAGAGGGAAAAATAACGCACGAGTTGCTGCTGTCTGTGCCTTGTGGAATCTTAAGTAGAATGAAACAGGCCCCCGACAATCAATATTACTGACAAATAAATTAATCTCGGCAAATAAACTGTTGTTAGCTTCAAGGCTGTCCCAGTACCCAGAATAATTGCTTAAATGAAGCTGAGGCCTTTTCACCAGTTTGCAGCTATTTTTTCTGGTCATCTACCTGTGGGTAGCACTCAGGTTGTCCAGAGGGAATTGGTTTTATAAAATAAAATCATACAGTGGCCCTGACCTTGCTCCATTAGCTCCCTCAGTGCTAGAGCTCTGTCCTGGCTTCAGAACAAACACTTTTGCCAAATGCTGAGAAGATGCCTGCCCTTCACCTACCTTGAGGGAGGCAGGAGGCAAGAGAGAAGTAGGCAGTGATTGTCTACATTGCTGCCCAAACCCTTAAGTTTAGCAGAAGTAGTTTGGAAGCTTGGGGTAAGCAAGGCACTCAATGTCAAGATTGCAAAATTCTAGTTTTTCTTAAGGAATATAAAGGGCACATATACTCCTGTGACTTCCAAGATCCCTAAGTTTGTGTGGGAGGAGTTGGGGGAGGGGGGTTCATATCTAGAGGTAAAACTCACCCAGTCTGCACCACTATTAAATATTGGTCTGCTTTGTGCCAGTTGAAACATAGTCATCGCCCCCCTCCCCAAGCCCTCTGCTGCCCACAGCTCTGGCCTTTCCTCAGAACTTCCTCCCCTTTCCTTAATTCAGCACCTAAAGGGTTAATATCTAAGGCAGCAGGAACTCCCAGCACCCCGACCCCAGTGCTGATTGGTGGCGGTGGGGGGGTGGTCAGTGCCAGCAGTGGCTAAATATTTTGACTCTACCCCTAGCTCACATCCTCATGGGTGCCCCAGCCTGATGTCATTTGGCCTGTCCTGGGTTCTCATGCCGTGACCCTCTGCAGTGCCTCTTCCTGGGAGTGAGAAAGACAGCAGATGGATCAGCTTTTCTGAGCTCATCCCTTGTTAGAATTACAGTTCCAGCTAGTCTAGGATCTGAGACACTCAGGAATAGCAGGCGAAACAGGCGAGACATTTCCCAAGTCACAAAGAGTACACAGCCACAGAAATCAACAGTCACAAGGGTCTAATTGTCATTAGCATGTAAATTTTAAAAGCTCAGTCAAAAATATCAATACCTCCCACTTAATTTATTACTATATAAAGATGGATGGGAGTGAAGCATAGCATTGATTTTCAGAGCCCTTAAAAAGAAGGGGGAAGAAAATAGAGACAACACAAAATGCCGTGCCTCCAAATTAATCAACGTGCTTTTTAAACACACACACACGCACACACACAAATCCTGTACCAACAGCCTGTGCAGTTCAATCTTATTTGATTGCCTTTTCTGAAAATGAAGAAATGGAATAGGCCATTTATGTAAAGAGCCCTCTCAGAATGGATTATATGTAAAGACAGGTTAGCATTTTTACTGTATCGACAGCAAACCATTAGGCAGCCACACTCCAGCCCAGCCACTGAGAGGAAATCGAAGAGAAGAGTTCCCTGGCCGGGCCAGGCAGGACAGCCTATCAGCTCCTGGTCACTGTCACTGATCATCCCAGCCCAGGCTGCGGCTCTTCTCCCCGCATGGCATGACGACGCCATCACCCTCATAGTTACCAAAGTGTTAGAATAGTCGTGACCACTAAAAAGTAAGTAAATTCATCACCAGGTTGAAAACTGTGCTGGAGAGCCTATAATCTGGGAATAGTGTTTGTGTCTGAAATCACACAGAGATCAGAGCAAAATTGTCCCGTGTCATGAGAAGATGGGTCACCCCTCTGCATTTGACATTTTGAGATGTTTGCATCTGTACAGAGGGAGAAAGAGGGCTGGAGAGAAACGACTGCAACGAGAGCAAAAAGGAAAAACAGTAAAGACGTTAGAGACATTCATTTTGGAAACACGTACGTATGTGCCACTTGTTTTGTTTTTGTTTTTCAAGAATTTTGGGTCCACGTCTTTTGAAAATGCAGTTTCCTGATTAAAGCAAATGAAGCTTTTTTTGTAGCCTAGATAGGGGCTATATTTCTCTGCATCTCCCGGAGAGCCAAGCTTTCCAAAAGAATAGGAATGCCCATGTTTTAAAATAATAAAATACAGATATTATTAATCTCCTAGTTCCAGAATTCCAAGGCCCTACCGCCCACCCACCTCTCAAAAAACCCTGTGAACTATGGATGATAGCCCTGGGTTTTATTACGGCATCTAGTGAAACTTATTTTTTATAGCAATGTTCCTCCAATAATCAGGCTACAAGCCAAAAGCAGTACTTCACATTCATCAGACTAGAAATATGCAGCTTTTATAGAAGCATTTTGTCAAGGGAACCCCAGTCTCCAATAAGGGCTGCTCGTCAGGGTCCCTGCTATCAGAGTGATATTTTTAATTTATCGGGATGCTTCAACTATATTAAGCAGCAGCCTAATTCTCCTCACTTTGCTTATGAAGTGAAGCTGCGGTTCAAAACAAACATCAAGTTACTAGATGTCTTCCTGCTATAATTGGATTTAATTCATTATCTTTCATTTCAATAAAATCACAGGAAAACACAGGGATGTAAATGTGTAGGCTAATTGCTTATGGAAATTCAGGTGCCGCGCTTGGTATAAATTTACCCTTTGCAAGAGGAAGACACAGTTGTGTCATTATCATAGAATTTTACAACAATATGTAATTATAGAGAGAAGCAGGTGTAATTAGCAAGTCTTTCCACAAAGCAGGTAGCATTCCTGGTTAAATATTTACAGCTGCACAAACAGCCGGTAATAATGAGAGTTTTCTCAGCCTCACGTTACAGAGCACCCAACGAATACTATGAAAAGTGGTCATTATCAGCCCGGCAAACACTGCTGTGCCGTCTTGCTTGCGAGGAATGCTGCTGCATGGGTTTCAAGACAAGAATCCAGGCTGAATCAGCAGTGCGGTTTCAACAGTGATGAGAACAAGTAACTAAGATCTCTTCTTCCCTTATTGCTGCAGAAGAGCAATTAAGGCTGCATATTTAGAGATGATATCAGCCAGGAATCCTGCACAGAGAGAAAAACTCGTTGCATTTTTTTCTTTCTTCCTTTCCCCGTTCCCTTTTCTGTCCAAAGGAAACCCACAGCAAACTGCGTAAATGCCGCAGGCACGCAAGCCGACTCCAAACCGCCTACCAAGGGTCAGCTCTACCTGCAGCTGTTGCACAAAATAAAATCAACGCAGCCCACCCCAGGCAAACACCCTCTGTGGCTCTTTATTACCAAATGATATGAACTTTGACCCAACCTGAACAAAATTTAATATTTTCTCCCAAATATTTAAAAAATTCATTCTGGGGCTTGAGTGGAGTCAGGGAGTCTGCGAGCCGTAATTTGACATCTGAATTATTCTGAGGCTAATACGGAAAGCTATTCAGGAGCTTATTTGGAGATGTGTCAATCAAGATATCACTTGTACAGGGAAGATGGACTCAGGCTTAGGAGTGCAGATAGCTTTCAGGGAATCACAAAATAAAAACCAGGCAGGCTCTGATGAATACGTTACGTCTTCATTCTTGATGATGACATTTTT
Source organism: Homo sapiens (assembly GCF_000001405.40). Classification (NCBI taxonomy): domain Eukaryota; kingdom Metazoa; phylum Chordata; class Mammalia; order Primates; family Hominidae; genus Homo; species Homo sapiens. The sequence continues at coordinate 54,171,676 of NC_000016.10, read as the reverse complement.
TTTTTCTTGATAGAGAGTACAGACCTAACAGAGCGATGTCTCAGGGACGTGCCTTTTTCCACACCTGTGAAAACATTTTAACGTTTATTTAAAATGATAACCATAAACAACAAACATGGTGTCGAAACTCGCCTCTGTTCATTTTACTGCGCTGATTAAGATTTTAAGCAACGCTTCTAAATTAGACTGTCAGGCAGCCATCCTCAATGCAGGGTTGAGGTTCTGATCTCGAGCTAGCTTGTGTGAACACACGGCCTTTCTGGGTTGATTGTGAGCCTGGCCAGCAGCCTTCAATGTTCTTTCATTCATTTTCGATGAGACGGGGAGGGATTCAATTAGCCCTGATTGTCCATGAGATGTGGCCCAAAATAAAACCACTGGGCTCTGATAGCCTCCTCTCAAGGTATTTCCCAGCTGACAGGTAACAATGTTAATTACCCATTATTATGATCTGAAAAGACACCAGAATTTTAATTATGTAAATTCAGAGCCATTTTGTTCACAGGAGCAAAATATAAGCAGACTGTTTTTCTTAGAGGGAACATTAATCCCTGTTTGGGAGCTCTGCAAACTTAACTGTAATATGTGTGATATGTCAGAGAAGTCAACTACACCCCTCCCTGAGGGTCTTGGGATGACTTCTTTCTCAAGACACAAAGAATAGGACATTGTCTTTGACTTTCCGTTTCTCTCAGTACCATTCTTGGGAGGCTCTGACAGCCAGTTTGCTAGACCGTGCCTGCTAACATAGAGAATGTCTATAATGAATGTCTTCACAGTAAGCAAACAAACACCTCCAACTTCAATACCTTCGAGGACCAAACCATCACCAAACATAAATATCATCAAGTGCCTTCCATAGATTCCCTACATCAGTTGGAAACATTTTTTCTACACTGGAAAAATAAAATCTAATTATCTTCGAAGCTGTGGAGAATTCAGGAATCTTCTCATTTCCCGAGAGAATTCTTTATTCCACAATTGGGTTCTCTGTGGTTGTTTGCCTTCATAGATTATCATCCCCTACATCATTAGAAATTTGTCAGATGTCAAAGGGGTACATGGTACCCAAGAAGAGCATTTGGGTGTTTATGACGTTCAAGTTGGATTTGATCTCAAGCTGAGATACTCCTACTCCTGGGGGTGGTGTGACAGGAGCCTTGGGAAAACCAGTGAGGGAGGGGCAGACTCTACAATTTAGCTAGAAGAGAATAAAATGGTATTATGATTTCTTCTCTTTTTTTTTTTTTTTTTGAGACTGAGTCTCACTCTGTCACCCAAGCTGAAGTGCAGTGGCACAATCTCTGCTCACTGCAACCTCCGCATCCCAGGTTCAAGTGATTCTTATGCCTCAGCCTCCCGAGTAGCTGGGATTATAGGTACCCATCACCAGGCCCAGCCAATTTTTGTATTTTTAGTAGAGATGGGGTTTCACCATTTTGGCCAGGCTGGTTTTGAACTCTTGACCTCCGGTGATCTGCCCACCTCAGTCTTCCAAAGTGCTGGGATTACAGTTGCTTGTCACCATGCCCAGCTAATTTTTGGGTTTTTAGTAGCGACAGGACTTTGCCATGTTGGCCAGGCTGGTCTCGAATCCCTGGGCTCAAGTAATCCACCTGCCTAGGCCTCCCAAAGTGGTGGGATTACAGGTGTGAGCCACTGCACCTGGCCAAAATGGTATTATTATATTAAAATGAAAAATGATACACTATGGACTAGGACTTTAAATTTATTAAATTTTTAAGACAAACCAGGAGACTTCAAAGAAAAAACATTATTGGAGTACATTGCCAAATCCTCATCCCCATCATACCCGAAACCCTGGAAAGCTGAGTGAAAGGTGGTTCAGGTTTACTGTCCTTTACTGGGTAATAGTAGTGAGAAAGTTTAAAAAGATCTGGGATCCTCATGGCCCTCAAAGAGTTTCCAGTCTGGTTCATCATTTCCTGCTTCCTAGTCTGATAAATAATGAGCCAAACCATGTCACAGCAGCAGACCTCATCTGCCAATCAGGTCATCTTTAATACAAAGGACCTTAATGAGGGAGAAGAAAAGGCTGGGGCAGGAGGGGAGAGGGTGGAAGAAGTTGTTCTTCACCAGTAGCATACACAACAGCCTAGAAAACAACCAGGCAAACTGTATCTGTAAGGAAAGGGAGCAGCCAGAGGCTTCATCCGAAAACAAGTCCTGTTTTCAGCGGACTTTGGCAGAGTTGAGAGAAGACTAACCTATTGGCAAGCCTTGCCAGAAGATGCTAAATGAAAGGAAGAAAAGTAAGTACCACTAATTGAGCACTGACTGTGTGTGAAATGTATTATCTTCTCCCTTGATCACTGTCCCACAAACCCATTTTTCAGATGAGAAAACTGAGGCTGGGAGGAGTGAGCCACTTGCCCAAGCAAACACAGCTAACAAGTAAGCAAGGAGCCTGGGCTCTTCCCACCCTGCCATGGGCTTGCTTCATGTGCGGTTCTGTAGTCCAGGTGCTTGAAATCTGGGGCGTCCATAAGGTCTCGCCTGCAGAAAGAAAATGAAAATGGAAAAAATAAAAAGATACAATAATGTGATCGTTCTCTATCACTGAATTCGCAGTCTCCTAACTGGAGCCGCTGTGCCCTGTTTGTTCATGTCTTCCTCCTTTCTCATCTGCATTTCCTCCTACTTCACTGATTATTCCTTTCACACCTACTTGATTCACCTTAGATGCCAGAGTTTCTCAGGGCTCTGTCTCCCTCCATCTGGATTTCTCAACCTCAGCACTGCTGATATTTTGGGGGTGATCACTCTTTGCTGCAGGGGCTGTCCTGTGCATTGCATGGTGTTTAACAGCATCCATGGCCTCTACTCACTTGATGCTAGCTTGCCCCCCAAAATTGTCATAAGCAAAAATGTCTCCAGGCATTGCCAGATGCCCCTTGGTGGTGTGGGAATGAGTGCGCAAAATTGCCCCCTGTTGAGAACCACTGCTCTAGATGATTTTTACCAATTTCCATGTATTTAACTACCAGCTACATATCCAGATACCAACCCTTCTCCCGACCTGCTTGTCCAGCCCAGACCTCTCTCCCAAGTTTGAATTTATATATTGTCATTTAAAAATTCAAACTTGAAGATCTCACAATCACCTCAAATTCAACGATTCAAAACTGATCCCACCATCTCCCTGGATCTTTAAAGCTACGATTCCTCTTGCACATTCCCTATCCCAGAAACAGCGGCAGAAACCTGGGAGTCATTCTTTATCACTTCCTTTCTTTCAAACTGTACCCCAGTGCCTGGAATCTCATCACTTTAGGAGGCTTAGGTGGGTGGATCGCTTGAGGTCAGGAGTTTGAAACCAGCCTGGCCAACATGGTGAAACCCCATCTCTACAAAAACTACAAAAATTAGCCGGGTGTGGTGGCGGGTGCCTGTAATTCCAGCTACTTAGGAGGCTGAGGGATGAGAATCACTTGAACGCAGGAGGTGGAGGTTGCAGTGAGCCGAGATCCTGCCACTCTGCCACTGTATTCCAGCCTGGGTGACAGCGAGACTCTGTCTCAAAACAAACAAACAAACAAAAACCTGAACCTCAGCCCTATCCGCACGCATACAAGCACACCCCTCCAATCCGTTACTAAGGCCTATTGGTTGTAATTTCATTCTCCTGCAACCACCCACTTCTTCCCGTTTCCATGGCCACCATCCTTGTCCAAACCACCAGCATCTTGTGCTAGAACAACTGTACTAGACAACTGGCTGTTCTGCTCCGTCCTGCCCACTTTGATCCACCTGTACACAACACCCACCCATGGTAATAGATTTGTAATGACCTGGCCATGGTCACTTATGACCCTCTGTTGGTTTCCAATTGCTCTTAGAATGAAGCCCAACTTGTCCACCATGGCTACAGGCATGCATGATCTGGCCCTGCTAGCCTTGCCAGATGCGTCAGGCCAACTCTCCTGGGCTTAGGGTTGTTCATCAAGCATGGCCACCGCCATTCATACACTCAATTCTGCTGCCAGGAACGCCTGCCCCTCACTTCACTGACCCCTCCCATTCATCCTTAAAGACTCATATTTACTCTAAATTAGGTCCCTCTGCCATGTCCCCTGGCTGTTATGATCCCCTCTCCAACCCTTCTCTCCACTGTGACTTTTGTTGCACTATTTTGTTTGCTCGTTTAATTGAGGTTCTTCTCTGCTAGGCTCTAAGCACTGTGAGGACAGAGGTCCTGTTGGCCTCATGCACCACTGTCTAGACCTGCACCCACTGTTCAGAATGGCAGCCATGAGCCACGTGTGGCAACTGGGTACTCAAGTGAGGCAGCCGTGAATTGAGATGTGCTATGAAAGTAAAATACACCTGGATTTCAGAAACTTCAAATGAAAACGATAATGTAAAATGTATTGTGATATTTTGGATATATTGGGTTAAATAAAATACATTAAAGCATATTACCTGGGTTTTCTTACTTCTTTAAATGTGTCTACTAGAAAATTTAAAATTACACACCGGGCACGGTGGCTCATGCCTGTAATCCCAGCACTTTGGGAGGTTGAGGTGGGTGGATCACTTGAGGTCAGGAGTTCAAGACCAGCCTGGCCAACATGGTGAAACCCCGTCTCTACTAAAAAAATACAAAAATTAGCTGGGTATGGTGGCGCGTGCCTGTGGTCCCAGCTACTTGGAAGGCTGAGGAAGGAGAATCGCTTGAACCCAGAAGGCGGACGTTGCATTGAGCCGAGATCGCGCCACTGCACTCCAGCCTGGGCAACGCAGCAAGACTCCGTCTCAAGAAAAAAATAAAATAAAATAAAATATATAAAATTACACATGTGTCCCACATTATGCTTCTGTTGGACTGCACCAGTCTAGACCCAGCACAACACTGGTAAGTAGCGAGACTTTGTTTTTAAGATGCATTAATAGATGTAATGAGCAAACTCATCCTCCATGTGGATGATGGAAAATGCAAGTCAGATCTTGTTGCTTTGCTATGTAAAATCCCTCAGGAGCTTCAAGAAGGAATCCCAGCTCCTCACCAGAGCCGGTTCTTCCAGATCCAGATCCTGCAGGTGGCTCCAGCTTTAGGTCTTGCACCCAACGGGCTCCACATGCCAGATGTGCAGACACACTGGCACCTCCCAGCTGTGCCAGGACCCCCTGCACCCTCATGTCTTGGCACATGCTGTTTCTTCTGCCTAGGCCCACCCTTCCTTCACTTTTCTGCACAGCTCTTTGATCTCCCTTTAGGTTCATTTCCAGGAAGCCATCCTTGAGTCCTATGGGAGAAGTAAAGGGCTCCAGTGTATTACAAGTCACCCATTCATTTCTTTATTCATTTATTCATGATGTTAACTGGCGGGGATCCAAGAGTGTCCTCAGAGAGCGTATGGACTAGCTCCACAGTCAGACTCTGGGCTCCTGACAGCGACCATGTCTTTCATCTCTGAAGCCTCATCCCTAGCTCAGAGCCCGGTATACAGTACATGCTCCATAATTCTTTTCTTTTTTTTTTTTAAAGAGACAGGGTCTCTCTGTGTTGCCCAGGCTGGAGTGCAGTGGCTCGATCATAGCTCACTACAGCCTGGAACTCCTGGGCTCAAGTGATACTCCTCCCTCAACCTCCTGAGTTGCAGAGACTACAGGAATGCACCACCATGCCTGGCTTTTTTTTTTTTTTGTATAGATGAGGTCTTGCTATTTTGCCCAGCCTGGTCTCTAACTCCTGGCCACAAGCAATCCTCCCATTTCACCATCCCAAAACACTGGTATTACAGGCATGAACCACAACACCCAACCTACATAAATGTTTTCATAGATAACAAAACATTGTACACCTCAATGCAACAGGTCTCACACAGAAGCGTTCGCCAGTAGGTGGGCTCTTTCTTGGAGCTGAGGCTTCCTCCACTCCCATATAAAACTGAGCCTGGGTGCTGGGCCCACCACCTCCCTCACTGACTGTCCCAGAGGAACTGGGCTGGCTCAGCCATAGTTACCAGTTAGGCCGTGCATTTGCTCAGGGATTACTGGGCCCTTCCAAGAGAGGATTACCTTGTGTCCAAACCCACTGGGCATGAGAACAGCCCTCTAAATATTTGCTGAGAGTTCCTGACCTTTACCTTCTGTCCTTCAGCCCCGCGGGGCCAGCAGATGAGCTGGGCCTCTGCAGTTGAGTGGCAGCCCTGGGCTCCCCCCTCCTCCCTTCTCCCAGCCCGACTCTTTGGTATTCAGACCAGGCTTGGCTGGAAGGGCAGTGCCTCCACTTAGTCATTCTTAATATTACACAGGGAATGCGCAATGCTCCCCATGTTGACTCTGCTAAGACCATTCATGCCCTTGGTGGCATCACTTTAATTTGTGCTCTTGAAGCAAACTGCTGTCGTAGGAGCCCCGGCTGGGAGGATATTGCTTATATTAAAGATCAGAATGGAGGGAGAAACCAGCTTTGACCTGCAGCGGTACAGCTGGAGACGACCACCTGGAGCAGACGGCTAGGAAAGATGAGCTCATTATTGAAGATCTGGAAGGACACACAGGAGGTGGAGGGAGGGGCCGTGGTTTCTAGAAGGTCAAAATTTCCCCCAACCCCGTGCACCAAGATGAACCACTTAACCAGTCCAAAAGACATTGCATGAGGTTCTCAGTGATGTTGGGGTTCTTCTCGCAGGCAAAGCCTGGGCCACCATGCAACAAGGCCACTGCTAAGGGTGGGGCATAAACAGAAGAGGAAGAGCTGGGCAGAGTCTCAGCCAGGCACCCCATGCTATCCAGGCTGCTGGTACAGGGAGGGGTAGTGCAGGAGGGGACACCCTGCCCTGGGGGAACCTCCAGGAAACAGGGGACCCATCAAGATGACCCTGCCAGAAGACATCAGAGCTCCTTCAAACAGTCCTGTGAGCCATGCTGTGCTGGGGACAGGGTGGCCTGAAAAAATACATGGGATTCAGTTAAATTTCAATTGCAGAGAAACAGCACAATTTTTTTGTAGTAGTATGTGTTTACACATACTAGAAAATTTATCATTTTAATCATTTAAAAATATACAATTCAATGGCATTAGGTATATTCACAATGTTGCATAACCATCACCACCAACTGGTTTTAGAGCTTCCTTTCTTTTTTTTTTTTCTTTTTTTTTTTTTTGAGGTGGAGTCTCGTTCTGTCGCCCAGGCTGAAGTGCAGTGGCGCGATCTCAGCTCACTGCAAGCTCTGCCTCCCGGGTTCACGCCATTCTCCTCCCTCAGCCTCCTCAGTAGCTAGGACTACAGGCGCCCGCCATCACGCCCAGCTAATTTTTTGTATTTTTAGTAGAGACTGGGTTTCACCGTGTTAGCCGGGATGGTCTCGATCTCCTGACTTCATGATCCGCCCGCCTCGGCCTCCTAAAGTGCTGCGATTACAGGCATGAACCACCGCACCCAGCCAGAACTTTCTTTATCACCTTAAACAGTGATCCGTTAGACAGTCGCTTCCCATTGCCCCTCCCCTGAGTCTACTTTCTGTCTGAATGGATTGGCCTATTCTGGACATTTCATACCAATGGAATCATATGGTATGTGGCCTTTGGTGTCTGGCTTCTTTCACTTAGTATCATGTCTCCGAGGTTCATCTATGTTGAAGCTTGCATCAGTGCTTCATTCCTTGGTATGGCGGTGCAGTGGTCAGTATCAGCATCATAGCTCTTCCGTCCAAGAGGTCTTTGGGATAACCATATTTTGCTTATTGTACGGATAACCATATTTTGTTTATTGATTCATCCATTGATGAATATTATGTTGTTTTCACCTTTCAGCTATTGTGAATAGAGCTGCTATGAACATTCGCACATAAGTTTTTGTTTGAATACCTGCCTTCGACACATTTGAGTATATACCTAGGAGTGGAATTGCTGGATCTTATGGTAATTCTATGGTGAACTTTGTTTTTTTAAAGACAGGGTCTAGCTCTGTCACCCAGGCTGAAGTGCAGTGGCACGATCATGGCCCATGGCAGCCTCAACCTCCCGGGCTCAAACGATCCTCCTTCCTCAGCCTCCCAAGTAGGTAGGACTACAGGTGCACACCACCCTGCAGGGAGCAGCAAGATAGAGATCGAGGGACACAAAGGTAAATTTTCCACAGCAGACAGTGACGTCCCTGTGACTTGCCGAGGCATTGACCCTGGGGAGCGAGGGCTAAAGCTGTGTCAAGGACGTGCCTGGCTTTCTGGGTGGAGAGTGGTACCAGTCCCTGAGGCAGACATTCTGCAGAGGACAGTGCTTGTGGCTGGCCCATAAGTTGGGTGCTGGCCATGGTAGTATTTACAGAGAGCTCACCCTGACCCAAGCACCATTGTCCAGGGTTGACCTCCATTCTTTCTTTTTTTTTTTTTTTTTTTTTGAGATGGAGTTTTGCTCTTGTCGCCCAGGCTGCAGTGCAATGGAGTGATCTCAGCTCACTGCAACTTCCACCTCCTGGGTTCAAGCAATTTTCCTGCCTCAGCCTCCCTAGCAGCTAGGATTATAGGCACCCACTGCTACAGCCAGCTAATTTTTGTATTTTTAGTAGAGACGGGGTTTCACTTTGTTGGCCAGGCTGGTCTTACACTCCTAACCTCGAGTGATCCGCCCACCTCAGCCTCCCGAAGTGCTGGGATCACAGGCGTGAGCTACTGCACCCAGTCCATTATGTCATTTAGTCCTCACCGAGCCATTTGATTTGGTTTGAATGTGTGTCTCTGCCCAGAACTCATGTTTAACTGTAATCCCCAATGTTGGAGGTGGAGCCTGGTGGGAGGCAATTGGATGATGAGAGTGGATTTCTCACAAATGTTTTAGCACCATCCTCCTAGTTCTGTGCTCGTGATAATGAGAGAGATCTCTTGAGATCTGGTGGATTAAAATTGTGTGGCAGCTCCCTCTCTCTGTCTTGCTCCCACTCTGCCATGTGAGATGTCTGCTCCCCCTTCACCTTCCACCATGATTGGAAGCTTCCTGAGGCTTCCCCAAAAGCAGATGCCACTATGCTTCCTGTACAGCCTGCAGAGCCGTGAGCCAATGAAACCCGTTGTTCTTTCATAAATTACCCAGTCTCAGCCAGATGTGGTGGCTCACACCTGTAATCCCAGCACTTTGGGAGGCCGAGGTGGGTGAATTGCCTGAGGTCAGGAGTTCGAGACCATCCTAGCCAACATGGTGAAACCCCGTCTGTACTAAAAATACAGAAATTAGCTGGGTGTGGTGGTGCATGCCTGTAGTCCCAGCTACTTGGGAGCTAAGGCAGGAGAATCACTTGGACCCAGGAGGCAGAGGTTGCAGTGAGCTGAGATCATGCCATTGCACTCCAGCCTGGCGACAGAGTGAGATTCCATCTCAAAAAAAAAAAAAAATTACCCAGTCTCAGGTATTTCTTTGTAGCAATGCACAAAAGGCCAAATACACCATTTAAGTGGAGCTCAGAGAGAATGGAAAGAGCTAGAACAGTGGAACAGCTAGGATTCGAACACAGAGATCTGGGATACTGACCACTCTACCACGCCACCTCTCATCAACCTCGCCTTGGAGGAAAACTTATTTGTTTCCACCCTAGATGGAGGCTGCATGCAATTCTTATTATCCATCCTAAGAGAGACACCAACTTTCATTTTTGTTGTTTATACAATCCTGAATTATTTAAAGATTTACCAAAACCAAAAAAAAAGTGGTTTATTTTTCTAATTAGGAAAAGGGTAGATATTTTTTAAAAGTAAAAGGAAAACAACAGCCAAACAAGAGAAGATGCAGGGAAGGCCCAGGAGTCAAGGGGCTTCTGCTGGATGAAAGACCCAAAAGCAGGTGTCATCAGTCAGGAGATGCGTCTGAGAGCAGACGTGATCAAAGGATGCAACATCCGAAAACGCATGGCAATGTGAATACTAAGTCACTCTGCTCGCCAGCACCACAGGAAGGGCTGCCCCTGAAGCTTGAAAGAGGTTGTTTGCGGACAAATAAAAGCAAGCATGACCTGTGCAAGATAGTGTTGGGGAGTTTAGCCACAACCTCTCCAAATAAAGGCATTGTTATATGTCCCAGCTGTGTTGAAATGGCGTAGTTTTAAAGGGAGCCCTGGTTATGCGGAGAACTCCAAAGAGGTCCCTGAGGAGTTAAAGATCACTATCCCAGACTTTACTGATGGCCATGAGGCAGTGGTAGGAATGCTCTAGTAGCCTCCACCCCAGCAGCAATCATCCCGGAGCTTGTTGAGAGGGAGGCAACAGGCCCCGCTTAGACGGAGAGCACACTCCACCCTCAGTCCTCCAAGGACTTGGTGAACAAGGAAAGGTTAGTCCAAAGAAGAAACTAACACTCTTTCACAAGGTAACACCTACACTTCCAATGCTCCCCAAGTCCAGAGTGGTGGTAGCAGAAAAAATAAACAGGTACAAGGAGGACATGGGCATGATTCCAAATGTCAGAACCATACACAGCTTTGCAGGAAGCTGGACTCTGTCCGGATGGGGCATTAGGCTCAGAGGAGCCCCGTGCTCTCCCACAAGGCGTTCCAGGTCATCGGAGGTCATGTGGCCTTAAGCAGGATGGAGCGTGAGCATCGGAGTCCTCTGCTTTATATTAATTCCAGGAACAAGGATGTAGTCATTATTTATTGCTGTGAAACAAATTACCCTACAGCCTAGCAACTTAAAACAACACACCTGTGTGATCTCAGTTTCTGCACATTGAGAATCTCGGCAGGGCTTAGCTGGGTGCAACCGCTCAGCATCTCACAGGCTATACTCAGGTGTTGGCCAGGGCTGTGATCCCATCTCAAGGCTCGATGCGAAGAGGATCCACTTTTAGGCTCACTCACATGGCTGATGACAGCTTTCAGAACCTCGCCTACTGTTGCAGCTCCCCACGGGGGTCTGCTGGTTTCCCTCGGAGCGAGTCAGGAGAAAAACAAGAGAGAGCCAGCAAGATGGGAGTCACCATCTTTTATGACCTAATGTCAGACGTGACATCCACCACTTACATTGTATTATATTCATTAAGAGTGAGTTTACCAGCCAGGTGCAGAGGTTCATGCCCAGTGCTTTGGGAGGCCGATGTGGGAGGATCGCTTGAGGTCAGGAGTTTGGGACCAACCTGGGCAACATAGCAAGATCTCACCTCTACAAAAAATGTAAAACTTAGTTGGGCATGGTGGTGCATGCCTGTAGACCTAGCCACTCAGGAGGCTGAGGCAGGAGGACCACTTGAACCCAGGAGTTTGAGGCTTCAGTGGACCTATGATCCTACCACTGCATTCCAGCCTGGGTGATGGAGCAAGACTCTGCCTCTACAAAAATAAAACATAAAAAATTAGCTGGGCATGGTGGTGCTCACTTGTAGTCCCAGCTATTGGGAGGTTGAGGCAGGAGGATTGCTTGAAGCCAGGACTTTGAGGCTGCAATGAGCCTGGACAACAGAGTGAGACTCTGCCTCAAGAATAGGAGTCAGTGTTTAATGGTTACAGAGTCTCTATTTGGGATGATGAAAAAAATTTGGCAATGGATAGTGGTGATGATTACACAGTATTGTGAATGTATTCAATGCTACTGAATTGTATACTTTAAAATGATTCAAATAGTAAATTTTATATTATGCATATTTTACTACAATATATAAAAAGTGAGTCACTAGGTTCAGCCTGGTGGAGGGAATTGCACGAGGGTGAGAATAACTGGAGCAGACACCATGGAGAACTTTCTTGAAGGCTGCCGACTACAAGGGGAAGATAGAATAGAAACAGTTCAAACTGGTTTTCAGCATTCATTCATTCAGCAAATATTTGTTGAGCACCTAGCGGCATTCTAGGCACTTGGTATATCAGTGAATGAAGATTCTTGCCCCAGCAGCCTGACCTCTAGTATGATACTGATAGTGACCAGCAAAGACAGCAAATATGAACATCATATAGTGTGGGGATTTTGTTTGTTTGTTTGGTTGGTTTTCATTGTTTTTAAGAGACAGAGTCTTGCTCTGTCACCCGGGCTGGAGTGCAGTGATGCAATCATAGCTCACTGCAGGCTTGAACCACCGGGCTCAATCAAAGCTCTTGCCTCAGCCCCTCAAGTAGCTGGGACTACAGGTGTGTACCACCACATCCAGCTAATTTTTTAAAAATTTTGTGTAGAGATAGGGTCTCACTGCGTTGCCCAGGCTGGTCTCAAACTCCTGGCCTCAAGTGATCCTCCCACCTTGGCCTCCTGAGTAGCTGGGATTACAGGTGTGAGCCACTGCACCCCGCAAAAGTATGTTAGAAAAGTGCTAAGTGCTAGGAGAGAGGATGAGTGGATAGAGGCAAAGGGACCAGGAGCACGGGGAGGGGGAGCAGCCTGCAGTGTGGAGGGTGGCGGTTGAGCCTCCTAGGGAAGGTGGGATTGGAAGAAAGTCTTAGAGGTGGCAGCAGCCTCACCCATGAGGCAATGTCGAGAGAGAAAGCAGCAGGCATAGTGGAGGGAGGTGCAGAGGCCCTGGGGTGGGGTGAGCCTGGGTGTTGCCAGCTGCCGTAGGGAGGCCCTAGTGGTGGAAGCAGAATGGGTGATGAGGAGAGTAGAAAAGCTCAGAGAGGAACCAAGGCAGGTCACAGTGGGCCTCCAGAGCCACTATGCAAGCTCAGCCTTGACTCTGAGTGAAACAGGAGCCACTGAGGGTTTTAAGCAGAGAATCATGGTCAGGCATCAGTGTTAAGATCAGACCATCTGGCGGGGTCAAAGGTTGGATCAGGGAGACCCAAGATAAGGCTGCTGAAGCTACCAAGTTGACAAAGAGTGCGATGGCCATGGTTTAGATGAGGATGGCCGCAGGGGAGCTGTGAGGAGCGACTGTCTGGTGAGCATGTGTGAAGCTGAGAGCCAGCAGGATTTGCTGATGAGTTGGAAGTGGGAGAGGAGAGACAGGAAGAAGTTGAGGATGACGCGAAGGTTCATAGACTAAGCAACTGGAAGGATGGGGCTGCCCCCATTGAGATGGGGAAGTCTGAGTTTGGCAGACCAGGGAGCTCTGCAGTTCCTTGTGGGACCTGAAGATTTATTAGACAGCTAAATGGGGACATTGAGGAGGCCATTGGATAGATGGGTCTGCAGGCTGGCAGAAAGGTTTGGACAGAAGACACAGATCAGTGAGCCATCTGCTAATAGAATTTATTTTATTTTTTTATTTTTTTTTATTATTATACTTTAAGTTTTAGGGTACATGTGCACAATGTGCAGGTTAGTTACATATGTATACATGTGCCATGCTGGTGTGCTGCACCCACTAACTCGTCATCTAGCGTTAGGTATATCTCCCAATGCTATCCCTCCCCCTTCCCCCAACCCCACAACAGTCCCCAGAGTGTGACGTTCCCCTTCCTGTGTCCATGTGTTCTCACTGTTCAATTCCCACCTATGAGTGAGAATATGTGGTGTTTGGTTTTTTGTTCTTGCAAAAGTTTACTGAGAATGATGATTTCCACTTTCATCCATGTCCCTACAAAGGACATGAACTCATCATTTTTTATGGCTGCATAGTATTCCATGGTGTATATGTGCCACATTTTCTTAATCCAATCTATCATTGTTGGACATTTGGGTTGGTTCCAAGTCTTTGCTATTGTGAATAATGCCGCAATAAACATAAGTGTGCATGTGTCTTTATAGCAGCATGATTTATAGTCCTTTGGGTATATACCCAGTAATGGGATAGCTGGGTCAAATGGTATTTCCAGTTCTAGATCCCTGAGGAATCGCCACACTGACTTCCACAGTGGTTGAACTAGTTTACAGTCCCACCAACAGTGTAAAAGTGTTCCTATTTCTCCACATCCTCTCCAGCACCTGTTGTTTCCTGACTTTTTAATGATTGCCATTCTAACTGGTGTGAGATGGTATCTCATTGTGGTTTTGATTTGCATTTCTCTGATGGCCAGTGATGGTGACCATTTTTTCATGTGTTTTTTTGGCTGCATAAATGTCTTCTTTTGAGAAGTGTCTGTTCATGTCCTTCGCCCACTTTTTGATGGGGTTGTTTGTTTTTTTCTTGTAAATTTGTTTGAGTTCATTGTAGATTCCGGATATTAGCCCTTTGTCAGGTGAGTAGGTTGCGAAAATTTTCTCCCATTTTGTAGGTTGCCTGTTCACTCTGATGGTAGTTTCTTTTGCTGTGCAGAAGCTCTTTAGTTTAATGAGATCCCATTTGTCAATTTTGGCTTTTGTTGCCATTGCTTTTGGTGTTTTAGACATGAAGTCCTTGCCCATGCCTATGTCCTGAATGGTAATGCCTAGGTTTTCTTCTAGGGTTCTTATGGTCTGCTAATAGAATTTAAAGCCACGGGCCTGGCATGGTGGCTGTAATCCCAACACTTTGGGAGGCCGAGGTGGGCAGATCACTTGAGGTCAGGAATTTGAGACCAGCCTGGCCAACTTGGTGAAACCCTGTCTCTACTAAAAATACAAAAAAATTAGCTGGACATTGTGGTGGGCACCCTTAATCCCAGCTACTCAGGAGGCTGAGACAGGAGAATAGCTTGAACCCAGAGGTGGAGGTTGCAGTGAGCAGAGATTGCGCTACTGCCTGGGCAATAGAGGGAGGCGCCATCTGTAAAACAAGCAAACAAAAAAAGAATTTAAAGCCACGGGAAGGGATTCAATGACCCAGGGAAAGAATGAGGATGGAAGAGAGAAGGGGTGCAAGGATTGAGTCCTGGGGTCCTACAAAGTGAAGAGATTGGGAGAAGCAGGGCCCACGAAGGATGCTGAGAAAGAGCGGCCCTAGAGGTAGGAAGAGACCCAGAGGTGTGGGGTCCTGGAAGCCAGGGGCAGGTGTTCTGCAGAGGAGGAAATGACCCCATGTGTCCAGTGGGACGTGATAGGTCAAGGATGCTGGGGACTGAGAATTGGATTGAGCAACATACTGGTCATTGGGTCTTTGGTGAGCATAGTTGCTGTTGACTGGCCCAAATGGAATGGATTTAGGAGGAGTGGGAGGGGAGGAATTTGTAGACATTGAGAGTACAGATGGAAATTTACCCACTTCTGAATGCTTGTCATGCTCCTTTCTTGACTTATCTTCTTAGGTTCATGTGTGTGCATGTGTGCATGTGCCTGTGTGTGCATATGTGTGTGCATGCATGTGTGTGTACATGCATGTGTGAATGTGCATGTGCCTGTGTGTATGTGTGTGTGCGTGTGTGTGCATGTGTGTGCATGCATGTGTGTGTGCCTGTGTGTACATGTGTGTGTGCATGTGTGCATGTGTGTCTTTTCTTGCCCATAAGAGTGCAAGCTGCTGGAGGGCTGGGATCTTTCTCTTAGTTTTCTGCCTCATACTCAGCACACAGAAGAAGCCCTAAAATTAGTACTTGTCAATCACGTGGGCTCAACATGATGCTTGTATTCTGGGAAGCCAGGTGCTGTGGGGTTCTTTTCTAGTCTTCTGCAGCTGACATCCTGGTGGTGCCCCTACACCTGCATGTTCCAGGCCCACCTTACTCTCATTCTCTTCCCCAGTGGCCTCTTTCCAGTTTTTAGAAGGCCTCACGTTTCTTCCTGCTGAAAGACCCTTGTACATTGTAGTGGATGCTGGAATGTGCCTCTGATCTAGTGGCTGACGGCCATCCACAGTCAACCCTCTTCAAAGATTGTGTCAGGAAAGAGAGTTGCCTTGTTCAAGCCCCTGCATCCCCCCCCAGAGTGGCCTGCATTCAGGGATGAGTCACTGTGGTCATCCCAGGTGATATGGTTTGGCTGTGTCCCCACCCAAAGTCTCATCTTGAATTGCAATAATCCCCACGTGTCAAAGGTGGGGATAATTGAATCATAGGGATGGTTCCCCCATGTTGTTCTCGTGATAGTGAGCGGGTTCTCACAAGATCTGATGGTTTTATAAGGGGCTTCCCCCTTCATTCGGCCTTCATTCTCTCTCCTGTAGCCATGTAAAGAAGGACATGTTTGCTTCCCCTATGATTGGAAGTTTCCTGAGGCTTCCCCAACCATGCTGAACTATGAGTCAATCAAACCTCTTTCCTTTGTAAATCACCCAGTCTCGGACAGTTCTTCATAGCAGCATAAGAATGGACTAATACACCAGGGATCATCCCAGCTTCCCAGCTCTCTGGGGTTGGCTGAGGCCTCCTTTGATCCACTCATACTCAATCTCTCCCTCTGTCCAGCTCTGCTTCCTTCCTTCCTTCCTTCCTTCCTTCCTTCCTTCCTTCCTTCCTTCCTTCCTTCTTTCCACAAACGCTGATCACTGGTGAACTGCCTGATAAACCCCTCCTGCCTCAGAGTCACTCGCAGGGAGCCCAGCCTGCTACAGGAATGCCAATGCCTCTTTCCGGAAATCTCTCCTCCACCCCTTCCTCCACCTGTTAGAATCCAGTCATCGATCGGCTCAATCGCCACTTTTTCCAGGAAGCCCCCTGGGACTGTTCCTCCTTCCCACTCAGCCACCGTCCCATCACAATTCACTTCCATAAGACTCCTGTGTCTTCTCCCTAGGACTTACCTTATGATTACACACGGATTGCTGTTTATTTGATTGGTGTCTGAATACTGTGTTAGCCTACAGGCTCCTCTGGGACAGAAACAGTGCTGGTTTTGTTCACCCCATATCCTCAGGGCCCTCACTGCCTGGCATGCAGTAGGTAATCAAGAGACATCTGTCCCATGAACGAGGTCCCTGCAGGTGACAAAGGGTGAGACTCTGACCCAGGTGGCATTTCCTGCCCAATGAAGGCTCAATGAAGGCGCTGGAGGTTAGCGCTTCAATATAGGAATTTGGGAGGGGACACAGTTCAGTCCCTAACATCCTCCCAGGCTAGATGCTAAGCTTTCCGCTAACAAGGAGGGTGTGTCTTCAGATGGTTTTTATGCCCCTCACCCTGTTCAGAATGCTGCTAAGTGGAGAAGTGGATCCACGAAGACTTGTGTCGTTAAACCTCAACAAGAGGGCCAAGGACGCGTGAATCATGTTTAAGAGACGTGCCTGTCATCCCTGCTATCTCAGAGAGCATCCCCAAGGAGACCGAATCCCTCTCATGGGGAAGACCCTTCTTCAACACTGAGATTTTTCTTCTCACTGAAAACATGCCACTTTAACAACCCTCTTCCCCATGCCTCTCAGGCCAGGAATCCCGTGTCTCTATCCAACTGCACATGGGCCATCTCATCTGACCACCATGTCCCCACCATGCCCTGCCCTGGGCTTGGCCTCGACATGAATACCTTGTTTTTGCTTCTTTGTACACAGGTTCTGGGGAGGCCCGGCCAGGGCTGAGGACTCAGCACCTCTCATAATGGGAGGTCAAACGAAATGAAAACCCACCTCCCTTGCCCCATCATCTGAATTCCTACGTTGGCTATGACATGGCTAAGGGGAAAATATTGGATTTATTTTTATGAGTTACTTATAACCCTAAGGCCCTGAAGAGGAACCGTGCAAAGTGAATCCATTCAGAAGGTTGGAAAGGTCACAGCTAACTTGTAAAAATAAATCCAATATTTTTCGCTCTGTCTTATTAGATTTATATGATGCAGACTCCGAGAGAGGTTTGGTTTTTTTTTTTTTTGTTATGGTTGTTTTTTTTAATGGTCATTTTCCAGTGCTATTTAGAGCATTTCTTCTGAGACTCAATCAAACACCCATTCCATTGCCGATCATCCAGCTGCATGGCAGTTTCTTGATTTAAAATAAAAAATTTTGAAATAAGTACATGGAGGTTACCTCATCTCGCTTCCATCATTTCATCTCTACAGGAAGCAGCATCACCATTTCAGGCCCTAAAGTAGCCAAGCATGGAGGGTGGAAATAGCTGGAAACAGTTCATGGGCAATGCTAACGGCAAGTTCAAAAATTCACTTTTCATCTAAGAAAAAACCCAAAAAACGAAAATCAACCTCAGCAGCATAGGATCAAATGAACCCACTGCCATCTCTTAAAAAACAAACTGTGCTCCCCACACGCTCTGCCTCAAGGTCCCTGGGCCGGTTCTGCTCAGCCAGGGCCTCTCATGAGGATGAGGGGGCATCGGTCACGCAAGGATCCGTGGAGGGAAGATTGTGGGGAGACATCGGTGAAGGTCCTTCCCAACTCCAGGATCCTTGCTTAAGCCCACTCCCTCTTTTCTCTCTCCTTCCTCTTTGTCCAGACACTTATTTTCTGTTGCAACATTTTGACATTGAATTATCATCATTTTCCACACCTGAATCCGGACTCCTTTCTGTATTTGTTTGCTTAGGCTGAACAAAGGACCACAGACTGTGTGGCTTAAACAACAGAAATTTATTTTTTCACAGTTCTGGAGGCCAGAAATCCAAGATCAAGGTGTCCACGGGGCTGGTTTCTTTTGAGGCCTCTCTCCTGGCTTGCAGGCGGCCACCTTCCCAATGTGTTTTTGTGTGGCTATTTTTTTTAATCTTAGTGCATGCACACGCCTGGCATCTAACTTTCCTCTTCTCATAAAGACTCCAGTGTGACCGGATCAGCACCCACCCTAAAGAGCTCATTTTAACTTGATCACCTCTTTAAAGACCTTATTTCCAAAGGCAGTCTCATTTGGAGTCATTCGGAGGTGCTGGAGGTTAGGGCTTCCATATAGGAATGTGGGAGGGGACACAGTTCAGTCCCTAACATCCTCCCAGGCTAGATGCTAAGCTTTTTGCTAACAAAGGGGGTGTGTCTTCAGGTGGTTTTTATGCCCCTCACTGTGTTTGGAATGCTGCTAAGTGGAGAAGTGGATCCACGAAGACATCGTTAAACCTCAACAAGAGGGCCAAGGATGCGTGAATCATGTTTAAGAGACGTGCCCGTCATCCCTGCTATCTCAGAGATGCATTTCCTATTTTATTTGTATGCGCAAAGCCCACAAACATCACCTCCCTCGGATCACCTTTCTCTACCTACGAAGCCACTTTGGACAGAAAAAGAAGTAACGGGATTAGCCATGATTTTCATCTGCCACTTACGAGTGGTGGAAACACTGATAGTCCCCATGGTTTGTGGTGTTTTGACTTCTCTCTAAAATGTCACATCATTGCATGTTCTCAGGAGAAAAGCCATTAGTCTCTGCTCTGAAATTCCAAGGCCACTCTTCAGCCTGCGATGAATAACCAAAACCAGCCAGACGACCCGCCCTGGGCTGCACGTGTCTCAGCTCATCTGGAGAGAATGCGGGCAGTAATGTCAGCACAACTGTCTCTCCCCGGCACTCATCTTCCGGCCTTCTGAAGGATTCAGTGAAAAGATTGGAGTAGCCTTGTCAGGACAGGTGGCTTGGAGGAAAGTGGGTTTTTGTGTTCCTACAACATATATCTTCCAGTGTTTTGAATTCTTATCATTGTGAGCTTTTTATCTCTCAGGGATAGGTCTTTTTGTAAGTCAAGAAAGCTGATCTCCGCACCACCGCATTCCAGCCTGGGTGACAGAGTGAGACTCCATCTCAAAAAAAAGAAAAAAAGAAAGCTGATCTCAGAACTGAGGCATTAGCTCATACCTGTAATCCCAGTGCTTTGGGAGGCTGAGGAAGGAGGATGGCTTGAGGCCAGGAGTTTGAGGCCAGGAATTCAAGACCAGCCTGGGCAACATAATGAGACTTCACCCTACAAAAAAACAAAATAGAATAAATTATCAAAAAATTAAAAATTAAAAAAATCAAAGAAGAAATATATATATATAAAAGCTGGGCATGGTGGCATGTGCCTGTAGTCCCAGCTAGTCAGGAGGCTGAGGCAGGAGGATCACTTGAGGCCAGGAGTTTGAGGCTGCAGTGAGCTATGATCACCCCACTGCACTCCAACCTGGGTGACAGAGCAAGAGCCTCTAAAAAAAAAAAAAAAAGAAAAGAAAGCTGACGTTTGCTCTGTGTGACTTTAAAGGTGCCATTAAAGCCACTCCTTTGACTTAAGTAACTGTTTCTCAAAGTGGGCTCGAAGGAACACTGGGTTCACATAAATCAATATCTTGGGGGCAGTAGAAAGAGTTCTTTAAGAGAAGGAAGGAGTTACATCTTTCTTTTACACCTTGTTTTCCCAGATCCTAGCACGAGGCCTGCCGCATAGTATATTCAATGCATCTACATAGAATGATGGTTTACATGGCCAGATATGCTTGGGAAACACCAGACAAAAGCCAAAATTAAGTCAGTTTTCTTACTTTGGGCTTTCTCAAAGCTTCAGTCAATGAACATACTTCAAGAAATGTCAAGAAAAAGAACTGCTCTGCAAGTGTATTTGGATCTAAAATTCTGAAATGCAGTTAACCAGCAGCTTGAGGTGGTCTTGTTCTACGGTAGAGTAGTTTAATAGATTCAAGAGCTTCATCCATTGTGCTGAAGGACACTAAAGGGAAATAGAAGGAGCATAAACCTGATATAAATGGCCTTTGGGGTGACTTGAGGAGAAGCTGCCCAGACATGAAATCTGGAGGTTTTGGATACCTGGACGTCTTGAAGCCCATTGCCGATTGAAGGCCCTGCCTCTAGAAGGTACCCGAGTCAAGGCATTTTGGTTACATCAGGGGTGGAAAAGACAAAGGTGTGAAAAGACAGAGGAGATGCTCCAGAGGAAGTCGAGTTGCACGGGTTTGTCTCCAGGTCCCCAGCAAAGCAGCAGACGTCCAGGGCCGTGGGGACAGAGGACAAGCAGGAGAGGAGCCAGCAGAACCGAGCACCGGGGCCCGGCAAAGCCACAAAGGTGGGCGGGGAGTGAGGAGTCAGGAGCTCCCAGAGAACCCCAAAGACAGTGTTCCATATTCAGTCATGTCCAAATGCGACCCTGCTCCCCGATGCCACCAAATAGACACCACCTAATCATCAAGCAGCTAAGTCCATTCCTCTCATTCTGGAAAAAGAGGGAGAGACGGAGGCTGAACAGCTCCTGTTTCTCCGAGCTTCAATTTAGCCCTCCCTTTGATGAGCTGCTGCCACGATGTGCACAAAACGAGTGCAATTTAAAACGCAGGAAACTCGGCTTTCAATAATTCCCCACTAGGTTTGCGTCTGCTGAAGAGTAAATAACACAACTGCTACAAACGCTGGAAGCAAAATCTCCAATAACAGCTCCATGCTTATGATAACTTTCCCAATTTTCTGCAATCTCCACTGCTTCTCTCTTGACTTGGGTCTGTATCAGATTTTTTTCTTTTCTTTATTGAACATCTGCCTTGGGAGCCACTGTCACAAAAAGTAATAAACACATCAATCCAAAAGAAAAGGAGAGGATTGAGCACTTCAAACTACTTAACCAATCAAATTGGCAGCTGGCAGAATGAAATGGAGGGGTGAGACCTAAGAGACCCACTTCCTGGAGAATGTCTCTAATGATGGTACCCACCCGTGGGGGACGAGGTACCCAAACTGCACGGGGCTTCCTAATAAGTTAATTGCAGTTTCTAACACTAATTATAGACTTCAGCCTTTGTTGAGATTTCAAGCCCTGGGATTAATTTGTAAGTCATTCATTCAGCTGAAACTTGACAGCTCTTGCTGCTTCTAAAATATAAAGGAACAAGGGAGAGAACTGCCTTGGAATTAAAAAATTCCTTTCCTTAAAACAAAAACCTAAACAATCATGATGTCTTTTCCACTTATTACCCGTGGACTCTGAAAACGTGTACCGCAGACAGAAATCATTACATTCCGTGTCCCTGAAGTTCTCCCCCTGACTCCCCACCTAAACAACAACAACAAAAAATTATGCCTGAAAGGGAAACAAAGCAATTTATGTTTTCTGGTTATCATCCTGGAAATAGCCAAAGATTACTTGCATACCGAACAGACGAAATCAAATCTTTCACTACTGCTTTAAAAAAAAAAAAATCCTATTACAAATTACATTTAACTCAGGTGTGTATAGTTTGCCAGTTCTTATCCAATTGTAAATTAGACCAGGGTTGCCTGTTGGGAGGGAAAAGTGGCTTTTGAAACATGTCTTATTGACTGGGTATAAATTACCTGCAGCAGATTTGTGAAGCAAATTTGAAGCAAGAGATGCCTCCAGGCAACACTGTATTGATTGTAGATTGATATTCTGCTGATTTTAAGGTGAAAAATAAAGATTGTTTTAGCAGCAATTTAATTAACAAATCATTGCACAAACGCTAAGAATATTGTGTTGTCTAATACAGGGATTTAAGCTATAAAAAAAACAATTATCTGGGAAATGCTTAGTTTCACATGTAGATTAATTGTCTTTACTTATCGCTCTGTCTCTCTGTGAACTCACATAAAACAAAATAATGGTTATGAGCACCCTGCTCATTTTTCTTGAGACTTGAGAAGTGAAGTTTTCCCTCCTCCTAAAAGCAATAAACACACTTGTCTTCAGCACTGGCAAAAATTGAGTTGTGCTGTTTTTAGCAGAGCCCTTGGAAGCTGGAATGTGTAGGGAGGCCTGACTGTCAAGCCAGCTCTGTCCCCTAGCTGTCAAGTGACCTTGGGCAGATCACTTCATTTCCCCCAGCCCCAGTTTCTTCATGGTTTAGATCACCCCTAAAGTAATGGTGTGCTGGTAAATGTTTAGCAACCAGCTCCAGAGAGGGGAGTCCTAATTTGTAGCATCTGCCGATTGCCGTGGTGTAAATACTGTGACTGTAACTGATTTCAAGCTACCGATCTGACATTACTCAGTGCATAGTTGGGAGGAGATGCCTCAAGCCACCTTGAACCAGCCCCAGCTGACCGCTGCCTCTAAGATCCTCCAAAGTTCAAGAATTCCATGAGTTTATAAATGTAATTTAAATTTAAATTTAAATGCACATACACAGAAGAGAATTACACCTCTTTTTTGTAATTCAGAAGTTATTTCAGAACCTTCCAATGTAACAGGATTATAAAAATGAATATTAATATGATTTCTCGTCAATAGCGTGTCCAGAATATCCAGCTTTTTCTCATTTTGTTACTTGAAAAATAAAACAATAGGAAAATCATGTAGTAAGGAGATAATGTCTATAACGGTTTCCAGAATTCCTCCAATGAACTGCTTCTTCAAAAATTACCACTTTTTTCTTACTATTAAAGTACTACATATGTATTGAAGGTAATGTAGGCAAATTCAGAAAACTAAAATAAAGGAAAATGTCTAAATCTCTATAATTACTTTATCCAGAAATTAATATTAATGTATTGGCATATTGTTGTACAGTTATTTCTCTCTCCTCTCTTTCTCTCTCTGTCTCTCTCTCTCCCTCTCTCTCTCTTTCACGCACACACACACACTCATACACTCTTATGAATTTTTTGTTTGTTTGTTTTTTGTTTTGTTTTGGGTTTTTTTTGTTTTTGTTTTTGAGACGTAGTCTCTCTCTGTCACCCAGGCTGGAGTGCAATAGCACTATCTCAGCTCACTGCAACCTCCGCCTCCCTGGTTCAAGCAATTCTCCAGCCTCAGCCACCCGAATAGCTGAGATGACAGGCGCCCACCACCACACCCAGCTCATTTTTGTATTTTTAGTAGAGACAGGGTTTCACCATGTTGGCCAGGCTGGTCTCAAACTCCTGATCTCATATGATCCGCCCACCTTGGCCTCCCAAAATGCTGGGATTACAGGTGTGAGCCACCATGCCTAGCCATGAATATTATTTTTTTTAAATGGGATCAAACAAGGATTTGCGACTCTATTTGCTAAACAATGAAACTATCACCACATCATTAAATATTCCTACATTATTTTTAAGGGCTGCAAGAAAAGGCCTTAGTTGATCAATCGATCAATCAATCAATCCTTCATTTTTAGGCCCCTTGTCTATATACAGTTTTATGTTAATGTAAGACAACTCTGCCTTCAGCATCACAGACCAACTGTACACAGCCGCAATTATTGCTGATGGATCAGTTGCAAGAACAGGAGTTGCTGTATCTATTAATGTACTTTTTTTTAAAAGATCAAATTTTTCATGGAAAGAAATTGGTTATTAGTATTTTTGTATGAGATCAGAGACTACCTATAATCTAGGGACAGGCCCAACATTGATTGAGTGACATTATGTGGTTTTATTTTGTGTCTCCCACAAGGCAATGAAAACCCAGTAAGGATTGGTTATTGTCATCCTATCAGTCAAATACCACTGCTCTTCTTAGGAGTGATCTTAGCGTGGCAGAGAGGGGTGCAGAAGAGCAGGTCACGATCACTGTCAATTTCAGAGCAGCCTACCCAGGAAGCAAATGGAGAAGACCTTGACAAAAGCCCATAGGACTGTCCTTGCTCGGAGGGAGATGGCAGGAAGAGCCAGGGCTCCTGCTGCACGGACATAAAAAACTCCCTACACCTTAGGAGGGCCTGCAGGTCTGCAGAAGGAGGTCGCCTGATGGGCAGTAGAAAACATTCTCTTGCCATACAGACTTACAGCAGGAAATAGACACAGCCTTAGGAAACTTCTGATTTGCCTTTTCAACAATATTCAAGAAGACATTGAATCCAGAAACTAGAGCAAGCAGGGTAAGAAAGAAACCATCCGAGATAAGGGGAGAGTGAATGGAGAGAAAACACAATTGATTAATTAAAAACCCTCATATGAACAGCAGGTTGGAGACTGCAGAAAACCAATTTAATAAGGTAAAATACAAATTCAAGACATTTTCCATTATACACATGGGAAAGTTTGATAGATACTGATTTACAGTGATAGAGAAAAATGATCAAAGACACATGTGAAAAACTGTGTTGTCGTTAGCAGAACAAAAATGGGGTCTGTCCCTCTAAATTATTTTTTAATAAAAGGAAGGAAGAAAACATAGTTCATATTTTTTAAAAAGGAATGAAGGGAAATCAAATAAACCTAAAAACCAAAACAAAACATTAGAAAACCAAACATTACTGTCACAATATATGGATTAACTATTAAATACAAACCCATACAAATGAGTTAACCCTATTAAATTCAGAGATTCTCAAATAAAGTAAAAAAAATGCTATTTAGGTAGATAACCCTAAAACAAAAGGATTCAAGAATAAGAATATAGACTATTTGGATAATATAAGGTCATATGTTAATATATATTATATATAATAGCATATTATATAATAATATGCTATTATATATAATATGTGATCATAAAATGTATATATTTGTGATCATATATGTTATAATATATAATTTGTATATATATAATATATAATTTGTTATATAATAATATGCTATTATATTAGGTAACAATATAATAATATTTATGTATCAAATTGTATCCCATAGAAAGATTATATTTTAAAAATTATTCATAGAATATTTACCCAAAAAATTATCTTTTACGTTCTAAGGATGACCTTAATACATTCAGAAAGAACTATATAACTCCAGAGAGGTGGTTTTAACATGGAGAATTGAGTCCGACAGTTATCTCCTCCTAATTTTCAAAATTACATAGAAAAGGCTTCTAAGAATAAAATACAGTCTGTAACTATTCTAGAAGACTTAAAAGACTACAACTAATGGATCCCAAATTTTAAAGTACTTCTGGAAGCTGAAGAAATAAAAATGAAAAATAATCCAAGGAGTGACAAAGAGGCCATTTTCAATGCCAGACGTAGAGGAGCCCTGAGAAGGATCTGGAAATTCAAGGAGAACCCCCAATCCCAGAAGAGCAGGGCTTAGTATGCAGATGGCCTGGGCAGCTCATAGGGTGCTCAGGCATAATCCTCTTTGGCTTTGATCCCGGCTCTTCCAGATGACAAGCCAGCTACTACCAGTGGATGGGAACAGTCACCTGGGTGAAAGCCGTGTGCTCTTCCTGGTCTGCGATGCTTTCTGTGGCCCCTGGACACTGGTCCCTTGCCCTGAAGATGGTGCATTACTCAGCATCAGAAAGTGCTGGCCTAGTCTCAGCACAGTGTTATACAAATTAGAACATCATGTGGCAAAGACCCACAGAAAAGTTATCTAGAAAGAGTATTTTTTTCAGAGCAAGATTTGCCACAGTCTCCATAGGAAAAATGCAAAATATTCTCTGTCTTCGTCCATTCCGGTTGCTGTCACAAAAATGCCATAATCATATAAACAAGAGACATTTGTTTCTCACAGCTCTGGAGGCTGGGAAGTCCAAGATGAACACGGATTCGGCATCGGGTAAAGAGTTCATTTCCTCATAGACAGGGCCTTCTAATACAGTCCTCACAGGGTGGAGGGTCAAGGCACCTCTCTGCGGCCTCTATTATAAGGAGACAAATCCCATTCAGGAGGGTGGTCCCCATGATTTAGTCACCTCCCAAAGCTCACCTTGGTGATTAGGTTTTCAATGTATGAATTTGATGGGGAGGGGCAGGACACAAACTTTAAGACCATAGCATTATCAGATTCCAAAGTGCTGAGTTTCAGAAATTTTTTCTTTAAAAGTTGGAGGTAGGAGGTGGGAATTGGAAGCCAAGCCACATTCTCCATTTTGAAAAAGAGGCTAATCCAGTATTCCCATCTCCTTTTTGGCATTTTTGTTTTGTTGTGTTTTGTTGCTCTATGTTTTTTCAGGAAAAAAAAAATAACAGTGATATCTGAGGATATTTTTTGAGTTGTTTTCCAAATTCAAATTGAACAAAAATAATATATTCTAATGTTTTACAAAACACTTTCAGACATACATCTCATATGCTCCTCACACAAACCCTTTTAATTAGGTAACCTAAGTATTATTATACCCATTTAACAGATTATGGAGGGGAAAACAGGTTCAGAACCTCCAAGTCCAGGTCCTGTGTTCTTGCTCTTCACCAAAAGCCACAAAACCTTGACCTGATTAATTGACAAACTTTATGAAGGAAGAGTCCTGGCCATGTTCATGGGAGCTGAGATGGTTCTAAAAGAGTGAACTTCGCTAATAGGAGCAGCTATTACATATGAACTTTTCTGCTAAGAGCATGCCCTAATCTTTGACTCATTCTTCTCTTTTAGTAAATGGAAGAGGATTCGGAGCTTCCACAGCTCTATCCAGCTCCTTCCCAGGGAGCCTGACTCCCTGTCCACTCATGGGAGCTGAGAGGGGGTGCACCAGGCAGCCTATCCCTCAAGCAAGGGCAGCCAGAGTGACTTCACAGGTGGAGAAGCCGAGAACCGGCCAGGCAAAGGCCACCAAAAGCGAGGGCATCTACCCTCTCTCACCCCGGATGAGGTCTCAGAACCTTTAACATGTGACATGCCCGTGACTGAGGACAAGGCTCTCTGAACTCCGGAGTTAGTTGGCTTTTTCAGTCCCAGGCTTGGCACCAAGATTTATGTTCCTAGTGTGACCACACTCACCATCCATCACGATTAGTTACAATAAAATCTCTCTTCGTGTTTTCAAAAGCCCTTCAAGTTACATTCCATTATGCAGTTAACATCTCGCAGATGGCCAGGCCATTGTTCAATCAGGGAACCATTTTTTGATCTCTGAAAAGGAAAGTAGGGGACTAGCGCTTGACCTTCCCAGAGGCCCTTGAGATCCTGAGCCTGGAGTCGAGAAGAGAAAACAAAGAAGGGGGCCCCTCTTCTCCTGCCAAGAACTCGGTGGTTCGACTGAAATGAGTGGATGGACAAAACAGAAGGGCTTGGGTTAACTGCCTTTTTCTTGAGGGAAGTTAACCCGGACGCCCTCTGGTCTCTAGAACACCTGGTGTGTGTTCTCTGAAACAGTTTAACCACATAGGATCGCCCCCTCTGGGGCATGCTGTTCTCAGGCCGGCCCAGGCCTGACACATTCAATTAACATTTGATCCAAACCCTGCTGGGAACTCAGATGACAAAAGGTGAAGGGATGATTACGGACATGGACATTGTCCCCATACTTTTTGCTCCAAACCTCCTCTCTCTACCTTCCACCCAGGTCCGTATTAGCCCTGTATGAAGCCCCTTCCCCTACCGCTGTTCACCTGGTGGCCCGGGCCCTGTGGTAAATTTTGTTGCTGCTCCTAAATAATCACTGCCCTCCCTGTAGGAGGATCCCACGTCTCTGCTCACTGCCCTGCGACTTGCCATGCATCCTGCGGGAAGAGTTTGCAGTCCTTCCCCTTGACATTGGGCTTGGCCTTTGCTTTAACCAAAGGCATATGAGTGGACATGATGTTGGCAGAAGCTTTTTCTTTTTCTTCCTTCCTTCCTTCTTTCTTTCTTCTCTTTCTTTCTTTCTTCTTTCTTTCTTTCTTTCCTCCTTCCTTCCTTCTTCTTTATTTCTTTCTTCTCTTTTTTCTTTCCTGCTTCTTCCTTCTTCTCTTTCTTCCTTTCTTTCTTTCTTCTTTCTTCCTTTTTTTCTTTCTTTCATCTTTTTTTTTGTCTCACTCTGTTGCCCAGGCTGGAGTGCAGTGGCACGATCATAGCTCACTGCAGGTTTGAACTCCTGGACTCAAGCAATACCCTCATCTCAACCTCCCAAGTAGCTGGGACTGCAGGCATGCACCACTAAGCCAGGCTAATTTATTATTATTCTTCTTCTTTTGGTAGAGACGGGGTCCTGCTATGTCACTCAGGCTGTTCTCAAACTCCTGGGCTCAAGTAATCTTCCCACTTTGGCCTCCCAAAGTGCTGGGATTACTGGTACGAGCCATCATGCCCAGCTGGCAGAAGCTTTCAGAGCCATTGCATGTTTCTGCCGGTTCTCTTCCTGTCTTTCAGTCTATCCAGAATAGAAGCTGCTCCTTCAGGCTGGATCCTGGAATGAAAAAGACGTGGAGCAGATGCCACATGCAGCCCACAGCAAACTGTAGCTGACATGTGATCTCAGCGAGAAATGAAGCTTTGTGTTACAAGCTACTCAGGGTGTTTGTTACTGCAGCAGAACCTAATCAAATCAAGAATTTGGGCCCCACAGTGGGGGCTCATCCCTCACACCTTCTTTCCTTCAGCTTCCACACCAATCTAGACCATCCTTCCATCCTACCACCAAACTCCATCTGAATCCATCCACTTTCCCATCCCTGCTGTCCCCACCAGCTCCTGAACCACTCCCGTACTCTGCTCTGAGTTTACCTTCCTGCTGCTCTCCGATCTTTTCTCTACTCAGCAGCTGGACTGGGTTTCAAACAGGGAAAATCTGATGATGCTACTCCCCAGCTTAAGCCCCCAAGACTCCCCATAGTTGTTAAGAGAAAAATAGCCCCTCGCCCTGTGCACGGCCTCCATTGACCAAGCTCTTCTGCACAACTCGTCTCTGCAGCTTGCACTTCTCCCCGCCACGCTCACTAGTCTCTACCACCCAGGCCTCCTTTCTCTTCCCCTAACACGCCGATTCTTTTGCCACCCCCAAGTCTCTGCCTAGAATGTTCTTCCTCAGATCTGGCCATTTTTCTAGGATCAATATAAACACCACCTCCTCCAGGAGGCCACCCCTGCCAACCCCCCCTCCTCCAACTCTCTATTTTAGTGCATTAGAGGCACTTATCACCATTTATAATTATCTTGTTTGGTGGTCTATTTGCTTTCTTTTCTTTTCTTTTTTTTCTTTTTTTTTTTTTTTTGACAGAGTCTTGCTCTGTCACCCAGGCTGGAGTGCTGTGGCTCAATCACAGGTCACTGCAGCCTCAATCTCCCCAGGCTCAGGTGACCCTCCTACCTCAGCCTCCTGAGTAGCTGGGACTGTAGGTGTGTGCCACTATGCCCCGCTAATTTTTTTTGTTTTTTGTATTTTTGGTAGAGCTGGGGTTTCACTATGTTGCCCAGGCTGGTCTCGAACTCCTGGGCTCAAGAAATCTAACTGCCTCGGCCTCTTGAAGTGCAGGGATTACCGGCGTGAGCCACTGTGCCTAGTCTACTTGCTTTCTGTCCTCGCCTTACACGCTATACAGGAAGGTTAGCCCCAGGAGAGAAGTCTTCTCTAATGTATCCCCAGTGCCTGGAACATTGGTGATTGATAAATATTTGTTGAATAAATGTCCAAACAAATGGATTCACTTTAACTTTCTCATTTTATGGATGAAAGAATTAATTCCCAAGGAGTTTATACCCAGCCAAGACCTCCTCCCCCTGACCCCAGTTAGCTAGTGGCAGAGCCTGGACAGGAACTCAGGTCTTCTGACTCCATCCAGCAATTTCCTCTACTGCCTCACACCTGCTCCCCTCTTTCTAAGATATTCAGTTTCCTTTCTTTATTTATTCCTGTGTTTAACATCCAGCAATATCAGAAGCTTCTTCCCGATGTCTACTCTGTAGCCTTGAAGCAGCAGCTTATACCCCCATGAACTTAACCATTGACTTACCAGAAATCTGGCACAGCAAATGGCTGTGATTCCATTCCCTGCCTGTGAAAGTATGGTAAAAATAACAGCTAACGTTCATTGAGCGTTTCTGTATATTAACTCATTTAATCTTCTCAGCAATCTATGAGGTAGGTACTGTTATTATCTTCATTTTATAGATAAAGCATCAGAGACACAGGATGGTTCTTTAATTTGCCAAGGTCACACAGCTGGGGAGTGGTGGGCCCAGGATGGGTGCCTGGCCTGGATCTAGAGCCTGGGCACGCTGTGTTCTGCTGAGCAGGTCAGTGGCTTAGTGTTGTGTATTTCTGGTTGAGTGTGACTTAGAAGTATACACATTTGCAAAATCCAACCACACATCTTCCTTCTTATCTCAAGGTTCCTGTGATATTACGAAAAGAACACAGACTCTAGCTGGGTGCAGTGGTTCACGCCTATAATCCCAACACTTTGGGAGGTTGAGGCGGGAGGATCACTTGAGCCCAGGAGTTTGAGACTGACCTGGACAATAAAAAGAGACCCTGTCTCTATAAAAAGAGAAAAAATTAGCCAGGCGTGGTGGTGCATATCTGTGGTCCCAGCTACTCAGGAGGGTGAGGCAGGAGGGCGGCTTGAGTCCAGGAGTTCAGGGCTGCAGTGAGCTGTGATTGCACCACTGTACTCCAGCCTGGGTGACAAAGCAAGACCTTATATCAAAGAAAGAAAAGAAAAAAAGAAAAGAAAAGAAAAGAAAGGAAAAAAAGAAAAGAAAAAAGAAAAGAAAAGAGAAAAGAGAAAGAAAGCAAGTGAGCAGACTCAGGGGGTCTGCACTGCACCTTAGCTGCCATTTATTGAGTGCTGACTCTATGCCAGGCATGGGGCCAAGGACTTAGCATGTCTTATCTCATTTAACTGATAAGGAAATGGAGGCTTAGCAGGTTTGGGTGCCCTATATAAGCTCACAAGCAGGGGGCCTATTCCAGCTTGAGCAGTTTGATCATAGGACAGTGCTGAAGAGACTTAATCCTTCTGAGTTTCAGTTGACTCATCTACAAAATGATACAAACTAATGATACAAATTCACAAAACATCTAGTGTAGTGTCTGTCACATAGCAGGCTGTCAGATGGCAGCTACAAATAGCGAGGTGGCTCTTCTACCATTGGGCACAATTGCTAGAAATAACTGCTTAGGTGCAACTATTAAGCAGTCAGGGATTTCAGGAACTCCTAAGAAAAGTATTGATCCACTCACAACCTGCCTAAATCACTAGAAAGCCATCTGCAAACAAAATGCCCTTGAGAAATCATCAGTTGTCACGAGCCCCTTAACCTTCATGGCCAGGAGGGTCAAACAGCAAACTTCATTCCCTAATGTTGTGGTTCCCTGAGCCCCTCCCCCAAAACCTCCCCCGCCCTACTTCCTGGGCCTCCGAGCTTGCTGGCTAACAGCTTTGGGGAACTAGATGGATGCTAACCTTTCCAGACCCACCATCTCCCAGCTAAAAAGGAATGAGTCCAGTGCTGACCCCGGAGAGCACCAGATCAGATTCATTTTCTCTAAGTCCTAATAAATGAGAAGGAGGCAGGGTGTTTCATCTCTCACTTTTCAACTGCATGATCCATCCTAGGGATGTGGGCGTGAGGCTTGGGAGCATAACAGATCCATCGCATTAGGCGGCAAATCCATCAAAGCCTCCTTCGCCATTCGAAGTGCCTTCTCGGCCAACCCCTGCTTAGCTCTCCTCTTTCTAAGATCTACTCAATGGCACGTCCCACTGGCCAAGCCACAAGGCCATGGACTTAAAGACTTCACTCAAAAACCACCAGGGCTTTCCTCTTCAAAGGCCTTATTCATTTATTTTCATAGCAAATTTGGAACTCTGGCTATGCCCAGGCTGCCGGTTGGAAGCTGGCAGAGGGACTTGGACCAGGAAGGGAGAGAACCAAAAGCCTGTAATCTCAGCACTTTGGGAGGCCAAGGTGGGTGGACTGCTTGAGGCCAGGAGTTTGAGACCAGCCTGGGTAACATGGTGAAACTCTGTCTCTATTAAAAATACAAAAATTAGCTGGGTGTGGTGGTGCATGCCTGTAGTCCCAGCTACTTGGGAGACTGAGGCATGAGAATTGCTGGAACCCAGGAGGCGGAGGTTACAGTGAGCTGAGATTGTGCCACTGCACTCCAACCTGGGTGACAGAGTGAGACTCTAAAAAACAAACAAACAAACAAACAAAAACGTAGATAGAAGAAAGCAACCATCTGGTTTTAAACCCTACACATCAGAATGTCAGAATGCAGGGATCTTAGCCCAATGGGGAAAGCAAGATGACTTCCCTGAACATGTGACAGAAATCCCCCAAATTCCAGAGTGCTAAGATCTGTCAGTGCTCCCATTGGGTCCTTCCTGCTCTGGGACAGACTAGGTTCACCAAAGGACCCTGTGAGGACTGAGTCATTCTCTGAGTGACATCCACCAGGACCTACAGATGGGCTTTGTTAGAATCAGGAAGGCAAAACCTATCACTGACACAAGGGCTCAGACAGTCTACCCTGCAGAGAGCGGGACAGAGGAGATACCCCTGAGCCACCAAGATTAGCAGTCTGCTGCAGGACTAGAGGCAAGGGCCAAGTGGGAAGGCCCTTCTGCCACTTCCGCACCCAAAGCCTGCTGTCCATGGAGAAGAAGATGTCAGTTGGTTAAACCTTAATCAAATGCACGCCAAGAGACCAGCCAAATATGCAAAAAAGCCCCCAGAGAAGAGCTTGACATCTGTCTCTGTCTATCTATCCTTTGAATGTTTTAAAGCAAATAGGAGGTACTTGCTCCTCTCAAATGAAATAAAAGACCGTTGCAACTGGATCTCATCATAGCCCACAATTTGTTCCTTGAATGCTTTCCCACCTACCCCTTGGAAGCAGCTGCTCAGCTGTGCACCCATAGTGTAACCCCTCTGTGTCCTCCCTTAAGACCGTTTTGGGAACCCTGATCAGCACAACCAAAAAGAGGTGACTCCTACAGAGATGTGCCATTACCATCGCAATGTCACTCCATATCGTCTTGGACATAAATAAAATAAAGGGGGCTCTTAAAAACCCTTGGACAAATGGGACACCAAAAGCACATGCAACCAAAGGAAACAAAACAGATACCTTGGACTTCATCAAAACTAAAAACTTTAGTGCTTCAAATGACACTATAAAGAAAGCGAAAAGACAACCCACAGAATGAGAGTAAATATTTATAGCTGATAAGGGACTAATATCCAGTATATATAAAGAACTCTTACAACTCAACAATAAAAACAGAAACAACTCAATTAAAAGATAAGCAAAGGGCCAGTCATGGTGGCTCACGCCTCTAATCCCAGCAATTTGGGAGGCCAAGGTGGGCAGATCACTTGAGGTCAAGAGTTCAAGACCAGTCAGGCCAACATGGTGAAACCCCATCTCTACTAAAATTACAAAAATTAGCTGGGTGTGTTGGTGCACACCTGTAATCCCAGCTACTCAAGAGGCTGAGGCAGGAGAATCACTTGAACCCAGGAGATGGAGGTTGCCGTGAGCCAAGATTACACCACTACACTCTGGGTGACAGAATGAGACTCTGTCAAAAAAATAAAAAAAAAAGATAAGCAAAGGATTTAAATAGACATTTTTTCCAAAGATTATATAGAAATGACAAATAAGTGCCTGAAAACATGCTGTGAAATATATATTTGGTCTTCATCCCCATTTCCTGGCATACAAGTCCTATGCCAGTTATAGGACAGTTATAATAAAAAAGATGGACAATAATGAGTGTTGGTGAAAATACAAAGAAACTGGAGCGCTCGTAAACTTCTATTGAGAATGTAAAATGGCACAGCCACTTCGGAAAACAGTTTGGCAGTTCCCACAAAAGTTAAATCATGTAGCTATTATAGAACCCAGCAATTCCACTTCTAGGTGTACATCCAAGACAACTTAAAACATATGTCCACACAAAAACTTGTACATGAATGTTTATATCAACATTATTTATAATAGCCAAAAAGTGGAAACAAGTGTTCATCAGTTGATGAATAAACAAAATGTGGTCTAGCCATGTAACAGAATATTATTCAGCCATAAAAAAGCACCAAAGTACTGATAAATGCTACAGCATAGAGGAACCTCAAAAATATTGTACTAAGGGAAAGAAATCAGATGCAAAAGGCCACATATTGTATGATTCCATTTATATGAAAGGTTTAGAATAATGAAGTCCAGAGGGACAGAAAATGGATAAATGGTTGCCAGGGGCTGTAGGGTAGTGGGTATGGGAAGTGACCTCTAATGGGTATGGGATTTGTTTTGGAGGTGATGAAAATATTCTAAAGTTAGATAACGGTGATGGGGTTACAGCTTTGTGAATGTACTAAAATCACTGAATTGAAACAAGCCAGGCACAGAAGACAAATATCACATATTCTCACTCATATGTGAGAGCTAAAAAAGTTGATCTCGTGGAGGTAGAGGTAGAATGATGGTTACAAGAGGCTGGGAAGGGTGGAAGGTAGGGTGAAGAGAGGTTGGTTAATGGGTACAAACAGAATTAGGTAGAAGGAATGAGTTCTAGGGTTTGATAGTGCAGTAGGGTGGCTACAGTTGCCAACAATTTATTGTATATTTCAAAATAGCTAGAGGAGAAGATTTGAAATGTTCCCAAAACAAAGAATGAAAAATGTTCGAGGTGATGGATATCCTAATTACCCTGATTTGATCATTACACATTGTATGCATGTATCAGAAAATCACATGCCTCACAAATATGTACAAATATGTATCCATAAAAAATAAAAAAAAATCACTGACTTGAACACTTTGAGAGGATGAATTTTTTGGTGTATGAAATATATCTCCATTTTTAGAAAGTAACCTTTTTGGCAGTGATGAAAAGGATCAATGAAAGACTTAGTCAAGGAAAAAAAGTGCATCCACTAACTTTAGCAGATCCCAAGAGGGTGGTGGGAGTCACTGGAAGGACCTGAGTGGAGGCATGGCACCAACTAGAGCTGGGTGTAAGGGAGATTGCTGGTGGACTGAAGGGGAGAGGGAGAGGGTAGAGATTAGCCAGGATGCTGCTGGCTTGCCAGGCAAATGATCCAGTCACAAATGAGTCAGGCCTGGGTCTTCAGAGGCAGAGGAAGCTCATGCTGCTTCCAGCCAACTTAAGCCCCAGTGAGTTCAGGTAAGATTAATCCTTCTCCTTCCTTTAAAGCCTCAGGAGCCGACTCCTGCACACAGCATCAGTTTTGCCGTGATACACATGAAGAACCAGAAGTTAGCAAACCCAAGCACCAGGCCCAGTTGTGACCTCACTAAGCTGTTTGACCTTGGGCAAGTCATATCACTGTTTGAGATCTCAGCCTCCTTCCTTGAAAATGAAGAAATTAGAATAGTTGGTTTTCAAGATCCTTCCAGCTCTGGAATTCTAAGATTGTGTTACAAATTCCCAGAGCAAATGTACTCCAGAATATGGCCTTATGACACGTTTCCTGCTAACTGAAGTCTCCTTTTCTGAGTCAGTCTTTGATTATGAATCACATTGTGCTATTTCTGTTGTGTTCTTTCTTTCTACTAAAGTGGGTTTATCTGGGCCAGGGTCCTCCCAGGATGTAGCAGGAGGTGAGGGTGTTCAATGAAAGCCTGCTGGAGAATGGATTGGAATGTTCTTTGGGATCCAATCTAATGATCTGGTTGCTATCTCCTTGCAGCTGTGGGGGCAACTGGCCATTCTGTAGTTGAGAAATAGGAAGTATTAGCAGGGTGGCTTGCAACTCGACTCCAGTGTTTCTAAACTCTTGGCAGTTCCAAGGACAGGTCTTTGGGCTGGCCTTTGAGGTAACTCCCACTGTGGGAGGAGCCCCTTGTGGGGGGCAAGTTAATTCATGCTGAAATTAGGATAAGACCCTCCCTCACTGTCCTGAGGTAGTACAGTCATCCAGAGACACATATCACAGATGAGACGCTAAGCATGTCAAAGGCTGGCTTCACAAAGAACGATGCCTATCTCTGCAGAAACTATTACGATGTTATCTGATTTTTAAAAAAACATTTTCTTACAAGAGCTCAACAGTGAGGACTTCAGACCAGGAGTGAGGAAAGAGAGGACCATCAGGAAGAGACTTCTTGTCTGGTTCTTGCATTTGGTAGCAAGGTGGGGGATAAACAAAGAGGTGGCAGACATAGCCTCCCTTGTGAAGTGGAAGGACCCCTGGTTTCTAGGGAGAGAGTCTGAGTATTAGCGTTTGGTTTTCTTTTTGGATGTTGTAGGTCCCTGTAGTTGTCATCAAACCCGCGCTCAACCTTCAGCCATCATTGCTGTGTGGTCTCAGCTTTCTTATGAGGAATTACGGGGTGGGGTCTTGTCTCCTTTTGGAGCAGGGACCAAAAGAAATTGTCTTTTCCCCATGATGGTTCTTCTTCATGGCAAAGATGTAGTCCTAGAGCCTCAGTAGGTGCCCAGCAGCCAAGTGAGAGGCATCCAAGGTGGAGCGGAGAGAGGAGAAGCCGGTGACAGTGGGGCTGCACGGTCAGCATGGCTCTTGCCCACAGTACTCAAGAGGAAAGAGGAGGGGGCGCTGCCTATCCTGGTAGCTGCCAACCTTTTCAGAAATCACCTCCACTATCTCCACTCCTTAGACCCTGGCTCTATCAGAGTTATCTCCTGTAACAGTCAAGCAGAGCTACTTAGGACCAAATCACTGACCAGAGCTGGGGAGGCCAACTTTCCTGTAGCCTCAGTCTCACTGGCCACAGCTCCACACCCCGACCTCCTACGGGCACAGGAAGTGGCAGCCCCCAGCTTCCATGTCCAAAGGCACACAGCTAAGAGCTCTGGGGCCACTCTGGCTGTCACTCTGGGGTGCTTCCAGGGTTAATGGTTGTCCTATTTGAAGATGGAATCTGACAAGGCCTGACAAACCAGACACGCCGAGCCTGAGTCTATATCCTGACGCCTTTGCCTCACAGTGCCCACATCAAGCCTCTGAGATCCTGCAAGCAGCAATCGCTTGGCAGAGCCTAAGAACATTCCAGAATGTTAGAACTCCATTTCAGTCCTATTATAGGCTCAACTCCAATAAAGATGCTGAATGTTATAGTCGGGCTTTATGGGTTCCCAGGGAAACTTCTGGGTAAAGTCATAGAATCATGCTGTCACTTAAATAGCACATCCAGGAAAGCCTAACTCCAAATACAGTAAATCAAACAGCAGCACGAGGAATAGGTAGAGCTGTGACTCAGGATGTGGCTTGTGGGGATAGGGCATCCTTCTTGGGAGGCATTATTATCCATGGCATTCAATTTCAGGGGTTTCCCACCCCCAAAATATTTCCTCATGGGATTTTGAACTTGCGCCATTGGCAATGTATTCCTCCCTCCCTGTGTTTAAACAGCAAACATTTCTGGGAGGTCTCAGTCTCTTGTTAGTGTAAATGAGGTCCTCAGTGAGGAACAGGGATTGTTCAAAGGGGCATTTGGAAAGGAGCATAAGACACAGGAAGAAGAGGTAGAAAAGCCTGAATTCATTCATGACCTAATTGTGTCAAGGGGTGCTTTTCTACCTAGAGTCAAACTGGATGTATTTTTCTGACCTGCAGAGACAGGGATAACTATGGCTTCATTCCTACTTGGCAAAGAAAGGGTTGAGAAGACACCATCAGGTCCACAGTGAGACATCACTTCATGTCAACTAGGATGACTATCATAAAAAAACAAAACAGAACAGAAAACAAATGTTGGTGAGGATGGAGAAATTGGAACCCACGTGCCTGGCTGCTGTGGGAAACAGTACGATGGACCCTTAGAAATCAAACATAGAATCACCATAGGACCCAGCACTTCCATTTCTGGTTACATACACAAAAGAATTGGAAGCAAGGATTCGAACAAGTCTCTGTACACCCATTTTCATAGCAGCATTATTCACAGTAGCCAAAAGATGGAAACAACCCTCAATGTCCATTGAAGATGAATGGACAAACAAAATGTAGTATATGGAACAAAATATACAGTAGCACATGATTCAGCCTTAAAACAGAATGAAATTCTGATACATGCTGCAATGGAGAGGAACCTTGAAGATATTGTGCTAAGCATAATATGCCAGACACAAAAGGACAAATACTATTCAATTCCACTTACATGAGGTGCTTAGAATAGACAAATTCACAGAGACAGGAAGGAGAACAGTGGTTACCAGCGGTTGGAGGGATGGGGGAATGGGGATTATTCCTTGATGGGTACAAAGTTCAGAATGAGAAGATAAAAACAGTTTTGGAGATGTATAGTGGTGATGGGTGCACAACCATGTGAATGTATTTGATTTCATTGAGTAGTACACTTAAAAATATTAATAATGATATATATATTTTTTTGAGATGGAGTTTCACTCTTGTCTCCCAGGCTGTAATGCAATGGCACGATCTCAGTTCACTGCAACCTCCACCTCCCAGGTTTAAGCAATTCTCCTGCCTCATCCTCCTGAGTAGCTGGGATTACAGGTGCCCACCACCATGACTGGCTAATTTTGGTGTTTTTTGTTTTTTCAGTAGAGATGGGGTTTCACCATGTTGGCCAGGCTGGTCTTGAACTCCTGATCTCAGGTGATCTGTCTGCCTTGGCCTCCCAAAGTGCTGGGATTACAGGCATGAGCCACTGCACCCGGCCTAAACAAATGATAAATGTTATACATATTTTTTACCACAAAAAAATTTTTTACAAAGGAAAGAAAAGAAATTTGGTAACTGAAAACTAGGCTTCCTTTTTCTTTCCTCTAGGAATAGTTATAATTGGAGTTCAGATTAGATGAGAAGGTGTGTCAGTTGGGCTAGACTAAGTTATGCTAGGTAACAAGCACCCCCCATGTTTCTCACTCATGCTATTGGTCCGTCATGGGTTGTCAAAGGGGCTCCTCCTACTCATCCAGGGACTCCAGCTAACAGAGCAGCACACGACAGAGAAAAAGATGTCCAAAGTTCTTGCACCAGCAAGTAAATTCTTTGGTTTGAACACAACCCACGATACTTCTGCTCAAAACTCTTGGGCCAGAACTCATCATGTGTCCTACCTAAGGCTGGGAAGTGCAATCTTACCATGTTCTCAGAAGGTGGGAAGACAGAAGTCTTTGACAAACCGCACTAATGATTACTGGAGAAGTAAGTGGGATAGTCCAGAGGAAATCCCATTGGACTCCATTCCCTTTGAAATGGAAAATGTCCATCTGTTATACAACTGTTCATTCAGCCATCTAATCACTCATTCATTCCAAAAATGTTTTTGTAGGTTTACAATCTAGACAGAGCCTTCTTTGTGGGCTCGGTCACTTCTCGACATCACAGATGGTTTCTGCTTCTGTCAAGGGAAGGTTCAGTCACTAAGTCACCCCTGCCTGTCCACCACTATCATGGTGTGTGGTCTTCCATGGCAGCCAATCCTCTCTCCCCAGCCACCCAGGCAAGGGCTTCTTTGGGGCCCTGGTCACTTGCCACCTAAGACACTCTTCAGCTACTTCACATGATGACCAGGGCAGCCAGGCTCTGAGGATCTACTGGTAACCCAGGGAAGACAAATGCCCCCAGAGCCAGCAAGTCCCCTTCCTGCCCCGCTAAAAGAGGAATAAGAACTTGTCTCTGGCAGCCTCTTATTTGGAATCTTGAGCACATGCTGAATTGGGGCAACCCATCTGTAGCTTCCCCAGGACTGTGATCACACCTCAGCTCTGCCTTGTAGCTGCCCAAAGTCCCAGCATGCTTCTCATCTGTATCTTCCCCGGCCTATCTTCTCATCTCCACACTCATTCCATTGTGTCCTCCAGAACCTTCGTTCCATAGCAAAAAAGCTTCCCAGTATCCATTCATGTATTCAATAAGTGCTTAATAAATGTTTCCTATGTGCTAGGCACTGTCCTAGATTGCAGAGATGAAGCAGTGAACAAGACAGACACCCGTCCCTGCCTGTGTGGGACCACTGCAGCAATCCACGTAAGAGGATGCACTGGGGTGTATTGGTGGAGGTGATGAAACACACTTAGATTAGACATATTTGACAAACCCCACCATTCTTCTGGACCCTTCCCATCTTGCTTTAACGAAAACCTCCGTGATGAGTCAGACATTTGCTTTCTACAAATGTCCAATTCTCCTGCTGCTCTCAGCAAATGGCCGCATGCCCCTTCATCACAAAAATGGAGTCTTTAGATGTTAACTCCTCCAACTCCCATCATCTCACCTATGTGTTATCCATGGGACATCCATCCTCACCTCCTTCCCTCCAGCCTCCTTCAAGATGAATCTTTGTTCTCTGGTCTAATTCCCTCCCATTTTCTAGAACCAAGACTTCTTCCAGCATTCTTTGAGTTCTCCTGAATTCTTCAACCTCATGCTATATACTGGATCCTTCTTCCAGATCTTTAAGCATGCTCAAGATGAGTCTCCTTTAAAAATTAGAAGTTAGGGCCAGCACAGTGGCTCATGCCTGCAATCTCAGCACTTCAGGAGGCCAAGGCAAGAAGATCACTTGAGCTCAGGAGTTCAAGATCAGCCTGGGCAACATAGTGAGACCTTGTTTCTCAAAAAATATTTTTTTAAAAAAATAGCTAGGCATGGTGGTACACACAGCCACTCAGGAGGCTAAGGCAGGAGGATCAGTTGAGCCTGGGAGATTGAGGCTGTAGTGAGCCATAATCACTCCACTGCACTCCAGACTGAGTGACAGAGCAAGACCCTGTCTCAAAAATTAAAAAAAGAAGTTAAAATATTAAAGAGAGAAATTTCCAAATCAGTTTTAGAAGTATTGATCATCCATTGACTGGTGTTAAGGCAACTAAATATATCTGTGGGGGACATGGTGGGGAGAAAGAACCAGAACCTCCTCTCACATTATTCACCAAAATCAATGTGAGATGAATTAAAAAATTGAAGATAAAGGCATAAAACAAAAAAAATGCCTAGAGAAAACAAAGAGTAATTTGTGATGGAAAGATCTTATAAGAGAAAAACAAGAAGCAATAATAGAAAACATGAACAGATTTGACTATATAAAAAATGCTTGTATAAGATACTATAAATATAAAAAGATACCATGAACAGCATTCAAAGACAAATAATAGACTGGAAAACAATACTTGTGACACATAACAGAGAGGGGGATAATATCCACAACATACAAAGAGCTCCCACAAATCAATAAAAAAAAGGACTGAGATTTTTTAAACATTGAAAGATCTGAACAGGCAATTCTCAAAAAAAGAAATTGAAATGGCAAATATGCATTTAAAATATGCTCAAAGGCCAGGTGCAGTGGCTCCACCATATACAAAGTGCTCCCACAAATCAATAAAAAAAGGAGTGAGATTTTTTAAATGTTGAAAGATCTGAACAGGCAATTCTCAAAAAAAGAAATTGAAATGGCAAAGATGCATATGCTCAAAGGCCAGGTGCAATGGCTCATACCTATACTCCCAGCACAAGGCAGGAGGATTACTTGAGGCCAGAAGCTTATAGGCAGAAAGCAATACCCCATCTCTAAAGAAAATAAATTTTTTTCTGTATATTTTTTCTTTCTTCTCTTTCTCTTTCATTCTTTCTTTCTTTCTCTTTTTCTTTCCTTCTTTTTCTTTCTTTCTTCTTTCTTTCTTTTCTTTCTTTTTTCTTTCTTCTCTCTCTCTCTTTCTTTCTTTCTTCTTTCTTTTTCTTCTCTACCTTTTTTTTTTTCAAGGTCTCACTCTGTTGCCTAGGCTGGAGTGCAGCAGTGCGACCGTAGCTCACTGCAGCCTCAATTTTCTAGGCTCCAGTGATCCTCCCATCTCAGCCCCCTAGGT
Source organism: Homo sapiens (assembly GCF_000001405.40). Lineage (NCBI taxonomy): Eukaryota > Metazoa > Chordata > Mammalia > Primates > Hominidae > Homo > Homo sapiens. Next base: position 54,129,741 of record NC_000016.10, on the reverse strand, counting down.
AGCTAGGACTCCAGGCAGGGACCACCACACTGGGCTAATTTTTATTTTTATTTTCTTTAAAGATGGGGGTCTTGCTGTGATGCCTAGGCTCATCTTAAACTCCTGGAGGATGCGACCCCTCGGCTGGAGGGAAGGGGAGCGTGTGATGAGGACCAAGAAGGAGCTGAGGACAGCCCCCAGGCAGCTCCTCAGAGCAGAACAGCTGTCCCAGTGAGAGCAGGCCTCAGGACTGGGGACACCTTTCAGAGATGATCATTCTTTCACAAGACCTTCCTGTTAATACCTGGCTTGTTTTTAGGTTTTAAAGAAAGACCACGAAAAGAAAGAGCTATCACTAAGTAGCATGGTTTTTCTGCCAAGGGTCTGTCTGCCAGTAGACTACAATAAATGGAAACCTAGACACTTATAAAGTATTATCTGGGAAGATATTGGACCAAAAAATAAATCCAAATTAACTATCTGATGCCCTATAAAATAAGCCTTTAAATATTTTGTAGGATCCCTCTTTCCCCAAACACAACCCTTCTAAGCCAGCAGTCTTCTTTCTGTCCTAGCCCCTCTGTCAGAAGTGGACGCTCGCAGACCTGAGGTGTTTTATCTGCAGCTGGAGTCCCAGTTAGTTGTGGGTCTGATTCAAATGATGGTGGTGCTGGCAGAATGAGCTCATCTTCCCTGCACTGATTCCTCCCTCCACCCCCTCAGCAGCTGGGAGCCCTCCTGAAAGAACAATAGATTTATAATATGAGCAAAACAAAGGAGTCAGAAATGAACAGCTCTTGGAAATAAGTAGGTCAAGACACAATCAATTTCCAAATTTAAAATTATGTTTGAAAAATGTACCTTTAATACAGGAGCCCGCTTTGGCCCTGTGGGGTAAAGCATGTAAAGTTTAAAGTTCCGGAGTGGCTGCTTTATCAGGTAGTCCGAAGTTTACCCTGGAGGTTAAGCAATAAAATGGAAACAAAAATAATTTAACAGTTTTGCAGTTAGTTTAACCCAGCAACAGCTCCTTAAATAGCTTTCACCTTCCTGGAGCTTGCCATGCTCATAAAGCTACAAGATGAGTTTCAAAGCTATGGATTTGCTAAATAGAACTTCATTTCCTCTTCTTATTAGAGGTAATTAAATTTAGTAGACGTCAGTAAAAGCCTTGTAAACAGAAAATATGAATGCTTATAAAAGTCTGCCCTTTCTTTTCAACCTAATAATTAAGATGCAACAAGAAAGCAGCTAATAACAGCTCGTAATTTATCAGGTGCCATTCAACCCCGAACCTGAGACATATTGTAGAAGTATTAAACACTGAAATGAAAATAATACCCATTGAAACACATTATTTATTAAATGCATAATCACTCAGAGAAATAAACACGTTGCACAAAGAACTTGATAATTCGGATAGAAACAGTGTATATATTATTTTCTGCTTTAGATATATTACCTATCAAGTTAGATTCTTAAATCAAAGCCACAGTTTGTTTAAATGCAAACTGCCTGTGGCAGCCCAGCAAGCCCCAAATTTCCACTAGACGCTCACCTTGATAGCAGTGTTCAAAGACGGAGTCACTGTGAAATTTTTTCATTATTATTGTTTTTAACATTCTCAAAAGAAAAGAAATCCCCCAGCAAGCATTAGAGAAGCAGGAACAGAAAAGAAGAAAGGCAATTCTAAAAAGAATGGTAAGAATTATACATTAATGAAAAAAATTCCCACCGTCCAATACACATGAACTTAGAAGCAACTGCAGATTCAATACCTTACAACACACCCCAGTGTTATCTAACCCCAAATGGGGGTTCAAGAATGTACTTTACATCTTTACTAACTGTCCAGCTGAAATCTGTACTTGGAGTTCTTGAGAATAAATGATTATGAAGACTTTGGGTACCATATTTCATTGATTCAAAGAGTCCTTCAATTTTAAGGTACACCATCATTTTATGTATCACTAAGAAAGAAAAAATAAAACACTGCCGTGTAGACTATGACATGCTATCACTGTAAGCTGCATCCTGATGTCAGAGACGTTAAAACTGCAAAAAGGCTGGGCATGGTGGCTCACACCTATAACACTTTGGGAGAGCAAGGTGGGAGGATCGCTTGAGCCCAGGAGTTTGAGACCAGCCTGGGCAAAAAATAGTGAGACCCCATCTCTACAAAAAATAAACCAATTAGCCGGGTGTCATGGTGCATGGCTGTTGTCTCAGCTACTCAGGAGGCTGAGCGGGGAGCCCAGGAGGTCGAGGCTGCAGTGAGCTATGATTGCACCGCTACACCACAGCCTGGGCAACAGAGCAAAATCCTGTCTTAAAAAAAAAAAAAAAAAAAAAAAAAAACCAGAAAAAAATGCACTTTAGAATCCACAAAATACAGTCCATAAAACTAGATGAGGTGTTCTCTTGGTTATGGTATGTGAACTACATCTAAATAAAGTGTTATTAAAAGTGTTGTTGGGTTTAATGTTGAAAAATCCTAATGCTCACTGTTGTAGAGGGCAGTCAAGCAAGGCTCACTTTGGAGGTAACAGAGGAAAGACCTAAGGCAACGAACCCCTGGCTGCCTGGAAAGGAGAGTTCTGGCCAAGGGAAGAGCAGGTGCAAAGGCCCCGAGATGGGCGGGTGCCTGGTGTGGGGAAGCAGAGAGAATGGTGCGGACAGAGATGGCAGGAAGTGGGGGTGGGGAAGGTAGGTCATAGGTGATGAGATCAGAGAGGTGCCAGAAAAAACAAGAGTTTCCTTTTGTTTTCTAGGAAGCTGAACCCAAATCTTCAACATATTCCTAAGAAGAATATTGGGAGAGAGTAGGGTTATCCATCAGTTTCACTCCAAAACCCTCCTTTGTAGCTTCTTGGATAGTTTAAGAATGAGTTTGCCGTGGCATCTCTGCCATCCTTGCAGGCGGTCCTCCCCAGGGTCCCTGTCACATATAGGTAGAATGCTTGAAACAGTCCCCTCCTCCGCCTTGGTTTCAGAGGTGACATGTTAATCAGATGGCTTCCAAGCTTTGAAGGGCACGGACTTACTTTCAAACAATGGGACTCCTAGATGGCACCTTTGTTTTTCACCAAGGATCAGAAATTGCCCTCTTTTATACAACAGTGCTCATGCAGAAGCGGCCCCCCTCCCCAAGCTACCACCCAGAACCCAAGAGCAAAATTTCTCTCTTGAAGGGCCAGGTGTCCATTCATTAATCATAATAGTTAACATTTATGAGCAATGAGCATTATGAGTATTGCACTATGCTAAGTATTTCACTTATGCTAACAGCTTTGTGCACTTTTTTTTTTTTTACCCTCAAGCAATCCTATGTTAACAGCGCTGTTAGTAGCCTCATTTTATACAAGGGAAACTGGGGCATAGAGAGGTTAAGCAATTTCCCTGTGGTCACACAGCTGTCTGTGTGTGTAGTGGGGGACTAGAATCTAGGTGCAATTTACCCCAAAGTTCAAGTATCTAACCACTTTGCTATGGTGCATTGCTCTCAAATGGCAGTGTCTGGAAAGAATTCTGTCTCCTCCCTCTACCACATCTGGTATCTTCTATGCTTGATGGAACCAATCACTTGGATGAAATTGAAAGTGTTGCTAAGGTTAAGAGGTTAAATGCTCAGGCTCTGGAGCCAGAGTGCCTGGGTTTGAAACCCACCTCTGCCAGATACTAGCTGTGTGGCCTGGGGCAAGTTACATAGCCTCTCTGTGTCTAAATTTCATCACCTGGAAGAGAGAGAAGAGTAATGACCACATACGGTTGTTGGGAGAGTTATGTAAGACAGCGGTGTGAAGCACTCACAACTTTGCCTGGCACATAGACAGCTCTCAACATTTGGAAGCCTAGTTTCTGTCCCTGGGTTTCAAAAGACACTTAGGAACATAGCCTAGGTCAACGTATTACAAATATGTTTGGTTAAAAGGCCATTTCACACAGGGTTAGCAGTTGTTGAAGCTGGGCGACAGGTCTATTCTATGATTTTATTTTTATGCTTAAAAATTGTGCAGTAAAATACTTGTATAAATAGACACAATTCACCTACAATGTTAACTTGGTTACCTTTGGAAAGGAAGGAAAGGAGAAAGTTACCGTCTGGGCATGAGTGAAGCTAGTTCTACTTCTCAGTTATATGAGTAAATCTCATCAAGCCTTCGTGACTGTTTCCGTGTGCATTTCTATATGCATGTTGCATATCAATAAAAAATTAAATGTAGCTGGGTGCTGTGGCTCACGACTGTAATCCCAGCACTTTGGGAGGCTGAGGCGGGTGGATCATGAGGTCAAGAGTTCAAGACCAGCCTGACCAACATGGTGAAACCCTGTCTTTTTGCTGTTCTTAAAAAGGAGATCTGGGCAGGTGCGGTGGCTCACACTTGTGACGGGGTTTTTTCTTTTTGAGATGGAATCTCACTCTGTCACCCAGGCTAGAGTGCAGTGGCGCAATCTCAGCTCACACGCTTGTAGGCAGGAGAATCGGTTGAGCCTGGGAGGTGGAGGTTGCAGTGAGCTGAGATTGCGCCACTGCACTCTAGCCTGGATGACAGAGTGAGGTTCCATCTCAAAAAAAAAAAAAAAAGAAGGAAAAAAAGAAAGAAATTAAATACTACATGTTTGCACAAAAATGTTTTAAATAAACTAAAAGGACATTTCAGATTACCAAAGGTCCCTGTGACCAAACACCTGACCTCGTCCAAAAGAGTCTCTTCCCAGTGAATGGGGAAATGAGTGTCCTCCCAGCGGGATGCATGAGGACACGGCAGCAGCATCCCAGGGAAGTCAATCCGCTTGAACAAAGCGTGGATACGCACTTGTGCTTCAAAAGAGGAGTCCCATCTTATGAGGGGTCCATGCATGAAGTTATGTACAGTGGAAACTACTCATGAGAATCCCCTAGGGAGCTGCCAGGTTGGAAGCCAGCAGGCTGTCTCCTGGCCAGTTTCATTGTTTAGCTTTTTACTTTGGAATAATTATAGATTCACAGGAAGTTGCAAAAAATATACATATAGGGAAGTCCCCTGTATCCCTCACCCAGTTTCCCCAGACAGTAACATCTTCTATAACTATAATGTAATATCCAAACCAGGAAACTGACATTGGGACCATCCATAGAGCTGATTCAGATTTCACTAGTTTTACACACATGGCATATATGTGTGTGTGCATGTGTGCACACATGCACAATTCTATATGACTTTATCCTATATGTAGATTCATGCAACCACTGCTACAATCAAGATACAAAACTGTTTCATCACAAGGGGCCTGTGCTGCTGCTTCTTTATAGCCACGCCCACTCCCTCCCTCCTTTCCCTAAGCCTTGGCACCCAGGATTCTGTTCTCCAGCTCCATGTTTTTGTTATTTCAAGAAGGTTATGTAAATGGAATTATACAGCATATACCTGTTTGAGTCTGGATCTTTTTCTCTATTATCCATCTAATAGTTTATCCTTTTTTATTGCCGACTAGTATTTCAGGATATGGATGTATCAAAATTTAACTAATGACTCACTGAAGGACATTTGGGTTGTTTACAGTTTGGGGCTCTTATGAAAGCTGCTATGAACATTCATGTACAGGTCTTGCATGGATACAGGTTTCATTTATTTGGGACAAATGCCTAAGAGTACAGTTGCTGGGTCAAATGGTAAGTGCATGTTTAGTTTTAGAAGAAATTGCCAGATGATTTTCTCGAAGTGGTGATATCATTTGACATTCTCCCCCTGCGATGTGTGAGTGATCCAGCATCTCTGCATTCTCAATAGAGAAAAATGATAGCCATTCTCAGAAGTGTGTGGTAATTTCTCATTGTGGTTTTAACTTGCATTTCCCTAATGGCTAAGGGTGTTGATAATCTTTTTATGTGCTTATTTGCCACCTGTTTATCCTCTTCAGTGAATTGTCTGGATAGTTCTTCATCAGGCACAGGAAAACATCCTTGTTCTTCAGTTGAGCACGACGTGAAGTCTCTGGCTTGGGTTAGAAGCCATGTAGTAGCTTCCCAAATGAGAAAACAGATTCTCTGTTCTCACATCTTCCCACACTCTAGGCTGTGCAATCCCTGAGTGCAGTTTGGGGATGGAACCCTTATGCTTTTTTGCCTTTTTGTGCATGTTTGCTGAGCACAGATAACTGAATTCGTGAGTTAAATGTTTACGATGGGGCCAGGCGCGGTGGCTCATGCCTGTAATCCCAGCAGTTTGGGAGGCCAAGGTGGGTGGAGCACTTGAGGTTGGGAGTTCAAGACCAGCCTGGCCAACATGGTGAAACCCTGTCTCTATTAAAAATACAAAAAATTAGCCGGGCATGGTGGGCGCCTGTAATCCCAGCTACTCGGGAGGCTGAGGCAGGAGAACTGCTTGAGCTCAGGAGGCGAAGGTTGCAGTGAGCCGAGATGGTGTCGCTGCACTCCAGCCTGGGCGACAGAGTGAGATTCTGTCTAAAAAAAAAAAAGTTTATGAAGTGACACCACTATCTTAGTAGCACAGGGGGATCTGACGTCAGTCCAGTGCCCCAAGTCCATGTCCACCAAGCTCTTCCAGCGTTCCCTCAACTCCATTGGCCAAAGCAGTTTGTCTTTTGTGATTTTGCTCTCTGGGGCTGGCCTGGGCCCTGTCCCCACATTGTGGCCTTGCAGTGCCTTGTTTGGAGTGCTTCCTCGTACCCCTTTAATCAAGACAGCACCAAGACCTTCTGCAGATCCCACTGGCTGCCCTGCCCCAAGCACCAGCTCAGACACCTGTCTATCATATCAGTACCTCCCCAATTAAGTGTTGCTTTGAGACACTAACTTCGCTGACCAAATTCCCCCCAGCTTCGCCCATTATCAGCTTTCTCCTCTTACCTGCTGCTAAGGTTCCACTAGGATCATGGTCAACTCACCTTATACAGCACCAGTGACAAGAAACAACTCAGGATGTGGTACAAAATTGGGTGTAGCTGGAACAAAGGTTAGAAGCAAGTTTTGGGAGGTGAAATTGTAAGAGGCGGGGGTAGATTTCAAACAGCCTTGCAAGCTGTGGTCAGAACCCAAAGAGAAGGGGGAACTAGAGGAGATTTTAAAGCAGGGGATGCTGAGATCAGATCAATTTTGCTTTAGCAGATAGTCAGCTAACAAATGTTTATTGAGCACCTATTATGTGTCAGATAAAAGTTAGCTGGATTGACAGCTGTTGAAGATCAAATAATCTGGGGGACATGAAGTCTTATGAGTCCTGTGGGATGTCATAAAATGGAAGTAAAAATTTGATCCAGCAAGTCCTGCCCTCTAGTTCCTCTAGTCCAACATGGAAACCAGATTTGGCAAGTAAAATTGTGTTCATAAACACTCTGGAAACAGGACAAATGAAAATGATCAACGTGGAGTGTCTTATAAGTGACTCAAGGATTCGCGTGGCAAGAGAGGCAGTAAGGAAGTAAAGATCCAACTAAGGTGCTCCTGGAGAGTGTGGGCAGCAAAGGCAGAGTGCAGAGACCTCTAAGGAGGAGCGCACCGTGGGACAGTGCCTCCATGGACGGCGGGGCTCAGGGCGACGGCACACCCTGGGACAGTGCCTCCATGGACGGCGGGGCTCAGGGCGACGGCACACCCTGGGACAGTGCCTCCATGGACGGCGGGGCTCAGGGCGACGGCACACCCTGGGACAGTGCCTCCATGGACGGCGGGGCTCCCGGCGCACCCTGGGACTGTGCATCAGCGGAAAGCCGGGCTCACGGTGCACTCTAGGATGGTGCATCCATGGAAAGTCGGGCTCACTTTGTAACCAGCTCACTCCAGGATTCTTAGTTACAATCATAACACCAAGCATAAATGAGTGATTTCAATTTTTTTATTTTTAATTTTTGTGGGTACATAGGAGGCGTATATATTTATGAGGTACATCTTAATAGAAACTCTAAGAGCCGGGGCTTCTGGGTAATAAGCACAGAGTATGAAGCCGCTGTGTTTTACTGACTTATAAATAGGACACCCTTTAGTCAGCCCTGTGCCTTAGAAAGCATGACACTCACCCCCACCCCATGCCCCACCGAAAAAGAAACCACAGACCAGATTATCACCTCTCCGAATGAGGCATTGGAATAATCTTCGCACTGTTCCGCGACCCGAAGGGCTCAGGAGTGCTGGAAAAAGATTCTTCACCTGTTGAGCAGTTCTAGCGGAGAAAAGATCAGGCTCGGCCTGCTTCCCTGCGAATCTGCCGTCTGTTGAGACAAGACATCTGAACCAGAAAGCCGGGGAGGAGGTGGCTCTCCATCCCCGTGGGAAGGCTTTCCCTGGTCCTTTCACTACCTTATTCAGGCCTCTTTAGTTCAGAAATAGCCTTAGGTTTTGCTCCTGGCTCCATTTTCCTCCTTAATAGCATCGCTCTTTTTCCATGTTTCTGTACAGAGAGATGTTGGCATGAGTATTTTGGTTTGGATGCCATGATAATATTTATCATCGTAATTGATACATGCTGAGTCATTACTAAGTACTAGACATGACGTTAATTGCTTAATAGGCACGATCACAGGTGATACAACAATCCTTGGAGCTAGACTACAGTTCAGCAAAATTTTTCTATGAAGGGTCAGACAATGACTATTTGGGGCTTTGATAGCCCTATGGTCCTTTGCAACTATTCAGCTCTGCCACTGTAGTTGGAAACAGCCATAGATAATACATAAACCGATGAGCATGGCTGCGTTCCAATAAAACTTTATAAGAACAGGGGATGGGCCAGATTTGGCTGTGGGCTATACTTTGCTGACTCCAGCTTTCAATTTTACTACGGTGGTTTCTGCTTGACCTGCCAGTGTTCTGAATGATGCATCTTGGCCTCTTTGACGTTAATATCCTGCATCATAAATTTCAGTGGCTCTAATAATATGTAAAATCACCAATATCTTGTGGATGTTTGTGACCTATGGAGAAAACAATAGCACACACACTGTTTTCTAGAGTAACAAAGGTTCTCCTTTCTGGGCTCAAATTTGGAGGGAGGGGCTGTTCCTGTTCTTGTAAGTGACCTGGAACCATCTTCCTCTTCAACCTGCTTTAGGATGTTGAAGGTGAACTTGGGAGGGGGGCTCAAGAATGTTCACAGCCTTCCCAAATTCAATACTTATCAGAAACTTGAAATCCAGTTTCTATAATTCACCTGAAATAACTTCTCCCATCTGGACTTCCATTGCCCCATCTATAAAATATGGGTGTGACATATTAAAAACTTCTCTTTGGGGTATGTGCCTTTGCAAATGTGGTAACTATTGCTTCTTTCACCACGCTGCTCTCCTATCCTCAGGCTCTGTATTAAAATGAGCAAAGGGCAGAAATTAGAAATGCTGATTAAGAATAGGATTTTGAGGACAGGGACCTTGTGTTGCTAGCAGAGTCTGACATTCCGGAAGGAATCAACAAGTGTGTGTTGGCTAAGACTGAAGAGTCAATACTATGAAGAGCTGGCAATATGGCAGTCAAAGGAAGGCCTGTGGCCTTGGCTAGCTTCCTCATCTGGCCCTTCCAAGGTACCTTCAGCTCCCCAAGCTATGTCCCAGTGAGGATGCCCCTGACACAGCCACACATCTATTGTTTTCTGCTGGGTACAGAGTTTTGCTGGCCCAAGGCTGTCAAATTCACTTTGATTTTGGCCTCAGCTGGGCTTCATGCTTTCAGAACAATTTCTCCCACCGCCTTTCACTTGAAGTCCTTGGCAGGGATGCCTCTCCCATTCTGCACGCACAGCTCACTTAATGGGCACAAAGAAATGGGAGAAAGCTCAGGGAAAAAAGAAATAACAACCCGACCCAGTCTAAATCTTGGGAAATCGAACAGGGTCTGCATCTCTTTGAAAACTATACACAGACATTTCTGGTCGAAGTGAAACCATGCTTCTCACAGAGGGTTGGAGACAGCAAATGGAGCCTTAGTCATACACAGTTAGTTTCAAACTTATGTTGCTGCTCACAGGGAGAAATCAATGTACGGTATATTAAAAACAATCACTGCAGCCCTTAAATGATCCAATAGTTTAGCTTTGAATGCATTCAAGCTAATGGGGGCTTTAATGGCTTCTGACAGATCATTCCATTGATCAAGGGGCATGTATGAAATACGCTGCCTACTAAACTCTGTTTTGATTTTGAGAAAAGAAAACTAAACGTCCATGGTAAACATGGCTTGATTGTTCACATGTTCACCGAGATCCCTCTCAGCGTGACCCTGGTTGGGAGCAGAGGAGGGAAGGATAATGGAATCCTATATACCTGGTTTGCTTCTCTCCTGACTCTAATCAAGGCATAATCAACGGGAAACCTCTGTCTGCAGAGTTGGGGGCAGGGGGAAGGAAGGTGACCAGCGGTCCAGTTTTCTGGGTTGGATGAGTTATAAGCCACGGCTTTGGCTGTCTGAGAAACTGATTCATCTCTTGCAAGCCTTGGGGGTTTGAAGGTTAACTGTTCTGGTTCCAACGTGGAAAGCCGAATTCCCTATTTGAAAGGATAATCAGGTTTTTCAGTTGGGGACAGCAGTTTTGCAAAGAAACAAATGAAATCATGCTCCTCCATCCGTGTGTCTGGAGGCTCCAAGATTATTTTATGAAGTGCTGAACGTACCTCTACTCAAGAAAGGCAGTTTCCACAGGGTGCATGGAGTCTGAAAAACCTAAAGAGGCCTTAACATGATTCATTGAGACTATTCTTGTGCAAGAGAGGTTTCTATTTCTCCAAGCCCTGGCAGCCTGCTGTGGCTTTAAGAGTGAGCCATAGACTGTTCCTGTGTCAGACTGGTCTTGCCTGATCAGAAGTAATGAATGTATGTAGAAATTCTTCCATTACCCAGCCAAACTAAATTGGTTTCACAAAACGAATAATAATAATTTCTCTCCCTTGGACTTGAGTAGGACTTTAGCATTTACAAAGCCTTTTTCCAAATGTTATCTCCACCTGCTAGCTGCACAGTCGTGGTTTTACCTGTGTGGATGGGGATGGATCTGGCTTGTGGACCCTCTCTCCTTCTCTCGGAGGCTGGGAAGGGAAGAAGGGTGCCCTTGAAACTGGCACCACGAAGACAGTGATCACCTGTGGTCTTTGTTTAATCTTTAACACCAAGCAAGGCTGTGTGGAGGGCAAGGCGTAGTGGCTCACGCTTGTAATCTCAGCGCTTTGGGAGGCCGATGCAGGCAGATCACTTGAGCCTCGGAGTTTGAAACCAGCCTGTGTAATGTGGTGAAATCCTGTCTCTACAAAAAAATTAGCCGGATGTGGTGGCAAGTGCCTATGATCCCGACTACTTAGGAGGCTGAGGCAGGAGAATCGCTTGAGCCCATGAAGTCGAGGCTGCAGTGAGCCGTGATCTCACCACTGCACTCCAGCCTACGTGACAGGGTGAGACCCTGTCTGAAAAAAAAAAAGAAAAAAAAAAAAGACTGTGTGAAAGAGCTTCATGCCATTATCACTAATGAAGAGGGTCAGAATTACCCGAAGCACACAGGATCTGGAACCATTGAACTTCTCCTAAACTTCCTGTAGAACGGTCTTGACCCTTTTGGCCCCACCTGTAGGGCACCTTGCTGTCCTAGGCCAGCACTTCCCATCTCTCAGCAGGAAACTACCGCATTTACCAGATCAGAAACAAAGGGAATCTCCGCCTGCTAGAAGTGCTTCATTTGTATTGGTGCCATGTTTAGTCAGTGGCTTTTGTAAAATTGATGAATTTTGTCTAAAGGCAAGTGCAGACAGGCAAACAGATCTGTATCTGCTGTTATCCATTTAGCTTGACACACATGTGCAGAGGAACTATTTTACCTCAATTCTTTCAGGATTGATGAAAAGTAAATGCGAGCAAAGTCATGAACTGCATCATTGGAAAAGAATCACTGAATCTAATGCTGGAGGTTAATTAATGCTTCCCTCCCCTTGAAATAGACTGACCCTGGTACTTAGACATTCAGAGTCAATAAACAATTGTTGTACACAGATCATCCATTAGAAGGTGATGGCAAGAATTTTTTTAAGCAAATCCAAAATTGCAATGGGTGACCTACTCCCACTGTAGAAATGAGAGTCCTAAAACATCATTTTTCATAATATCTCATTTATAAAAAGTTCCATGCCATCCGCCTAGCGAAAAATGGAAGCTGTGAAGAGCAAATGGGATAATATATGGGATAGTGACACAATATTCTTCTTGAACAAGCCACAGCTATCTTTAGTCCCTTTAATATTTTGGTCAGGATATCACGGATCATATTTTTCATCATAATAATGTACATGCGTGGCGTGATTTTTAAGTACCAGACATGATATGAATCACTTAACATGGCTGATCGTAGGGGACAGAACAATCCAATGAGCTAGGCATTATCATCATCCCCATTATAGAAACAAAGACTGGAGCGCAGAGGGGTTAAGTGATTTGGCCCAGTCACAAAGCTACAACTGTTACCACAGGAAACTTGGTTAATAATAATAGCTAGTACCTCACTGAAGCCCAGTATATGTCAGGTACTGTGGGAGGCATTTTAAATACGCATTAACTTATTGAACCTTCACAACAACCTTAGGTGATGGATTACTACTATTCTATTTTGTAGATAAGACAACAAAGGTTTGAAGAGGTGGTAGAGTGAGAATCACACACAGAATCAGAACTTAAACTCAGAAAACCTCTTCTGCCACTCAGGAATCCAAAGATTTGGAAAATCTGATGAATGACAGCGGGATAGAAAGAGCAGAGGATGCAGAGAGGCTCAGTTTCCAATGTAGGAGGAGGATTTGGGCCAGAGAGCAGGAAGAACTTGGCTGACAAGGTTCTGAGAGGTGGGAATTAGGACTGTCCTGGGAGCATGGGGCCGATGGGACACAGGACTATGGGAGCAGGGCTGCCTGGGAACCGGGGTGGAAAGCTGTCTGGTCCTTCTAGCCGGGATCTGGGGGGCACTTGTGGTTCTCCTTGTTAATAAGAGAGAATGGAGAACCAGATCTTCAGATACTTTCCTGGAGTTTCCAGGAATCTATCGGGTGTCTCAGGTGAGCGAGAGAACCAGGTGAATGCCTTCTGACAACCCCCAAAACCTGCCTCCCAAACACAGCAGTGGCCCAGGGGTGCCCTTGCTGTCTTGCAGGAAGTCATTCTTAGCCGGCTTCCCCTCCTCCCACCCATCCTCTGCAAGCTGCCCGGCTTTCCCTACAGCCGCAATCATCACAACACGCCTGTGCCGTCTCTCCCCTTTATGGTTGTCAAATTGATTTCACCACCGCGATACCTATGGCTCCCAATGAAACTTAATTAAAAATACCATTTAATCACAGAGTAACAAAGGCAAACGGGATAAACGGCATTACCACTTCGGCGCATTTTAATCCACACCGCTCCTCTCCATCTGAATCTGTCTGGATGAGAATTGCCTTTTCAAACCAGAATCCCCTTGTCTTCCATGTGCTTGCCTCTGACAGATCTCCAAAATAAACAGTTTTTAGCGTGGCATGGATCCAAATGTATGCAATTTGCCCAGTGGTAAAATCAGCCCTAACTAGAGCAAGAAAAAAAAAAAAGAAGTTGCATTTGAAAATACCTTCCTTCCCTCGAAGCATACAAAAAACCGTCTACTGAATGTGGGATCCGTTAAACGGGTCCTATGGACTCTCAATTCTGGCATCCCTGGATTCAGTGGAGTGATGGGTTTTGAAGCTTATTACTAAAATTGTGTCACCAATGATGCCATGACCCTGCTCTTTTATGTCTAGAAAGCTCTGTGGGGCTGGAGCCTGCCAGTGAGGGCGTCAGGAATGGATCTGCTGGGGTGTGGAGGGGAGGGGCTGTTTAGAGTGAACTCTGTAGGCAGGCAATCTAGAGGGGCCGCAGGCCATCTTGAGATCTCACCCAGCCAGGGGGACATTCCCAGTTGGAAAGCCGCTCCTTTGGATTAAGCTGTTTGCTCTCTCAGAGACCCTCTGGAATCCAGATAGAGCGATGATCTAATGCATAAAAATATCTCACCAAGTTACTTCCATGCCCTTGCTGCTTGAAACCCTCTCATGCTTCCTGGGGTGTGTGGAATAAAACCCGAGCGGCTCCCGTCTGCTCTGCCCTACATCTCCCCTTCTCCCCTCCTGGTCTTCTCGGCTTCAGGCTCAGGGCCCTTTTCCTTCCTTGGGCACCCCCTCCCAAGGCTCTCCTGCCTGGGCCCGCCGTCCCCTTTCCTGGGAAGCTCTTCCCAACCACCTCCCTTCCCCACAGCCTGATCAAGGTCCCCTTGGTCAGTCACCATCTCCTCTTGTCCCTCTCCCAGTTGGTTCCCTTCCTGGCACTTACAACCATCTGGAACACTCTTGTTATTGATTTGCTGCTTACTGTCTATTTCCCCACTATGGGGTAAGTTCCTATTTTGGTGACTACATATCCCAGGGCATCCACTAGCCTGGGAGGCAGAGATCTGTCTTGGGTCCCCAGGCTTGCCTCATTGCTGAGGCTGTGGTCAGCACCAAGAAACATTCATGGGAGGAAGGGAGGGAGGTAGGGCAGTCAGTAGCACCTCATTGCAAAGGGATCTCTTAGATCACTTTTCTCAAGAGACCTGGGACCACAGGGAGGACTGGCAGGAAAGCAGGAGGGGGCTGCTGCTGATGGAAGTGGTCCCTTATCCGCACACATGGGGAGAAGGGTGCGATTTCTGGGCCTGTGCTTCCAGGAAAGTCCTTCTCCAATTCACAGCAGAAGCAAGCCTTCCTTTGACCCTGCAGGATACGAGTTCATTGTCATTGCCCGCACCAGCTGCTTTTTTATTGGGTCTTGCCCACCTCCTTCTACCCACCTGAAACCTCCCTGGAGAGCACATGAAATCCTCAAACACATGATCAATGAAAGTCACCATTTCTTTCTTCTCTCGCTCCGTGGCCCAGGCTGGAGTGCAGTGGCATGATCTCGGCTCACTGCAACCTCCGCCTCCCGGGCCAAGCGATTTGCCTGCCTCAGCCTCCCGAGTAGCTGGGATTACAGGCACACACCACCACACCCAGCTAATTTTTGTGTTTTCAGTAGAGACGGGGTTTCACCGTGTTGGCCAGGCTGGTCTCGAACTCCTGACCTCCAGTGATCTGCTGCCTCAGCCTCCCAAAGTGCTGGGATCACCATTTCTTTAGAGCAAATGTGATCTCACCTTTCGGATTCACTTAAAGTAGTGATTTCTCCAACCCTGTTGCACATTCCCTGACTCCACCTGGAGGACTTTGAGAACTAATTCCACCTGGGCCCCACCCAGGACAGTGAAGCTGGCTCATCCATGCAAAAGGAAAAAAACAGCAAAATCTCTCGGTTTCTTATCTCATCCTTTTAATATGTTTATTGGATATGAATATTTTATGATGCAAATGACATTAGTACAAGCAGTCTACGAATAGAGTTCAATAGTCACACACATATATTGGGGTAAGCACAAAATATTTCGACTAGAGGGGTGCAAGCAAGCAGGTTTGGAGAGCACTGACATGAAAGGGTGATGCAGGTCAGGTTCACAATTAATGAAAAAACGGAGAAAAAGAGGGAGTATGGCAAACCATAGGCTGGGTCATGCCCCAACTCGCAGTGGGAAGATGCTTATTTAGCTTGCTGCCATGCGAGGATGGGGGCCTAGGACTATTGGGTGTTCTGAGTTCTAAAGAAAAATGCAGACCTTGGCTTGGCGCGGTGGCTCACGCCTGTAATCCCAGCGCTTTGGGAGACCGAGGTGGGTGGATCACGAGGTTGAGATCGAGACCATCCTGGCCAATGTGGTGAAACCCCATCTCTGCTAAAAATACAAAAATTAGCTGGGCGTGGTGGCACGTGCCTGTAGTCCCAGCTACTTGGGAGGCTGAGGCAGGAGAATTACTTGAACCTGGGAGGCAGAGGTTGCAGTGAGCTGAGATCGTGCCACTGCACTCTAGCCTGGTGACAGAGTGAGACTGTGTCTCAAAAAAAAAAAAAAAGAAAAGAAAAAAGAAAATGCAGACCTTTTAATTTTATGTGAAATCTCCCAATTTTTAAATATGGGCACCTAATGGGATATAACAAAAAATGAACATCATAGGGGCTAAAGAAAACACTGGGCTGGATGGCCCGAGGGTGCCCCATCTGTGACTTTTAAACACCACGCCCTCCTGGTCTATGTTATTTCATTTATTTCATTTAATCTCTGTAATGACCCTGTGAGACACTGCTTCACTTCTCTTTTACCAATGAGGAAACTGAGGCTCAAAGACACCAGGGAATGAATCCAAGGTCTGAGAGACTCGAGTCTCAACACGATGAGACCCTGGCTGCTTTGCTTAATGTGACATTTCTGTGGCTATTAACTGCATTCATGGGAATGAGTGCAGGCCGTGAACCACTGCAATTCTGGTGGCAGGAAAGAGTTTATTCTCAGTGCACCTTCAATAGGCAAAAGCTCTTCAACTTCTCAACTACTGTGAACAACTACACGAGAAAGCAACAGGCTGGGGAGACGGGGGGCTAACTATTCTCACGATTTCTTGGGACACCAATGGGCAGGAGCCAGGTCAGAAAGGGAGAGATGTGTTAATGGCATCACAAGACAAAACTGGCGGAGGGGTCAGCAAGAGAGAGGAAAACATCTACATCCAGGTCAGCTCACCCACACATAACAGTACCAGAATTTCCTGGATATTTAACTATGTGCTGGAAATTGTTCTAAGTCTGTAACTAGAATCATCTCACTTAATGTTCACCTTAGGACTGGTGCCTTTCATATATCCCCATTATACAGATGAGGAAACTGAGGCACGTTAACATGCCAAAGGACACGAAGCTAGTGGGAGTCTTAAAGCTCAGGTTTTAAACCCTACTCTCTCTTGTCTCTTTGAGTCTCCAATGTCATCAGGATGGGCCACTGAGGTTCTTCAAACCTCAGTTCCACCTGTTATTACATAAGAATGAGGGACTTACAGAAAAAAACTATACTATGCTGGTGAAATCCACGAAATAATGTAAATGGGGCTGTGTCTCTTTCAAGAGATCAAGGGAACTCCCTAAAGACAGGATATCAACTTTATTTTAATTATTAACATCTCCTTCCCGTGTGCTGAGCATAGGACTCAAAGCTCAGGCTTTTACTTAGGTTTGTCTTAGAGAAAGGAAAGAGGCCAATCTTCAATGAGTCATTTCTCTTTTAGTTTCTTTGCCTTTGGGGATAGAAGCTACAGACGAATGGAAATGAGAATTCCTGCTCTCAAACTTTTTATAGAAGTGTTGTCCAATAGGACTTTCTTCGATGATGAAAATGTTCCATATCTGTACCGTCCAATACAGCAGTCACTAGCCACATGAGGCTGTTAAGCACTTGAAATGTGGCCAGGGCGACTGAAGAGCTGCATTTTTAATTAAAATTAAAACTGAATTTAAATTGAAGTAGCCACAGCTAGCTAGTGGCTACCATATTGGACAGCACTATGGGTGTGGTGAGTAACTGGGATGTCTCTAAGTTCTGTCTTTCCCCAGAGGGCTGGGTCCACTCCAGAGTCTCTGAAAAAGCTTGGGAAAGAGGAAAGTAGGTTAGGCTTTGTCACACGCTGGGCTCGTTCCTGTCGCCTGCCCTGGACCTTGGGGGCTGAATGGCTCACATTTTATAATCTGAACAATTTTGGGGGAAGAAGGTCCTGTTTAACACCAAATCAGACTATAACACAGGGTCATTTTAAAACATTTAAAACTTCATGGGCACCATTTCCTAGCTGTTTTGGATTGGGACCCGGGTGCTACAATCTAGGGGCCAAGAGAAGTCTCCACTGCTCTTGCTTAAGCCCATGACAACGTTGGAGGAGAAAAGCCGATCTCTTTTTCTCCTCCGCCTGAGACTTGTGCTCCTTCTAGGGTTTTGCTTCCAGAAGCTGACCTCTGAGTTCTGAAACGATGTCTGTGAGGTCAAACGGCAGAGGCATCGAAGCATCATCCTTTTCCCAGTATGGCCGACATTCTGGCTTCTGATCAGCAGGTAATGTTCGGGCAATTCGTGACTGGCACCTGGAAGAGTAAAAATAGGAAATTAATCCACGGGAGGAAACCCCCAGAAGACCCCAACCCACAGGAAGCTTGGAGCAACACTGGCCAATGCTCCAAAGACAGTCCTCGGGGGTGAAGGTCATGGTGACGACTGAATGAATCTACAGGTGGAACGCAGGTGTTTATAAGAAGGAAGACTGTTTCTGATGGTGTTGGGACTTCCTTTGCTTTGACTCCCAGATTTGTATTATCTCAGGTGGCTTCGTAGAAGCCAATCATCAGGGAAATTCAGTTACTCTGCCTTTAAAATGGTGAATTATTTTTTCATTATCTCAACTGTTATTTAAAGTGTGTGATTAAGCCATTATCAGATTTAAATGTTTGTGGGATTTCAATGTATTACTAGATTACTGGGAAAGATTAAATTGAATTTACTGCATTAAAACGTCCAAGAATAGATTAAACAATATTACAGGCCGGGATTGACTTTGGAGATCCTGGAGATTTACAAGTGTCCCAGCTTGCTGTGCTCAGAAAAAGGCACTCCAAGGAGAGACCGATTTATAAGGATATATGCAAATAGAGGTTAATAATCATTTCCACTGATGAAGAGGTGGGAAAAACTTGCACAAAATTAAATTAAGAGGCCAGCAAGAGTTAGTCCCTAAGGAAAACACTTAAATCACGGTTTTTATTGAATGGATTATTCATCAATAGTAGAGAAATTAATTATCATATGAAGCTAAATTATAGCCTCACAGGAAAAAAATTGGGGCAACGTTCTTACACCTTGGCAGGCATCTATCTCTCAGAGAGACTGGCTTATTTAAAAAGTGACCTGGGAAAACTCAGTGGCTTTAGCTTTATTTATCTGCAAAATGAGGATCAGAGAGAAGGAAACAGATTGCATTAAGGAATGAACAATTTCTCGACTCTCCTGGAGTACGTGGCAGTGAAAACGAGTGGATCAAAACCAAACACTATGAGGACACTTGGGAGCATTGCACATGTGCCTCCCTCCACCCCCGCCTTCTCTCCATTTTTGTCTAAATCAATTAAAAAGTGGTCATGCTCACTATTTGTCTTCTGACTGTGTAGGACTGACTATGAAGAGATCAAAGAATGGAATATCCTGGCCCCATTTCCAAGCCTGATGGTAGAGAGGGTTCCTAACTGAAAGACATCTTCTTCTCTGGGGAATTATTAATGGTGAGGGGATCCCCCCGGGGAAAACATACTTCAACTTTACACCTATTTTCGAGTGTGGTTAATTGCTACACCGGCATCCTATGCACTCAATCCGTCGTACATTACACATAACATTCTAATATATCTTCAGCTCTCTGCATCCGGCCCTGATAATAGCGTCTGTTAACATGCACTAAGTACTATTATGTAGCACATCACTTCATAAATAATAAGATTAGCTGACCCCGGGGCCCCAAGAAGAGTAATGTGTTTAAATGTTCTCATTATTTATTTAAAACAAGAATTAAAGCAACAGAAGCTGCTTTTGACAATCCTCTTAGCATAAATATTAAACTGTTTGCACTGATAAGCTACACACTGCACTGAAGAACAGAGGGTGCGTTCTGTAGACTACTTAATCATAGGTGTTTGAGACCATGCCGCTTGCTGTCGTTGTTCTGAGGGTGCATCTCTGTAGTTGTAGAGACAGTCTCTCAACCACTTGAAAGGGATGCAGGGAAAATTAATATTCAAGGAAAGCTGCGACTAATTACAAAGGAACTCTGCAAAGCTTTTAAAATTGTGCTTTCTCTCTGTCTCAGAATCCTAGAGTAATGCTCAATTTACTGGGTAGGGAAAGTTATTCCAAATTGAGCATTTCAATCTCACAGTGGATAAATTGTCCGTGCACACATTATCCTGGCTGGCAGATTAAAGGGCTATGATAAGTGTCGATCCACCTAGAATATCATAAAGTTTGTAGAAAGTCAATAGAGATGCTTTTTCACCTGTCAAATGGGTTTTGCCTCCGTACTTTGAGAAAGTATGAAACATATCGAAGCCTGCTGCAGAGGTTTGCTTATGCTGTGTTGTACAAGCTTCCCAATCCCAATGGCTTTTCTTTTGGGCGAAGCTGTTTCACAGTTTTCTGCTGTTGTTCTTCTCATCAAAGGACTGGCTGGGGCCAGGCGTGGTGGCTCACACCTGTAATCCCTTGCACCCTGGTAGGCCAAGGCAGGCAGATCACTTGAGGCCAAGAGTCAGAAACCAGCCTGGGCAATGTGGCGAAACCCTGTCTCTACTAAAAAACACAAAAGTTAGCTGGGCATGGTAGTGCCAGCCTGTGATCCCAGCTACTTGGGAGGCTGAGGCACGAGAATCACTTGGACCCAGGAGGCGGAGGTTGCAGTGAGCCAAGATTGTGCTACTGCACTCCAGCCTGGGCAACAGAGCAAGACTCTTTCCAAAAGAAGAAGAAGAAGAAAAAAACAAAGACTGGCTGGTATGGGAAGTGGCTCCTTTGCATGCAAGCTCTGACAGACAAGCTGCACATAGTCACTGCATCCATCTGGGCCAGGAGTAGAACCCTTTGTTGGGTTTCTTCAGAGCCTTCATTCAGAAATTTCAAGATTACTTTAAAGTTTTTTCTTTAATGTCCAGTGTTCCTTGCCAATTTCCAAATGATAGTAATAGGGGCCAGCAGAGCGCTCGTTATTGGAGGTGATGTAGTCACCCATGAAAAAGGACAGACATCCCCAACTCAAATGATATTTTGTGATTTAGAATCATGCCAGACTATGGAACTGATAAAGAGAAGGTTGGGAATTACTGGAAGGCACATCTGTCCCCCTTTAGGGTTTCATTTCTTTTGCTCAGGTCACTCATTCTTCCTTCTTGGATCTTAATTTCCAAAGATGGGAAGCAGGGAGACTGCAGCATGGTGGTAAAGAGTGTGTTCTCTTGATTGCCGGAATTGCTGCTCTCCAGGGGCATGACGTCTTGGGCAGGTTTTGTTACCTCGCTGAGCCTCAGTTTCTTATCTGTCAAGTGGTGACGGTAATAATAGTATCTTACTTATGGGGTTGATGTGAAGATTACATGAATTATACGCAGTGTTTAGAACATTTCCTGGCACATAGCAAGCGCCCAATACCTATAAAATAATATTACCACTATCGTTACTTCTACTCCAGGTACCAGTGGCAGATGAGAAATGCCAATGAGAGAGTTGCCTGTTATACTTGGGCAGTCTCCTTCCTTCATACTAACTGGGTGCGTAGCCTCTAGACAGACTCCTTCTAGGGGAAGCTCTGGGGATACAGGAGCAGCTCTGTCTGGCTTGAATCAAATTGCACCTAAGGCTGGATCCTATCACATTTTGACATTCCAAGACCCTGAGGCTTATGTATTCAAGCTGCTACAACTTTCCAGTGTCAGGCTAAAATGTTCAGATTCAGAAGGGATCAGCAGTTATTCCTGAAGACCTAGGATTGATAAAAGGCATTGTCGTCTGGCCTTCCAAATGGTGGTTGTTCCAGACTGATTTTGTATTTACAGGAAATAAAGTTGGATTGTTTCTTAGCACACAATACTCTACATAGTCTCTTGCAAAATAAAGGGGCCCCAAATTGTCTTACGAAATGTGTGAGGAATACTGACTGTGATGGAAATTTGTTGTCCTGTATTTACTCCCACCGTTCCACCAACAGGATTCTAATTTTCCTGTGGGGTACCTGTCCCTTCCCCATGCTTCATGACTTGATGTGGGTGGGACTAGCTCCACCTCTACAGCCAGGGGAGAGCCTTGATTGGCTTAAGCTACGTCAGTACATCACGCTGTCCTAGCCACAGGGAGTGGTTTAAGAGGAGGCACATGACCCAATATGGGGCAAAATCAAGAGAATAAATCAGAGGACTGGTATGGGAGCTAAAGGAAAAGACTTTCTCCTCTCCTGGCCTATGAACAATTAGGATGTGTGATGTGGAACTGCCATCAACATTTTGCTGCCGTCCAGCAAGGGGTGGGTCCTGTACGATGCTGTTTGAGTATCTGAGTCATGCTTCACTTAGATGTTTCAGTTTCATGAGACTTTATTGTCTGAGTTAGGTTTTTCTGTAAAGAATCCTAGCTGATATGCCGGCCATGCTTCCTTGCTGTCAGTTATTTCCTGCCTTTTATAACATCCATTGCCTTAGCCAAGTGAATGCAGATAGTCTCTCCAAACTGAGATGTTGTGGTTGATACAGCGTAGTGTGTGCAGAGAATACCTGGGTATGAACCCATGAAAACACTGACATTTGGTTTTGTTTCAAATAGTATTTCTATTTGGGACAAATTTCTGCCCAGAAAACAAGAGAATGCTGGTCCATCCACACTGGCCTTTGCATGAAAATAAGCCAATTTTCAGGACTAGGGCTGGATAATGTTGCTAAAGAAAGTTAACAAGATTCCCTTCTCAGTGTCATTCCCAAGTCCTACTGAACCCAGCTAAACAATTAGAAAGTTACAGTTTCCCCTTTCAATCCTGTCCTCTCTAATCCTATCCTAAGGAAAAATCCCATTTTTTAAAATGTTTCTTGGGTTAGCAAATAAACTTGGATCTGTTCAGAAAATACTGCCCCTTTCATGAAGCAGTTCAAGGAGAGCAAAGGAAAATAATATGTATATACACATAAAATATTGTAAACATATGCTTTATATGTATACCTATTATTTTATATATAAATATTTTAAATATAATAAATACAAATATTTTATATATACGTATTTTATACTATATACTTTATTATATATTATGTATAATATATAATATGTAATGTGAATTTATAATACAAATTTAGGAGGAAGAGAGATAAAGTATATACATAATATAGTAGGTACATATACTTTTAATATATTATATATCGTGTATTATATATTTATATACAATAATATATTTATTATATTATTATATATAATTATTATATATAATGATATACATAAATTATATATAATAAGTATATATAATATGTAATTATATATTTATTAAAATATACAATTATATGTATTTATTATTATACAATTATATATTTTATATATTTAATATATAATTATATAACTATTACATACAATTGTAACAATTATATAATTTTATATATTTATTATATAATATATAATGATATAACTATTATATGTAATTTATAAATTTATATATTTATTATATAATTATATGATATAACTATTATTATAATTATATAATAAATATATAGAATAATTATATCTAATATTATATAATATATAAAATAATTATATAATAAATACATATAATTATATACAATATATACTATATTACATATTATATGTGTATATAAAGTATATATATTATATATATACTTTTTCTCTCTCTCCTTCCTAAATTCACATTATTTTGACTCAAAGCACTCTATAAACCACCTCCTAAAACTCTCAGCTACTTAGGAGTGGTTCTCCCTGAATGACCTAGTGACGTAACAGGAAGCAGCCGAAAGGTGTCACATTGGCTGGCTGCTAGCAGATTGTCTAGAGGTCCTCCTGACCAAGGTGTAACTCATGAAGGGCGTCACTGCCCGCTGATTTCCCCCAGGGCTGCACTTACATTTAGAAGATCGGGATTGCAGCTACATTAGTGAACACTGGTCACCATGCTAAAATTAACCACTTTAGCTAAAGTGTGTGTTAATTATGGGTATGCAAGCAGTCAATAAAAGGTTAATGCAAAAGTCAAAGGATAAATTTCTTCCCTTATTGCATCACTTCACAGACTAAATGACTAACATTATACTTTGTGTTTTTAATCAATAGGTTTTACAGTAATGTGCTGGCCATTGATTTTAAGAAAACATACACGGTCTTCTTCCTTGTCCCTAAATTTTGCAACAAATAAAGGACAGGTAACATTTCCATTACTCTTGATGAAATGATAAAGATTTCAGGAGAAATGGTTTCTGCTGAAAGATTCATCAGAATAAGCAAATGTAACATACACACACACACACACACACACACACACACACACACACACACAGACTAGAACTTGATGGAGAAATATTACCAAGCATGGGCCACTGAAGAGATAACAGAAATGAACTCCTAAGAGGGAATTCTTCAGTGGGAAAGAGGAGAACAACTCCTAATTAAAATAACAATTACATTTTGTACAATGTTTAAATGTCCCGAATAATGTCAATCCACAGCACTGCTTCTTACTTTCCTAATAATCTAGGAGAGATGGCAGGGGTAGGTATTTGGATCCCCAGTTTGAGTGAGGGCTGCCTTACTCAAGGTTTGATGGAACGGTGTGCAAGTGAGCCAGGGCGGGTCAGACCCCTGGACATCTGGCTGGCTGCCCTTTTCACTCCGTTCCATCTTTTTCATGGATTTCCATTTGGACTAAAATGGATCCTGTCCATTGACTAGTCAGCTATTCTTGTCAAATTTAAATATGCAGGACATTCCAAATCATTTCAGAGGAAAGAAGCAAATGTTGTTTTTACCTCCAGTTTCTAGAAGGACTATTATTATGTCAGATGACTGACAAAACCTAGTTTTCTTCTTTTCATTCTTTTGACTGTGAGGCCCTTACAGCATAAGTATCTACAGTCTATAGAAATAAAAGATACATGTTCAGCTTCTGAGGGCATAAACTATCTCTAATTATTAATATATTCCCTGGGTGACCTTGAGAAAAATATCTCAATCTCTTAGTTTCCTCAACTATTACAATGAAGTTAATGCTTCTCTGCTTTACCGGGTTATGTGAAGATAAAATCAAATAACACATATAAAAGCACTCTAAAATATGTAAACTACCATATAAATGTATAATTATGCCTCAGTATCCCTCTTCTTATGTGATACAAGTCCTATTTTTAAAACCTCGCTGATCAATCTAGTGATCATGCAACGCTGGCCAGAAGGGCTTGTAACGCTCGCAAATAAAAACGAAAGACATCACACTTCTAAAGACTAGAGCAGTTTAAATGGACAGCTTCATCAGAAAATACCCAGTGTTTAAAAGTCTCCTCTTCTTTAAGTCAGTGTTTTTTCTGGAAGTTGAATTTAAGGAGTTGACAGTCACTTGGCCAAATGCTGAGTAGGAGTCTGTTTGAGGGCATCAGCTACATGATAATGCATTCTCCTAATGTGCAATAGCATAAGCCAATACCAAGGCTTAAGAGGCCTCAGGAGCCAGGCAAGGTGGTTCACACCTGTAATCCCAGCACTTTGGGAGGCTGAGGTGGGCAGATCACGAGGTCAGGAGTTCGAGACCAGCCTGACCAATGTGGTGAAACCCTGTCTCTACTAAAAATATAAAAATTATCCAGGTGTGGTGGTGCACGCCTATAATCCCAGCTACTGAGAAGGCTGAGGCAGGAGAATCACTTGAACCCGGGAGGCAGAGATTGCAGCGAGCCGAGATCGAACCGCTGCACTCCAGCCTAGGTGACAGAGTGAAACTCCATCCCAAAAAAAAAAAAAAAAAGAGGCCTCAGGTAGAAAACATTGGTGTTACATCAAGTCCACATGAACCTGCAAAACCCACCTGCCAGATCAGCAGGAAATAATGATGTCATAGGGCAACAATCCTCTCAATGGCCTTTTGCTTTAAAGGGAGCGTGAGACCAATATGGGACCCTAATGTCCTCTGTTCAATTCAGTATCTTGAGGGTTCATTTCACTCTAATGTGTATTTGTGTGGCAAATGTCTTGCCATACAGAGTGATTCCAGGGTGTAAAGATAAGTATTTTTCATATTAACATGGTATCTAAATCCCTGCCAGTACCTGATGTACAAATTGAAGGGATTTCCATGTATAATTCTCACCTCCATGATGCCTACCTTAAGCGCTACATTTAAAATCTAACCTCATGGAAGAGGACACTCCATTGCACTGTTTTTCATAGTCTCACCATATTTTGCTCCAAATAATCTGTTATAGCGAGTGGTGAAAAAAATTTGCAGTCTAGTTTATAATAATCTTTCCCTTGACACTCTAAATCCTCTGAAAAGAACAAGTCAATGAATTTGTAATGTGTCTTTTTGGACTTTTGTCACTGCTATCATGACACTGTGGACAACTTTACAAGTAAATAGTCACCCAGTCATACTTACAGCTATCATAACGGTCTACTCGGACAAAGGTGGCTTTATCAAGTCAGCATGTCAAATAACTCAGTTTACCTATTGTAGAACCACTAAACCAAACCAATTCCTAAATGAGTTTTGACAAAAGACACGTTCACTTTTTCTTTGAAAGGCTTTTAACCTCTTGCCTCTGTTCCCCACGTTAATGTTTCCAGATCAGTAAAGTCAACACACATCAGAGAGTGAGGAAAAGCCAGACTTCTCCCTAGGGGTCAGCTTTTTTTCCCCCGGGTCAATACACCTTTTTAGTAGTTAGTGTTCTTCAACCATGACCACTTGAGAAGCCGGGTTTGGCTTAACTTCCAGTTGTATATACATCTACTTTTGGGCCTCACGCTTCTGGGAAGAGGTGAGAAGTCCTATATAAGATAGGCTGTTCAGGTGCTTTAAAAACCCTTTGACTGCCAAATATACCTGAAGTGCTTTTGAATACCAACATAACGCCATTCAGCCACATAAATACCATCCATTTTTCAAGAACTCTTTCTTTCTTTCTTTTTTCGACACAGGGTCTCACTCCATCACCCAGGCTGGAGCACAGTGGCACAGTCATAGCTCACTGAAGCCTCCAACTCCTGGGCTCCAGTGATCCTCAGCCTCCCAAGTAGGTGGGAGTACAGGCAGGCATCACCACATCTGGCTATTTTTGTTTTTGTTTTTTGTAGAGATAGCATCTCCCTTTGTTGCACAGGTTGGTCTCAAACTCCTGGGCTCAAGTGATCCTCCTGCCTTGGCCTCTCAAAGGGTCAAGATTACAAGCATAAGCCACCATGCACAGACAAGAAATCTTTCTTCCATTTAGCATAGATAACTCTGCTGCCTGGATCTTGGCCAATTAGCATAATTAGAGAGTCCTTCCTGTGGGTCTATGCCATCCTGCTGCCTTGGAGAAGGAGACAGTGCAGGCGGTACCCAGCTGCTGTCAATGTCTTACGTTCTCCACATTTGTTTGGAACTCAAAAGACAGCTTCTATATAAACAATGGTTTTCACAGTTCCCAATTCTTTCCCTCAGCACCTACATGACCTACAGTTTGTCTGAAATATAATATTAATAATACTATAAAGTGAAATAGCCATGAACATCAGGGCTTTTTGTTTTGTTTTGAGATGGGGTCACTCTAGGTTGCCCAGACTGGTCTAGAATTCCTGGACTCAAGTGATCCTCCTTTCTCAGCCTCTTACATAGCTGGGATTACAGGCACGCAAAACAATGCCCAGCTGATTGTTATTTTTCATGAGATAGAACATTCAGAGTTCCAACTTGGGATTCCAAGAAGAGATTTGTTTTGGTAAAGGTTTCCCATCATCCTGGCTATGGAACCAGAGTGTCTCACTGTAAATCATGGTTAAGAGCTCCCCTGCTCTTGTTATGATTGCTTTTGGTGTCTTTTTCATGAAATTTCTGTCCATTCCTATGTCCAGGATGCTATTGCCTAGTTTGTCTTCCAGGGTTTCAAAAGCAAAAGTTGATAAGTAGGATCTAATTAAACTTAAGAGCTTCTGCACAGCAAAAGAAACTATCAACAGAGTAAACAGATGACCTGCAGAATGGGAGAAAATGTTTGCAAATTATGCATCTGACAAAGGTCTAATATCCAGCATCTATAAAGAACTTAAACAAATGTACCAGAGAAAAACAACCCCATTAAAAAGTGGGCAAAGAACACGAACAGGCACTTTTCAAAAAAAAGCATACATGCAGCCAACTAGCATATGAAAGAAAGCTCAATAGCCCTGATTATTAGAGAAATGCAAATCAAAACCACAATGAGATATCATCTCACACCAGTCAGAATGGCTATTATTAAAAGTAAAAAAATAACAGATGCTGGCGAGGTTGGGGAGAAAAGGGAACACTTATACACTGTTGGTGGCAGTGTCATTTAGTCCAGCCATTGTGGAAAGCAGTATAGCAATTCCCGAAAGAGCTAAAAGCAGAACTAATATTCAGCCCAGCAATCCCATTACTGGGTATACACTCAGAGGAATATAAATCATTCTGCCATAAAGACACATGCATGCAAATGTTCACCGCAGCACTATTCACAATAGCAAAGACATGGAATCAACCTGAATGCCTATCAATGAAAGATTAAATAAAGAAAATATACACACCCTGGAATACAATAAAGCCATAAAAAACAACAAGATCCACATATACACCATGGAATACAATGCAGCCATAACAAAAAACAAGATCGTATCTTCTATGGGAACGTGGATGGAGCTGGAGGCTATTATCCTTAGCAAACTAACCCTGGAACAAATCCTGCATGTTCTCACTTTTAAGTGGGAGTTAAATGATAAGAACCTATGAACACAAAGAAGGAAACAAGAGACACTGGAGTCTACTTGAGCAGGGAGTGTGCGAGGAGGGGGAGAGCAGAAAAGATAGCTATTGGGTACTGGGCTTAATAACCGGGTGATGAAATAATCTGTACCTCAAACTTCCGTGACACATGTTTACCTATGTAACAAACCTCCACACATACCCCTAAACCTAAAATAAAAGTGGAAAAAAAAAAAGAAAGAAAAAAACCCAGTTCCTCTGGCCTATGGTAAAGGCTCTATGGGGTGAGGGTAAAAGTGCTCAGATCGTACCTCCAGGAGGTCAGAAGATGAGGAGATAAGGGATGCAAGAGCCCCTTGCTGGTTTGGAAGTCAGGGCCACTTATGGTCATGAAATAGCTCAAAGGCATCTCCACGCTTTCTTCAGGGGTCCAGAGGAGTGCCCTGCCTTTTCCCCTTTACTGCTACAGTGTGCGGGATCCACCAGGGCACCTCCCAAGCCATGTGATGAGCATGTGTGATCCTCACAGCACTGCCTTTCTCCTGTCCCTCTCAAAACCGCCCCTGTAGGTTTATCAGAGACTTTTGTTGACATGGGAGAGATTATAAAGACATTGTACCTCATGCCAATGCTCTTTCGATGACATCTCCTCTCACACCAAAGGGATAATAAGAATACTAATAAAAACATTTAAAAGAGCCAATAAGGCTTGGCACAGTGGCTCACGTCTGTTATCCCAGCACTTTGGGAAGCTGAGGCAGGCAGATAGTAAGCTCAGGAGTTCAAGACCAGCCTGGGCAACATAGTGAAACCCCATCTGTACGAAAAATTTAAAAAGACTAGTCAGCCATGATGGCGGGCAGCTGCAGTCCTAGCTAGTTGGGAGGCTGAGGTGGGAGGATCACTTGAGCCTGGGAAGCTGAAGGTACAGTGAGCCGTGATTGTGCCACTGCACTCCAGCCTAGGTGGCAGAGCAAGACCCTGTCTCAAACAAACAAACAAACAAAAACCCCACAATAATAAAGATGAGTGCTAGGATTCTATACATCTTCTATTAAAATGTTTGTCCTCAAAATTGAAAATGAGGCCCAGAAGATTAACTAACCCATCCATGATTTCACAGCCAAACAAGGGATAGGGTCAGGATTTGAAGCCAAAATTGTCTGATTCGAAATCTCTTTGCATTCTTCCAAAATACAGACATCACGAGAATCATTTGGGCCCTTGTTAGAAACTGAGTTTCCTAATGGCACCTGGTCCTAAGTCAGACTTTCCAGGTGAATGTCCTGGGAATCTTCATTTTCATAGGTGACTCTTAAGATCAGGCCAGTTGGTGAAAACACTGCACTGTGTTAACCTGCCACAAAGGACCACAAAGATGCTAAAGGTGGGTTGCGGTGGGGGAGACATACGTGTCTTTGGGTCCAGAAAGAACTAACATTCAATTCAGCTCCATTTCAGAGGAAACCAGACTCAGGCCGCTGTAGAGTCCTGTAGAGCGGCAACTTGGCTCCCCAGGCAGGCAGCTGGTGACTTCCCAGGGTCTGGCACATGAAATAGGTCTCCTGAAGTCCTCCCCCTACTTCAGGGACTGTGGCAGGCCCTTGGAACCACTTAATACGTGAGACTGCTTGGCCCACCACTGAGGTGTAAACCCAGGAGGTAGAGGGCTGAGAATAATTTTATCCCCCAGTTCATTTGTGGGCTTGTCAGTTACATAATGATAGTGATGAATGGGCTATCTTGACAGCCGAACATTTAGGAGCTGCTGACCTTTGATCTCTGGTCACATGATAGGGTCACCCGAAACTTGCATGACTTCTACCTGCCCAAAGGTAACAATATAAAGGTCAAATGAGCTGGACGATTATATGTATCAAGTCGGAGGCCGCTTGGTTGGACGCTTTAAGAGAGGCCGGGTTGGGTTCCCCAGCACACAATGCTATGGAACCACTGCAGAAATGTGCTCAACAAAAGATATACAATTTCAAAGCAGTCTAGAGTAACTTTCCTTGCAAGGGAATAGAATGAACTCATTATTTTTAAAGGGCAACAATGAAAACAAACACTTTGGAAGAAAATATATTCTGCTAGTGACTCAGCCATTGGGAGGGAAGGCATATAGGTGCATGACTTAATGAATGATATTCATGCTATACCTACGACATGGCAGCAGGTCCAATTTGATGCAATTACTGGAACAAAATCCCCACCGGGTAGTATCAAGCCCTCCTTTCAGCCACAGAATACGGTCTCTCCGCTGTCCTCTGTCACCACAGAACTCCACAAAGGACCATGATTGAGAAAAGATAACCCTTTCCAAATCTCATGACTTCCCTGTTGCTTGAAATTTAAGTAACGTTTGCATGGGACAGTCTCAAACTTCAGAAAGATTCCAGAATAACTTCTGATTAGAAATCCAAGGTGGCTGTGATTTTTAAACGCACTACAACATTCTAAAAAACATTTCTTCTTGCAAATTGGAAGACTGTGCTTTTTGACTATGTGGTTCAATTCCATTCACTCAGAATCAACT
This sequence comes from Homo sapiens, assembly GCF_000001405.40. Taxonomy (NCBI): domain Eukaryota; kingdom Metazoa; phylum Chordata; class Mammalia; order Primates; family Hominidae; genus Homo; species Homo sapiens. The sequence goes on along the minus strand of NC_000016.10, from coordinate 54,098,822 downwards.
TGATTCTGAGTAAATAATAGCAGTCATGTAAGTAACGAATACAGTTATGAAAATAAAAGCTAAAAGGCCAATGCCATATCTAGAAACTTCACAATCTGCAGGAAGCGGCAGACATTACAGAAAAATCTGATTTACACAAACAGCCTGTTTTTCTACAAAGGATTTTCCCCTGCAAAGTCAAAGACCGACAGACAGACTGCCAGTGAGTATAATCCACTCATACTCCTGAGAGATAAGCAAAGCAAGGGACAATGGCTTACAGAATAAAAGGCCAGCTGTTCTGACTTTGGAATGCTCATTTGAGTTGTAGGCTATGAAATAAATTTGAGTTGATGATTCCTCCATCTGCTCACCTGTCAGTCTCCTGCCACTGAACTGCTGTTTTTAGAACTACTTCCGTGTAACCTGCTTAATTGGTTTTTGGATGCCAAGAAACACCTCACAAGTTCATTTTAACCTTATTTGGAACATGAGGTTCCTGGGTCTTTCTGGATTTCTCTTCTTTAGAAACATTCACTAACAGGTCACTTAGGGTAGGGAACTCAGTAGCATCTAATACCAACTGTGTGACACAGTTCAAATTCAGGATTAGGGAGAAAATGGTGGGTCAAAAGAAAAATGCTAATTTATAAAGATCATATCAGTCTTCTGATGAATTAAACTGATTTAAAAGCTGAGTCAAAGTCAAAATTCTTACAGTGGTCCACAGGGCCCTCCATGATGGACCCTTTCCTGACCCCGATTCTCTGCCCTCTCCTTGCACTCATCCCATTGTTCACTGTGCTCCAGTCAGACCGGCTTATTTGCTCACCCTGAAGGGGCCAAGAGCAGTCTCAGCATATTAGAACCTGCTGCTCCTTCTCCCTTGAACACTCCTCCCCTAAAATATCCACATGGCTTCCTCCCCTTACCCCTTCAGGTCACTCCTTAATCCAATCAGGGAGACCTTCCTTGACCGCCTTACTCAGGACAGCAAACATCTCCCCTCCCTGTCCCCCAACTCTAGCACTCCCCATCTTCCTTCACTGTCCTATTTTTCTCTGTAGCACTTGATGCCATTTGTGTGTGCGTGTGTGTGTCTGTGTGTGCACACGCACATGAGCTAAGCTCTCTGAAGGCAGGGATTTCTGTCTGTTTTGCTCACTGCTATATCCTCAAAGCCTAGAGCAGAGTTTGACACATGGTAGCAGCAATAAATACTGTGGAGTGCACAAGGGATTGAAAGCATCTTGCATCTGAATTGTATCTCCTTAACAGGGAGCTGATTTCCCTGCTACACAGCAAGTTAATAACAGTGATAAGAAGAAGTAATAGCTGGGCATGTAAAAGTAATAGTACCCTGTAGTACCAGCTACTTGGGAGGCTGAGGCAGGAGGATCACTTGAGCCCAGAAGGTCGAGGTTGCAGTGAGCAGTAATCACACCACTGCACTCCAGCCTGGGCAACAGAGCCAGACCCTGTCACCAAAAACAACACAACAACAACAACAAAAAAAAAACAAAAAAAGAGCAAGCTAACAACCTAACAAGCCAGATGGTATAGTAGGGAGAGCACTGGTCTGAGAGTTAAAGACCCAGTTCTGCCACTACTTTACCCTAGGATCTTGGGCAAAACTGTGACTTTCTGGCCATCATTACTTAGATCTGTACAATGAGGGCTTGAGTTAGACAATCCCTAAAGGTCTTCCCATCTCTAAAAAAACTGTAGTTATATATATAAACAGTATGGCTTACGTCCATATGCATTATCCCATGTGATCCTCACTACTAGGGCAGCAAAGAAAGGTGTAATCCCAGTTTGAAAATGAGGCCACAGCTAGTGCCAAGGCCTTAACAGATGAGTCCATCTTGGGGCCTCCAGCCCTAGGACAACACAGCTGACACCACTTGAAGCAGTGACAATCATCTGTTACGGACTAAATGTCTGTGTCCTCCTAAAAGTCATATCTTAAACTCCTAGCCTCTAATGTGACAGTATCTGAAGGTCGGCCTTTGGGAGGTAATTAGGTCATGAGGGTGGTACCCTTATGAAAGGGATTAGTGCCCTTAAGTGAAAGCATTGTTCCAGGTCACACAACCACATAAATAACAAGTCATATTAATTGGGGCTGAAACTTAGGTCACTCACTAGTCCAACACTTTTCAACTAAACTGAACTTGGTAAAATTGGGATTACTGCCACTCACTCTTAAACTCTGATTCAAAAGCTATTTTTGCAGGCAAGTTCTAATCCTCTGAGCGATATGTGTCATTGACTCCAGTACTTCCTGGGCGCTATTTCACTCTCGCCAAAGAACCTATGGAGTCTTTAAGCTGCCGCTTCATTCCAAGGTTACAGATAATAAACTGCTCCATTTGCCTATGGATGTTTTATGACAGGAGCACAATTATATGTTGGTGCAGCTGTTTTGTAGAAAGGGAAGAAGTCCAGGCCACTGCAGCATCAGGATTGTCATGTTAACAAGCCCCTGAACTCCAAAGATGTCATAGTGTCCTGGCCTTAAATCCAAAGCAAGTCTGCATTTTGTACACCTAGGAAATGAATGACACTCTTTCTACAGCTAACATTTGGAAACTAACATTGCTTTGTCCCACATAAATATCTATGCCGCTGGGTCAGTGATCAAGAAGATGCTTGCTAAGTGTCCACTGATAAAGCCAGGATATGGGCAGAAGGACTTCTGTGACTTTTGTGCTTTTAGTATCCATTCATTCAACAAATATTTACTAGGTGCCAGGATCTAGAGATCCAGTAGAGAACTACACCAAGTCCCAGGTTTTGTGGCGCTTACATGCTAGCAGGAAAGTCAGGTAATAAACACATGTATCGGTTATAAACTGTATTCAGCTGCTAGCAAGGGGGACTGGAAATAACAGTGGTCAAAGTAGATGGGAGCTTATTTTTATTTCACATTAAAGAAGTCTAAGGACCATCACACAGAAGCAGACCATGGACGTCTGCAACCCAGGCTGTTCCATCCACCTTTCTGCTCTGTCATCCTTAGCACATGGCTGCCATCTGCGAAGTCACCTTTGGGGCCAGGACACTCCAACCACCATATCTGAGTCCCAGGCGGGGGGCAGCAGAAAAGACAGAGGGCTATAATATCCCCTTACCTCCTCTTTGAAAGGAGGACAAGTAACCCCCTCCATCTGGATCTCACTGATTAGAACTTAGTCACTGGGAAGTGTGAGATTTTAGCTGGACGTTGCTCCCTTTCCCTGTCAAAACCAAGACTTCAAGGAAGAAGCAAAAAGTGAGACAGGATGAAAAGCTAACATTCTCTGCCTGCCACACAATGTAAGCAAATAAATATCAAGATAATTTCTGCTAGAGATAAGTGTTCTGGAGCAAATCAAGCAGAGAAATGAAAAAAAAAAAAGAGTGAATAGAGAGGCTGAGGGAAGAGACTAGGCTGGGGTGGTTGTGATGGACGCTTGTCCTGGGGAAGGGTATTGTAAGTGAGAATGAGTTAGGCATTAGGGCTGGGCGCAGTGGCTCACGCCTGTAATCCCAACACTTTGGGAGGCCAAGGCAGAAGGCTCCCTTAAGGTCAGGAGTTCTAGACCAGCCTGGGCAACAGAGTGAGACTCTGTCTCTACAAAAAATAAATAAATTAGCCAGGCACAGTGGCATAAGTCTACAGTTTCAGCTACTTGGGAGGCTGCAGTGGGAGGATTGCTTGAGCTTAGGAGTTTGAAACCACCTTTGGTAACATAGCGAGACTCTGTCTCTGCCAAAAAAGAAAGAAAAAAGAGTTAGGCATGCCCAGGGGACAGCAAGGGGGCAACTGTGGCTGGAGGAAGGGGGCAAAGAGAGGGGATGGAGAGGATGGGGTCAGTGAAGTCTGAGCTCTTGGAAGCCACTGTGGAGACTGGATTTTACTCTAAGTGAGATGGGGAACCGCCGGAGGGTTTTAAGCAGGAGGATGATATGATCTATGTCACGGTGCTCCGCAGAAAGCCTCTAGATTCCCTTAGGAATGGAGTCATCTCATGAGACTAAACTTCTATGCTCTACCTACACACAGTATTCGTTTGATGAAGCAAAATATCTTACGCCTCTTCGGTGGCGTCCTAGGCCACTCCAGCTCTGGGGCTGGGAGGGAGGGAAGGCTGTAAACCTTATCCTTCAAGGCTTTGATGTATTGTTCGCCTTTGCGCTGGAATAGAAAAGAAGGAATCACGCCAAAGCCTCCCTGGATTCCCAAGTCCACCTGATGTGTATCTTCAGAACTCAACACACATCCAATTTATGCTGTTCTTTTTCTTTTTGGTGCCGTGAATTCAGGCTGAGGAAGGAGGGTAATCCTATATGCTGAGAGCCACGGAAGACTGAACAGGCCTTCTGAGTCAGTGCAAGGTTTGCTTCTGAAATGACTTGGTTAGAAAGGAGTTTTAAAACATCGTAGTTCAATAGAGAGCAGGCCAAATTCTGAAGTCCTCCGACTGAAGTTTTTGCGGTGCTGCTAGCAATGCCGCCACTGAATAAAGCCCACTGGAGCCTCGGAAAAGAAGGATGAGTTGCCAAAGAGACCGCCTTAGGCTTGCAGTATGGCCTGCAAACTTCAGGTTAACTGGGCGGACTTATTAATTAATCATCACAACCACAAGTTTCCCACCTGGGCATCTTTAAGGAGAAAGCAAGAGGAGAGACAGGCCATTATCTATTTATTACTTACTGTCTTGTAGTCTCTGGTCAACGGGCTGGTGGAGTGTCACATTTCGGGGCTTTGAAAGCGTGGGTCTGTCATTCCTTCACTGTCTGGGGGTGATCTCATTCTCCCAGCACCAATGTTTGCTTGTGGGGTGACCTTGGGAAGGGCCCTTAGCAACAGCATTTTCTCATCTGTCAAACTGAGACAGCCACAGGGACCCAAAGTCACGTCTGGTAAATGCTCAAGCATGGGACAGTCTGGGCCACCTCATCTCAAAGCCCCCTGGCTCTGGGAAGAAGGCTTTTTCCAACAGGGAAAATAAGCAAGGCCATGTCCTTGCCACGTGCCTGGTAGAGATGGGGGCAAAGGCAGGGTGGGGTGGAGGACGACAGTAGCTCTTTGTAGAAAAGACACCCTTAGGCCCTCACTGCGGATCCCAGATGCTTTCTCATTTGCCAAAATTCAGAAGGTCATAAGGAATCAAAGGACGACATCTGCTTGTGCAGAATGTCATTATAGAGGAGTCTGGGAACAAGAGGCCTGTTACAAGTCACCTTTCCAGCTCCTGCAAACAGGCCGATTAATGGAGAAGTTCGGCTCCTCACTGAGCATTACAGGAGTGGGGTCAGCTGGGACTGGGCCAGAGCTCGGCGGTGAGTCAGGAGAACACAGCAAGGACTTGATTAGCTGCTGTGACCTCCTGCCCCGTGCCCGGCCTGCCAGGGAGCTGGGCTTCTCAGCAGACTGCTAAGTTAGAATTTACACTTTTTGGAAGAACAGTTCTGCAGCTGAGACCACCTGGGAGTTGGCACAGAATACTTTACGGAGGCTCCATTATGCGTTTTCTGCCGCGCTAGCTGATAGGTTAGCTCGGGCGAGACTGTGAGACTTGGAGAACTTGCTATTCCTAATTTAAACTGTTCTTTCTAGCAGGAGACTGACTCGCAAAGGTCCTAGTGCCCAAAGGCATCCGCCAGTAAGTTCCGGGGCCAGGGTTGGATGCGTAAGTGCCATCAGCAAGTGGCCTGCCTGTGTGGCATGAATGGATGGGTCCCAGGACAGTGTTCCTGTCCCTCCAGGAACACTCTTGCTCTGGCTTTCAACTAATGCCAGGAAGTCTACCATTAATTTATTTTGTTCAAATGTATGGGGAAAGGAGGGAAAGGTATTTTTACAATGCAACTACCTCTAAGGAGGATAATAGTTTAAGCCACCTCTTGGATAGAGCATGCTGCTTCCTTGCTGCTTCCTGGTGTGAAGAAGGGAGAATCCCATGACCTCTGCAGTCCCTGGGTGAGAAGCAGAGGTAAACTTCCTTACAGTCTCACCTAGGGTTGATCACGTGAATAGCCTTCTGCAAGAGAGAGATGTACAGGAGGCCAGCAAATAAAGACTAGAAGCAATTTAACTGGTTCCAAGTTAACGTCCTTTTTCAGTGGGTCTCATGTAAGCGTCTGGGAATTACGGTTGCTAACTTAAAGTGATTTATAAAGTTCTTTCCCAGGAGAAAGGTCTTTTGGGGAGGCAGCGAGTGGGTCTGTGAATTATTTCTCCATGGTGGGTACAGTGTGAGGATGAAGGAACAGGTTCAACTGTAAAGAATCTAGAGATCTTTCCTCAAAGAGAAGGAATTCTCATTTTTCAGCAAGGTAATTTTGGACAGCCATGACTTGCTCTTTTAGACTTCAGATTTGGTAGAGACTCTGTTCTTGGGAGGTTCTTATCTTCTCTCCTACCCCCCTCAGTTTAAAGGCAAGTTTAATAGACTGCTCAACCCATTTGTGTCAAAGTCAGGAGACTAGAATCCAGGTCTTGAGATCCTTAGTTCACTATGGGCCTGCCTGCAAATTTTCCCTTTTCCTCTTAATGTTTTGTTTTGTTTTGAGACAGGGTCTTACTCTGTTGCCCAAGCTGGAGTCCAGTGGCACAATCATGGTGCACTGCAGACTTGACCTCTCAGGCTCAAGTGATCATCCCAACTCAGCCCCCCAAGTAGCTGGGACAACAGGCATGTGCCATCATGCCCAGATAATTGTTTTTTTATTACTTTTTGTAGAGACAGTGTCTCACTATGCTGCCCAGGCTGGTCCCAAACTCCTGGCCTCAAGGGATCCTCCCACCTTGGCTTCCCAAAGTGCTGGGATTACAGGCATAAGCTATAGTGCCCAGCCCTTTTTCTTTTTTCTAATGTTGTAATTGTTAATTGCCAACATTTTCTGAGCATCTACTATGTGCCAGATGGCACTGTAAGTGCTTTACTCATGTAATAATCCCAGTAACCCCATCAGGTTGCTATGATTATTATCCCTACCTTACAGATGCAAACAGTGAGGCACTGAGTGGTTATGTAATTTGCCCAAGGTCACAAAGATTGTGAGTGAGGTAGCCAAGATGTGAACCCAGGCAGTCTGGTTCCAGAGCCCATGCTCCAAATCACTCCCCTATAATATGATGGAAACATGGCCCACTCACAGGTTTACATCCAATGACGTAGAAGGGTTCACAACGAAAAAGCAAGACTGTTCCACTCCATCCATCCAACCCGCAGATTTGTTTCATATGGTAGTTACCTTCTGTATCTCTAACTAATATGCATGTACCCTGATTTCTTTGTTTGCTTTTTAAGACACAGGGTCTCTCTCTGTCACCAGGCTGGAGTGCACAGTGGTGTGATCACAGCTCACTGCAGCCTTGAACTCCTAAGCTCAAGTGATCCTCCCAACTCAGCCTCCTGAGTTGCTAGGACTACAGGTGTTCACCACCATTTCCGGCTTATTTTATTTTTGTAGAGACAGAGTCCCACTGTGTTGCTCAGGCTGGTCTTGAATCCTGGCCTCAAGCAATCCTTCTGTCTTGGCCTCCCAAAGTCCTGGGATTACAGGTGTGAGCCACTGTACCGGCATACCATTTCTTGATCGATTAATTTTAGATATTATCTGTTGGTTTCCTATAATGTTTCATGAGGATTTTGCTCTCACTTGTTCCATGCATATGTCCATGGTGTTTGTGGTAACTAGCCTCCAAACATGGCCTCCAACGGACCACACCTCCAGCACTCACTCCTGCATTCAACCTGGACTGGCCCTTTCTGTGACTTGCTTTCAACAACAGATCACGGCACAGGTGACTCTGGGCCATTTCCTTAAAAAAGCCTGGCAGTTTCTGCTTTTGTATTCTTAGGTGTCTTGAGCCGCCATGTAAGGAGCATGGCTGCCCTGCTGGAGAGCCCACATGGAAAGGCCACTTGGAGAGAAAGAGGCCCTGAGACTACAAGGAGAAAGAGAGGCCCAGAAATCTCAGAGTCACAGCAGAACCAGCTTTTTGGTCCCAGCTGCTCCCTGACTATAGTCACGGGTAAGACCCTCAGTGAACCCAGCAGAAGAACCACCTGTCCAGCTGAGCCCTAGTCAACCCCAGAAGGCCGGAGTCTTAGATGAGGAATAATAAACTGTGGTTGTTTTAACTCACTACATTTCGGGGTGATTTGTTACATTGCAATGCATAACTGAAATAGCGTTTTCCATATTATGAGATCTTTCATTGGATGCCTTTGTAACTGTCGATGACATGCTTTAATTCTGTATATGGTTCCATTAACTTTTTTTATGACAAAATATATATAACAAAAATATGCCATTTGAATCATTTTTAAGTATACGGTTCAGTGGAATTATCACATTTACACTTACAATGTTGTGCAACCATCACCACTATCTATTTCTAAAACTTTGCCATTACACCAAACAGAAATGCTGTACGTGTTAGGCAACAAACTCCCCATTTCCCTTCTCCCAGCCCCTGGTAACCTATCATCTACTTTGTCTCCATGGATCTGCCTATTCTAGATATTCTATGTAAGTTAAATCATACAATATTTGTCCTTTGTGTTTGGCTTATTTCACGTAGCATAATATTTTCAAGGTTCATTCATACTGTGGCCCGTGTTTCAATTTCATTCCTTAGAATGGCTGAATAATATTCCACTGTATGCATATAACACATTTTGTTTATCCATTCCTCTGTTGATGGATATGTGGGTTGTTTCCACCTTTAGAACACTGTGAATAATGCTACAATGAACACTGATGCACAGTATCTGTTTGAGTCCCTGCTTTCAATTCTTTTGTGTATACATCTAGGAGTGGAATTGCTGGGTCACATGGTAATTCTATGTGTAATTTTTTTGAGGACCCATCAAACTGTTTTTGAAAGGTGCTGCACCATTTTGCGCTCCCACCAATAATGGAGGAGCCCCATTTCTCCACATGCTTGCCTTGTTATTTTCTTTTCTTTTTTTTTTTTTAATTGCCATCCCAGTAGGTGTGAAGTAATCTCTCCTTGAGGTTTCGATTTGCATTTCTCTATTGACTAATGATGTTAAGGATCTTTTCATGTATTTATTTGCCATTTATATATCTTCTTTGGAGAAATGTCTAATGAAATCCTTCGCTCATTTTAAAAATTAGATTGTCTTCCTGTTATTGAGTTTTAGGCACTCTTTACATACTCTGGACATTAAACTTTTATCAGATTATATGATTTGCAATATTTTCTTCCATTCTATACGCTATTTTTTTCACCTTGGTAGCATTCTTGATGCATAAGAGTTTGTAATTCTGATGAAGTCCAATTTATCTGTTTTTTCCATTAACTCTTAACCGTGTCTCCCAACTTCCCTTTTTATAAGATGCAGATATGAGTGCTCAGTATAGAATGAAAGACTGAGCCAATTAACAGCACAAATTGGAGCTGAAGGAATATGAGATATCCAGTATCTCTTACACTCTGGAAGGACTGTTTCCCTATCTCTGCCATTCTCAAGTCAGTTGTTGGTTTTCACTAACTGACAACACAATTAACCCAACTTTGAGTTATTCCCTAAACTAAAAGTAATTAGTGTGAACTGTTTTAAAAATATTCTAGAATCTTTAATTAAACTCACTCAGATTGGAAGTTTCCATTCTCTACTTGTGCAAATGCATAAGATCTGGCTAGGTGACTTACTTCTTCCACTAACCCAAAGGCAATTAACTGGTGAGTATCTCAGCACCTACTCAATTCCTGTCCAGAGGAATGACAGTACCTGAGATCCCTGGTGAAAAACTTCTCACGGAATTCGCCCTCAAACCTTCCTGGAAAAATTTTCTCATTCTTCAAAAGAACTTCCTGCCATCTCCTATTGGATTTGTAAGAGATTTATATTGGACTGAAGGATGGTTATCGAGGCCATGTATGCATATCCTGATTGGCAAACCATCCTTTATGTAATCAGTGACAACTCTTTATAACGTGGGTGTTAGCAAACAAGGTAAATGGAAAACTGAATACTGTGTGGAAGGACGCTACTATGAATGAATGAATTTTCCCAGTGTGCAGTGGTAGTTCAAGGGACATGGTCTGATCTGTATAACCGAATTTGTGTAACAAGAAACTTGCCATAATGATGTTTTCCTTTCATAACAACCTTTCCTTGGGCATTTCTGACAGGAGATTCTCATTTTCCCCCTATTGAAAACATTTAATTCACTGCCGTATTTGGAATATCTGTTTATTTGTGGGGCATTCAAAATACGAAATATCTCATAGTTGTTTTTGTCCTTACCATCAAGAAGGAGGTGTGGCTTGGTAGAAAACATTAAAAGAGTGTTTTGAATGATCAGGTCAGTAGAAACATACTGAAGAAAACTGTACTTGCAAAAGCTAGTTAAGCATGCCATTAAGACAATTATATGAACTTAGTTCCAACCAGATAATGACATTTTGCAGAATTGCTTATAATCTGAAAACCTGGAAGCAAAATCCATCACTGAAGGAATGATACTAAATTACAGTATATGGACTTCTCTGAAAGAATAGATTGATATGTTCTAACATGGAAAGATTTCTAAACATAAGGCATATTATTGAGTAAAAACGCAATGTGGGTATTGATTTGTATGGCATAATAACCACTTATGTAAAACAAATAAGGAAAACATATGTTTGTCGTTGGATACATGTATGTCTGTAAATGCATAGAAGAATATTTGGAAGGGCAAGAAGGTCTATGTTTGGAAGCAGTGGTCAAAAGACTTTACCCTTATCTATAAAGTTTTAATTTTTACAAAGTGAATGTATTGTGCATTACTTGTACAGTTAAAAATTGATAAAGATGCTAAAAATGGTGGTGACTAGAACTAAATACCTTAGCTGCAGACATGAATCAGCTGTTAAAGATTACAACTGCCTTCAATTCTCATTTCCTTTCTAATAAAATTCTGGGAACTTAGCAAGAAGTAAATTCTTGGCTTGGTCAATACAGTACTTTGAAGTCAACTAGGTGAAACAATTTCTTTGCATCTTGTTTTTGTAAATTTCTTTGTCTTTTTAGAGATAGGGTCTCACTCGGTTTCCCAGGCTGGAGTGCAGTGGCGTGATCATAGCTCACTGTGAACTCCAGGGCTCAAGCAATCCTCCTGCCTCAGCCTCCTGAGTAGCTAGGACTACAGGAGCATGCCACCACATCCAGCTAATTTTTAAATTTTTTGTAGAGATGGGGTCTTGCTATGTTTTCCAGGCTGGTCTCGAACTTGTTGGTTCAGTGATCTTTCCTCTCTGGCCTCCCAAAATGCCGGGATTACAGGTGTGAGCCACTGTGCTTGGCCTCCTTTGCATCTTGAGGGAGAATTTACAACATTCCTTGCCATTGTAGTAAAGGTAGGGCTGTCTGAGGATTGGAGTAGAAAAAGGGAGTTCTTTTGATTGTCTATCTCACCTTCCCCAAACTTCTGCCATCCCAGTAAAACTGAAGCCTTGCGACGGGAAGAGTAAAGGACCATTTACTATACTTATTTTAAACATCTAAGCTTTAGAAGACTTTTTCCTATCTACATCCCTGTTAAGAAAAGTGTCAAAGCAACAAAGATGCAAAGTGGAAACAGATGTTTTTCTAGAAACCAAAAACGCTTTCAGGAATGGTTTTAGGTGTTCACGCTTGTTTTCTAAGTAACTGTACCAACCAACTTTTCTTGTCCACTATTCTAGCCCCTGGCATGTTCCTTGCACCCTGCTGGGCACACATGCTCAAACAGGGCCTGGTCATGGCAGCCTAAGTTCCTGGCAAGCCTTGAAGACAGGGGAAGGCCTTGGGCTCTCAGTTTTAACTCAGCTACAGAGCACCCAGCACAAGAGGCCCAAGCAAGTCCAAGAGAAAGCAATGGCATCTCATTCTCTGGCTGAGTTTGCTTTTTCCTTATGGGGGCCGGCAGCCCACTGAACTCCTTTGGGACGTGGAGGGTCTTGGGAATACAAGCTCTCCCCGTTCAGTTCACGACCCCTCCCCTAAGTGTTTGCTTTTAGGCACCTCAGTTGCTAAAGGCATTTAACTTTAATTCCATTTGACTTCAATTGTGTCCAAATTACTGTAAGAAAGAAGACAACAAGCTCTAAATTGAAGAGAGACAGAAAATCATTGAGAATCCTGCCTTTATGAATATTTGATGAAGAAAGGTTAGATCCATAGCTGGTAAATTATAAGAAATTATGTCCATCATGTGACTCTGTCAGCAAAGGTTAATACAAATGGGTTGGGACTTAGTTGGGAAGACAATGCAGATTTAAAAAGATTTGTCCTGTCCTCACTGCAATTAGTTTTTCTCCTATTATTGGTGTAATAGAGTTGATCATTAGGATTATGGCAACAGAACAACTGCTCGGTGAAATCATTTTGTTTTTCAGACTATCATTGCATTTTCACCATAAATTCCTCATCTCTGCTAATCTTGTCCTTAATTGTGTGGTTGCTGTGGGCAGGATCCAATTATTAACTCTTTTGATCCTGCAGTGCCCTTGCCAGCAAGTATGCTGATTATATGCAGATGGAATGGGCAATCTTGTGTTTTTCTGTGGCTGGATACATGGGTCTTGTGGTTCATTTAGCACGAGCAGAAAAATGGTTATTTTTGTTCCAATAACAGCTTCAGTCAGGTGTGAAATTTTATATAATTGTGTTATAGGATTTTGCCCAGGTTAAGGGGTTTCGTGGGGCTTCCATTATGAACCTGATTTCTCAGGTATTTATGATTTGTTTTCCACTTTAAAAAAAATCTGAATTAGGCTCAATGTGCTCTGCCTGGAGGCCTTATTGTTGTTGTTATTTTGCAAAGGGGATTAAAGTAGTCCTCCTGCGTTCTTGGTACTGGGGAATATAACTGAAGTCAAGCATAGTAAGCTGGGATGTAGAAGAAATGGCACTGTGGACCCCAAAAGCTGAAGGCATCATTTGTCCAAGTGGCCTTTGGATGTGCAAGGGTACCTCTAGACCCTTTCAACAAGGCTGAAGGGCTTGGAGACTGAAGCCAGAGAGAGGGTGCGGTGAATAACCAACAACTACAGCGAGACGAGTCGGAGGGTATGTAGGTTTCTTGCTATTCCAGACCAAGCTCTAAACAAACAATCTGCAAACAAACTTCAATGCTTATTTGTCATCACTATGTTTATATATCATCTCTATGCTCCTTACTTACAGAAAATTCCACTGCCTTGGCCTAAGGTCACCTTTTCTTTTGATATCTACACATTATGAATTATATATCCTTCATGAAGTTGCTATATACTTTAAAAATGAGGGACATGGCTGATGGAATGTTTAAAGATGGTAAAAGACAAGGAGAAAGGCAAATATGATTTTGGCCATGGAGGGCATGTGAAGGAGGGAAAGATCTAGATAATGGAATGTACTCATAATAAACTAAAAAATAAAAATCTAAAAACGTACAGGTAAACCATGCTAATAAATCAAGAGACCCTACAGGCCCAATGCAGAAGACAAAGTGTTTTTCCAAAATCTAAAGGAAGGCTGGAAAAAATGGATAACTATAGAAAATTTGTCTTGGGAAGGGTTAAATGTCACAGCCAAAAGAATAATTGGAATTGTCATGCCTGTAGCAATCTCGCTGTAGAAGCAGTGTCTTAGCAAGGTCCACTGAGAGTTCTTTCCTACAGAAGTATACACTCTGCCCATACTTATAGTCCTCCAAAAGTAGGAAATTTAACACATCAGGGAGCCTGCTGGATTATCAGATCAACTAATCAATAGCGTTGACAATATTTCCACCTAAAAGCATTAGGGAGCAGTAAGTAAGGCACCAAAGCAGACAGGATCTTTGCCAATACATTACCTTGGACCTTTGACTTCTGCCAAGGGCCCAAGAGGCACATGACTTTTCTTCCCAAGGCCTGGGATTTTCTGCCTAAGTGATTTTGACCTGCTTGAGTTGAGTCAATTGCATCCTTCATCAGGAATGGGTACAGAGGACATATGCAAATGGCACAGACCCAGTCTCCCAGGCATCTGAAGCAGCATGGCAGGTCATGCCATTACCCCCTCTCAGCAGCCCTCCCCGCCCGGCCTCTGTAAATCTCAGCTGTGTGTGTGCAGCATCACAGGACTCAGTGGGATACAAATGGCTTCTCCCTGTATCTAGATTGCTCCTGAGACTTGAGCCACCTGAAGAGTTCTGTCCCCTCTGTGTGACCTACACCTGGTGGCTCTGAAAAGACATTTTGGCCACTCTCAACTCACTGAATTTAATGCTTCAGGAAGCAACAAGATTTCATCACTGAAGATGAAGCTAACGCAGAGAGACAAAGAAAATACACTGTTTAAGTCCCCATGTCTGTAAAAGGTCATGTGGGGCAATACAGAACCTAACTCATCCAATCCACACCAAAACATGCTCTGTGGAATCTGACTGTCTCCCCCAAACTGCTCCTTCTGGTATAGCAATCTGTACGTAGGCCAGCCCCCAAATATCAGGATGAACTCCATCTCTAGAAACACATTTGTCCTTGGAAAAGACTAGAACAGGACTGTCAAAGGAAGGGGAGTAACATTTGTCAAGTACCTGCTACTTTGTTTTATCTCATTTAATTCTCTTTACATAATCATTTAAAGTTTACTAATGAGGAAACTGAAGCTCAGAAGGGTTAAATAACACGTTCAAGGACAGAGAGCCAGTACAGGTTGAATATCCCTTCTCTGAAATGCTTGGGACAAGAAGAGTTTCAGACTTCAGACTTTTTCAGATTTGGGAATATTTGCATTATACTCACTGGCTGAGCATCACTAATTCAAAATCCAAAATCTGAAATGCTCCAATGGGCATTTCCTTTCAGCATCATGCTGGTGCTCAAAAAGTTTTGGATTTTGGAGCATTTCGGATTTCAGATTTTGGATTAGGGATGCTTAACCTGTACATGGAAAGGCTGGGATTCAAATCCAGGCCTGCCAGGCTCCAAAAGCACTACCCCAAACTCTTGGTACCACCCAATGTTGCCTTGCTTCCACCAGAGGAACAAAAGATAGCTTAGTAAAGGCAAACAGACAAAATGCCAGCCCCCGCAAACTTTCCAAAATCCCAGAGAGTAAAATGGCTGGGCAGTGGTGCACTTTGGAAGGATGCTGGTGTTGGTGTTGGTCTGTTCTCAAATAGGCTCCATAATGGCGGTAGGGAGGGCGGTGTCGTGTGTAAAAATGGGACTCGAGGCAAAGTGCAGAACTTCTTCGGAAATGGATCCACCGTAGCTCACATCAGTCACTGGGCTCTCTAACCATGACAAAGCCAAGGTTTTCTAAAACTGGCATATTATTGTAGTCTGCCTGGCTGTGCTGTAACTATTTCAAGGACTATTAAATGAAACCCTGGAGACAGTTTCCCTTAAGATAAAGAGCATGCTTTTTATTGTGTCATCAAAGGAGACCAGAAAACCTGAAGCTTTCGGCTTTAAAGACAACATAATGAGATCAGAGATTTTGCTTGCAAAGAAATTAACTTTCGGTTAATTAATGAAAGTAACCTTAAACAGCGGGCGTGTTGCCAACAACCAGGACACTATAATAAAATGGGGGGAGGTGAGGAGATAATGGGCTGCTTTCAAGGGGCCAGGGCTCAGCAGCCCAGAAAAGAAATTCGATGAGGATGCTGCTTGTAAATTTGATCTCAAATTCTTAAGATGAACAAATAATAGTCTTATCTGTAATAAAGTCTGCTACAAATGCTTTCTTTTCCCCCCATAATTTTCTGTTCAATTTAGATAGAAGATTTAATTAGATGTTGGTGAAACACCAGTTATTTAATAAAACCCTTAATAAAAATCTAATCTATGGTACATAGAAACCACTGTAACATAATCACAATGAAAAAAATACATTTTAGAGTATTTACTTTTTACAATTAAGAAAATATATATCTGTGACATGTCCTGTTTTCTACTCAAGAGGAGAGCTTGGAAAAACCCAAAGGTAATTCTTAAAAAGCTCCTAAATTGTAACCCTTTTCTCTTCTCAGGAAGTTTGTTTTTAAAGGGTTTCTTCTGAAGCAGCATGGCGGGTCAGTTGCAACCAAAAGGAGTCCTTGAACCTGGATGAACTGAATGAAGAATGATCCCTCCTATCTCAAAGTTTTTAAATTAAAGTTTGCTTACCATGAAAACTGACTTTAAGGATTCTTAAAATTGTATGAGAAGCAATATGAGGCCCTACATCTGTTTAACCTTACTGCAATTCTACCATCTAGGCTATCAGCAAACCCTGAGGTGGAAGAAGGACTCTCCTGTAGGTCTATGAGAGTACATAAGTTATAAAAGTCATGGAGCATGCGTGGCCCATAACACATATGAAAACAATGTTAAGGACAATTTGAGTAACTCCCTAATCTTCTAATACCTTAACCAAAGGCAGATTTCTGGACTGGACACCCCAAGCCCCAGGCTGCACTTGACATGCATTTCTTAGAGGTCATGTTTTCTACATATTATAAAACTTTGGTATTGGTGGGAATGTTGGTTTCCACAGGAAGTTGCTCCTAAGTTCTCAGCTTCTGGAGCAAGAATCAAGTGGAATTGGGATCCAAACTGTTTGAAACATCTGGTGGTCTGCTTTCTACAGGTTTATTGGAGGGAACTGGAAAGTTTGGAGAGAGTGACACCACCCTCATTTCAACAGTTTAAATAGAATTTCACAAAAGCCATGTCCCTTTACTTGACATCATATAGTCCTCATAACATCTTCATGAATATTTAAGTAGGAGAATCTGACTGGAGTAATTTTTCAGATAAACAGGGTGTGGGGCAGAGTTTAACTAAGGGAGAAGAATTATTGCCCCCTGTCTGACGGGGCGGTAGATGCTGAGGAAAATCAGGCTGTATCTCTGCTCTGTCCCCAATGACCTGGCACCAGAACTAAAATGCCTGTTGAACGAACTCACTTACGTCCTTGGCCAGAGCCACGTGACATCTCTGTTCCGTTATGATTTGAGAAGGTCATTGTTTAATGCATCTGGATATTATGATCATCCAGATTTAATCATCAGAATGGGGTTCTAGTGGCTTCCACTGTATATAAATTTAAATAATGGCCCATCCTCTCCTGAAGGAAGGAAAGTCCATAGACTCTGCCCATCTGTTCGGTGAGGCTGTTCATTTTGAATTTCTGATTAGGTGCCTCCTACTATTCCTACACATGCCCTATCTCCAAACAATGCCATAGTGTTTGGGGGCGTTTAGTAATTTATATATAGTGCTTGTTATTTTGGCTTCAAATCTGATTCCTCTTTGGCTATTGACACAAGGGTTTAGGGTGGACTGAACATGGCCAGTGTCTATTTAGATACACTGTGCATAAGTGGAAGACAGTGGGAGACTCTGGGGCCACACAGCCACTCAAGAATGTGTCCTGATTGGGTGTCAGGCTGGATTTCATATCTGTGAGTGTAATGCCAATACCTGCATGGCTAGTTTAGCTAATCACATAAGTCCAAGAAAAACTGGGGACCTGCCACAGGGTTGCTGGAAAATGAAATTAGGACACAGTGAGAAACTATCTGAAATAATATCTAATCGCCTTCTTTGGAAAGGGGGTAGGGCTGTAACCATAAGCCCCTGTTCTCGTATCACTTTCCAACGTGCTCTGACTCTGTCAGTTACCTCTTCTCTCTCCCCTCTACAAGTTGGCTTCTTTGTACCCTTGCCATACCTGGGGACAAGAGACACATTCTTTTGTTGAAAAAAAATATTGATGCGATTCCAGGTCTGAAAAGCAAAAGGGGGAAAAAAAATCCCAACTCCTTTTTAGGCATAAAGCACAGAGGCAGCCTCTGAAGCTTTCTTAAATATTAACATTATAATTAGGGGACACGGGGTTTTGCTTCGCTTGTGGGTTTCACACTACATCCTGCCTTAACAGGATCTTTTGGAGCTTGTGACGCCTCCAAGCACGAGCTGTTCTTCCAGAGGGATGTTGACTTTTGTGGTCTATTAAGCAAGCAATGCATAAGTCAAAGTATACTCTTCCAGGAGCAGAATACTGACGCAAATGCTTCAGGCCAAACTGCACATGAGTCAGTCCCTTTTCCCATGAGTTTTGTTAAAGAGAATTCTTCATAACAGGACAACAGTAACGACAAACTCTAGTGTTGAAACAATTACTGATCAGGTAACAAAAACCACCTAACAAGCCCATTCATCTTTGCTGAGGAAGCTGCCAAGACTCTTGGGTGATGGGTCCTTCAGCCTGAAATTCAAGGCCACCCTGCCTGTGGTTCCTCAGTTTAGCTAACAGAGTCCCCTCACCATCGGCAATTTAGGCTCAGTTCAAGAGAGGCTTTGATTGAAGTCCTGACTGTACAACTGAACGTGGGAAAATTATAAAACTTTGCTAAGTTTCTTTATCTGTAAATGCAGACACAAGTATCCATTTCATAGAGCTACTGTAAGGACTCAACGAGATCGTGAATGCAAAATGTATAGCACAATGCCTGGCACTCAGTGACTAGCCCAATGACAACTATTATTATTAGTAGAATATTTTCTGAGGAGCTTGGTGTCTGCAAGCTGTGACTGTTGTGATAGCCATTCTGTTACTGTCTGTAATATTCAGGAATGCTTCTACTTTTCTTTGCTTTTTTTAGAGACAGGGTCTTGCTTTGTTAACCAGGCTGGTCTTGAATGCCTGGCCTCAAGCAATCCTCCTGTTTCAGCCTCCCAAAGTGCTGGGATTACAGACGTGAGCCACCATGCCTGGCCTACTCTTCTTATGATTATTAAACCTAATAGCCTAAAGCATGAAAACTATCTTATGACTGGTATGGAGAGCGACCAACAGATTCAACTGGAACAGGTTAAGGCTCTGGCTCAGAGGAGACAAAATGGTGGCTCAGGGGCTACATTAAATCTACAGGTATTTATTTTGGCCTAAATAGTAATGACTCTTGCAATATTTAAAAAATGTGAATTAGTTCCTAAAAAGAAGAGAAAAATAAATAGAGATCTTAATAAAAAGTCCAGATTTTTGACTCTGCTTGAAAAATGGGAAGATCTGCTTATCTGGGCCAATACTCTGCCATGACGGTAACTGGCCAGAGCCGAGTCGCGACTGCCTCCTTAGATAGGACATACACGTTCCAGTTTGAAACTCGTCCAGGCTCTCTCTGTGCGGCCTGCTTCGTTCCTATTTATCACCAGGTCCTATTCGGTCTATTGGGCTATAATAGAGCCTGCCCATTTAGTGTGGCCCCTCACCCCGTGGGTTGCCTCTCTATTGCACTTCCTGCAGTTTTAGTTCAGGGCCTTGGAGCTGCTTTACCATAGTCTCATGCGTTTCCCAATCCCGCAGCAATTACTTGGGTAGCATCTATGTGTTTTTCTTCTAGTGGCTGCCATCAACAGTAAGTCTGTTCGTCGTTTGTTTCTATTCCCTAACTCTAGTAAAATTTACTTATGTATTTTCTTCTGTGGCTTCAGCCCTGGCTTCACTTTGAGGCCAGTTCAGACCCAGAAAACGTAGGACGATGCCAGTTCATAAAGCTCAGAATCAAGCTTCATTCTTGGTTTGGCCATCCTGTGCTTGTATTACCTTATTACCACTGATTATGTCAGCAGGCACTGAACTCACTAGATCTTCATAAATACTACCCCATCTCTAAGGGCGTACCTAGCATATCTGACAGTTGAAGCAGATTATTTTTTACCTATCTGTCTTTTATAACAAATTATTCCCAATAACTGTCACATAATAGTCAGTAATAATGTTTTCTAAAATTTATTATTTAGTTTTAACAATCAAATTAATTGTTAAAAAACAATTTTCTTAACTATTGAAAAATAAATTTCAACTTAAAAACATTATTGAAATTCAGCTAAATATTTTATGTAGAGAAGAACATGTTCATTTACCAAATGAAAATATTACACTGAGTAGTTTATAAACTGTTTCTCTGTTTTAGATTTTTTTAAATTTTTAAATTTTATTTTTTGTATTTTTAGTAGAGACAGGGTTTTGCCATGTTGCTGAGGCTGGTCTCAAACTTCTGGCCTCAAGTGACCCACCAGGCGTGAACCACCATACCTGGCCTTTCTGTTTTAGAGTTTAAACAAAAAGAAAAACTTCAAGTGCTCACATGGTAGGAAAGAGCTGAAATACCCCAAATGTTGTTTCTTCATCTTAATCACTATTGATTTTGAATCTACTGTTCAGATGCAGAAAGATGTGGCACTACAGTCACTGGAGACACAAACTCTATCTGAAGTGCACTCAAAACAATCCAAATGGTAATGAATTGACTCCAGAAACGAGCATGTGTAGCTGACTGTGTGTGTGTCAGCAGCTGACTGTGTAACTGAGAACTCTGCATCCATGAAGAACACAGTATTTAGTAAGGGATATGTTACTAAAATGTGCTAATTTGAAGTGTGTGTGTGCAAATATATATTTATAATTTATGTATATTATAAATATTATATTTATTATTTTACTAATATATATTTAGAATATTATATATAATTATATACTATTTTACTAAATAATATATATATTTACACACACACACTTCAAATTAGCACATTTTAGTAACATATCCTTTACTAAGTTTATAAGTTTACATATACATATATGTGTATTTGTATATAAGTTTACATATACATATATGTGTATTTGTATATGTAAACTTTAGATGTAACTTTGAACACTGTTTAGAATTTAGACCAACGGAAGATTTTGTTAGGAAGGATTTTTACATTGATCACAACTGATGGTGAAAGGGGATAATAAAAAGCAGACTGACTCTTAGTTTTATTATTGTTTGGAAGTTTTTCGACAGACAGTGCACCCCCTTGTCACCAGCATGGATGGGGGTGGGGCCGGGGAGCTAAAATGGACTGCCCCCACTGCCCCATCCTTGGTATGTCACTCTCTTAAGGGCCCACCTCTTAACCAGATTTCTACTTTTTATGGTTAAGTCACTCTGGTCCGGGTTCCTGACCCCTTCTGAGTCTCTGATCTTCTCTTCCCAAATCCACTAATCTGGATTCTTGATCCGACTGCCTGCCATTCTGGCCTCCAGGCCTTGCCTACCTCTTCCTTCTGACTCAGCTCCCCACCCTGACCTGCCCCCCTGCCATCTGATTGTTTCAGCTCACCATTCTTTCCTCTCTGCATTTGATGATTTCTCTGAACATGAACACTTGCCTGCCTGACTGAGGGGACTCAGGAAGCTTCCTTTCCTGTCTGGCTGAACTTTGGGCACAAACTTCACATTGTCCTACCGCTGCCCGTGTCTTAAGGTGGCAATCATATGAGAAACATCATTTTGATGTTAGTAGCTTGGTGGGGGAGGCGGCTTCAGGATGACTACTGGGCCTTTACTGTGACTCACAGGTGATGTCAGAGAAAAGCTGCTCCAGGGGCACGGATGTGTTACAAACGACAGCCAAGCCTCACCAATACCAGCTAAAAAATATAACCATGCAGGTACTGGGCTTGGTCTGGGGCTTAATTCTTCACTTGACTCCACACAGCGTTTACTGGGCCCCCAAAGGCCGCTTTGGCATCTGTGATGTCCATTTCCTAGGACAGTATATTGCCTGACAGAATTTATGGTCTTTGGTTCTGAGCTGTCAATAAAATCACATGGCCACGTGAGGGCTTTCTCCACTACAATCTAATAAAGAATGCTTATCTTATTCAGGCACAACATCAGCTTTTCATATCCCACTAAATCTGCAAATCAATCCATGATTTTTAAGATTTCTTTGAGGGCAGTCTTAGCCTGGAGTTCCTTTATATATAATGATGATTATGATATAATAATGACGCTCCTTACCTCAGTCAGTTAATCACATATGTCAAATAATCACATAGGCCGATTAACTGAAGTTGTTTTCCTCAGCTTTTGCTTAAAATTTTGACCCATAATATAAAAAATAAGAGCTTTCAAAAAGAGTGGTGGTTATGCCTCATCGTTTGGGAAAAGCAAGCCAGAGGTTCAATATTTAATTCAAAATCCTAAGCATCCATTATTAACACAGATGCCTTTACTCATCTGCAGTAAGGACTAATTACCCTGGCCTTTCATGCCTTTTCAAATGAAATGATACAGGGATGCATTTAAGGTGTGGCTTTGATAGACTAAGATTATGATTATATCCTGTTTATTTAAGTCCCTAAAATCTAACAAAATATCAGCATCCAATCACGTATGCTGCTTACACCCACATAATTTATATGTACATAATATATACATATATGGCATATATGTATACACATATATATGCATATACATACAAACACATATGTGTATATAAAACGCAAAAGACACTGACTGTCACAGACAGTTTCAACGGGGGTATAGATCAGTGTGTTTAAAGAACAGCATTCAAATGATTTCCTGCTATTCTTTTCCCTGTATACTTGCTTTGTGGAACTCAAATGTTGCCCATTTCTGCATAGCTATTATATGTTTCTAGGGTGCTGCTCTGAAAAAGTGACTCCTTTATTCTCATGAAGAGGAGAAAGGCAGGTTAATCATCTATTGACTCCTCAGTCCTACTGCTGGCATAAAGCTCTGGCTTTGCTTAATTTCCTCTTTTTAGTTACCTAACAAACACACATCACCAGGAGGTGCAGGTAAAGATCGAAAGATTAAGTTGTGTCACTCAAATGATAACTAAAAAGAGTATTTTAAACACACTATAAATATACACAAGCCATCATAAAATCATCAAAACCCTGCCAGAGCTCACCACCTCTAGAGTATACAGATTATCAGGAAGAGGGATATTGATGTTAAGTCCTGCTTGTCTTGGAGGATTGTCATTAACCGTCCCAAGCCTGCACTCGGCTAGCCACCTGAGCTAGGGGAAGATGGGGAATCCGGCCTCGCATATTCTAGTGACAGATTCATGGGATTTGGGACAAGCATTTTAATATGCATTTAATTGTGATCCTTTCTACTCAACTCTAAGATTCCTTAAAATATATTATTCTAAGAACTATAAATAAAAACAAGCATCAAGACTCTGTTGCCCTGCTTAAAGAAATAATTTCACATACAGTAAAGATTTAGTAAAACAGATTAATTTCATCGAAAAATTTCATTTATAGCATGTCACAAAAAGACACATGAGTCCATGTATATTAGAAGCATGCGGTGACATCACCTTTCATAAAAAGAAAAGCTTGTCATCACAATCTTATTAGGATGTCATGCATTGTTAAACTAGTAAAATATTTCTGTATACTCCAATTAGTGCAACCATTTACTGGCACAGACATTACAGAGAAAACTATCATCTTTTAGAAAAGTCCTTTCCACCGGGAACTAATCCTTTGTTTGACAATTCAGAGAACGTTATTTAGAGATTTTAATTGCTCAGTTGATCTGTGGCTGGATCTCAATAATCAAAACAATAAAATTGTTGGTTTTCTTTTTTCTTGACAACTGTAATAAAATGCTGGTAGCGTCCTGGGATAGTTAACGAGAGCTGGATTGACACTGTCAGATTCTTTTTCATATATCTTTTTTATCAGAGGCGAACAAACCATTTTTAAAAGTAAAAAGTACGTTAATAATATTGCCATTACCAACAGATATTCCAAGTATAACTTCATGTCTACATGAAAAATCCAATCTAATGATCTCTAACAATCTAATCTGATCTTCTATGAAAAAGGGCCACAATTCTTAATTAAAAAGAAAAAAATATTTGAATCAATTAGAAAAAGCCAAGCATTCCCCCAAAATGGGCAAACGACATGAACAAGTATTTCACAAACGAAGAAATAGAAATAGCCTTTAAATATAAGAAAATACTGCTACCTCATTCATTATCAAAAGAATGCAAATTAAATCAAAAAGATACTGTGCTGGTTTTCTAAACTATCAAACTAAAACAGTTTACACACACACACACACACACACACACACACACACACACTCTCTCTCTCTCTCTCTCTCTCCCTCTTTCCAGTTCTGGTTAAAGCTACAGAAAAACAGGTATGCTCACTGGCTACTTGGGGAGCCTATATAACTTGTTGCACTTTTTGGAAGAACATTTTGCAGTATGTGGTAGAGCCTTAAAAATGTGTGAATCCTTGGCTCGGTAATTCAATTTCTAGGAATCTATCCTTAGGTGATAAAGATTCACACAAAATTTTTAGACAAGGATATTCATCCCAGCATTTTATATGATAGGGAAAAAAATAGGAAACAACCTAAATGTCTAATGATAGGAGAAAAGTTAAATAAATTATGGCATATCCATACAAGGGAATTCTAGTTTCCCTTAATAATCATGTTCCCAAGGAATATTTAAAGATAAGAAAACCTGCTTATGATATAGTAAGTGAAAAGAGGCAAAAGTTATAAAATATTATGATCCTAATATTGCTTTAAAAAGTATATATACAAGTATATATGCATTAAAAACAGACTGGGAGGCAACAGGCTCAAATATTCCTAGTGGTACCCAAGGTGGTAGGCTTACAGGAGACTTTTCCTTTCTGTTTTATACTTCTCTGAATTTTCAAAACATGTCTTTAATGAAGACAGATTACATGCTAATTTAAAACATGTTAATTAAAAAAGCAAACCCAGAAATATTTAGCCTCAAAATTATTTCCTAAAAGTTTCTGAATCACTTGGCTTAGGAAAAGTAACCTTAGATATAAGTAAATTTCTGCTTTTTTTTTTGGAGAAGAGTTTGGGGATATCTTCATAACGTCAAATTTCACAGAAGTATTGAAATAAGCATTAAAAAAAACAGTTTTCGAGGGTAGAACTAGCAGGCAGGATGATCAGCAAGTCCTGATAAAACAGTTTATTGTACAATGTTAACTCACAGGACAGACTATAAGACACCCAAAACATAACATTTAGTGCCAAGGGAAATCAAGCCCTTGGGTTTGGTGCAAACAATTGGTTGTTAACAACTGCTGATAGAAGAAACACAAATCGGCCCTGAATTTGCACTCAATTTTGATTTTAATATTCTATAGATGGGAGTCTATAAATGAGTATTCTATAAATTTTTATTCTTTAAATCTATAGAATGAAAATTCTGTACATGAGTATTCTATAAATACTCATATTAGAAAGAAGAGTTCCTGGGCTGGGTGCAATGCACATGCTTGTAATCCCAACACTTTGGGAGGCTGAGGTGGGAGGAGAGCTTGAGGCTAGGAGTTTGAGAACAACACATTGAGACAGTCTCTACCTCCCTCCTCAAAAAAAAAAAGGGGAGAGAGAGAGAGAGAAGAGAGAGAGCTCCTCCCAGTAACCACTAGCTTTCCTAATCCCAAAATACACATGGGGGAGGTGGGACTTTCTGCCTTCCTTTCTCGGGGACTATTTTAAAAAAGCCACTGACTTTAACTCAGGGCCACACACGTTCCTGAAAACCCACGCCAAGCCTGATCCTGAAGATGAAGACCATTATAAACTTGCTGAGGAGAGATGTTTCAAAGTCTTAGAATTTTTCACTCCAAAAGTAAAACTTAATTAATTTGCCTACTAAAGAGTCAGAGAAGAGAGACATCAGATTCTCTGAACTTAATCTGCCTCCTGCCTGGTACCCTCACTTCTATATTTTCTCTTTCCTGTTGGATTCCATTTGGGAAGAAAGGTGTCCCATCCCTTGAGAAGGCCATTTTCTTGAGTCTACTTGATGGATGGGGAGGCAGAGAATGCTTGAATAGGGACGCAACAGGACACGTAGGAGAGGAAGAAAGGTGAATTTTTGGTGGATCAACAATTATTGGTTTATTGATTGAGAACCTACTATGTGCCTAGTGTTTTAACTCACTTGATTTCGCATATCCCAGAATACCCAACTACAGCCTAATAAGGTCCTTCTCTCTTTAAACTCCAACCAGAATAATTCTTTGTAACTGTCAATGTTAAGGAATATTGCAAAACATGAAGTTTAAGAACTAGTCCAGCCACAGGTTTCTTCATTTTTTAATAGCAGGGGATGATTTAGATGTATGTCCAGTGGCAGATGGTAAAAACAAGGGCCAGCCCTTCTTTCTGACCGAGTCAGAGGGAAGCTCCTTCCAAAACGGAAGCCCCCTGTGGTACTTCCTAGTTAGCCATCCTAGTGAGGAGGCTGATAGGATGGGGGACAGTGTGAGGATGGGGCGGGGCACAAAACTACAGCCTGGGGAAAGGAACACGAACAGTCAGCCTTTGAACCATGCCTTGCACCTAGATTTCAGAGTCTGCTTTTATTTCAAAGCTCAAGATTTTCAAATTCAGATGCACAGCAGAATCCTTCCCCTCCCCCAGCTCAAGACTGCCAGTAGCCCCGTACATACTGTTAGCTAAGTGGCTGCAGTATAAATAACTGGAAGGAATGCTTTATGCTTGGCCACCCCTTCAGCAGGAGACAACTGGCTTTCTCTGTGGTGTTCAGTGAGCCACCGCTGATGCCTCATTAGAACGCGAGACACTCCTGCCAGCCCTGGGCGCTGGCTGCTGGCTGCCTGTGGTCTGCATCTGTAGTCATGACAGACGGCTGAGGCTGTTGCCTTCCACTGAAGACCAAGTACATGATCCACTGCAGTTAATCAATAGGATAATGGAATGAATCAATAGGAAAGATTTTTAGGAGGTCTTAATTAAAGAAACACTTGCAGATACAAATGATGTCTTCAATCTATTGATAGTGCCAAGGTGAAGGGTTAAACACAAACAAAACCATCAACTTTATTTTGCCGGCATGCCTTCCACAAGAGAAGAGCCCAGCAGCCTCCTGGCCCTGGGGTCAGCCCATTAATCAGTCCCTTGTCAATCGCACGGCCACATGGTATGGGAAAATTAGTCTATGATCAAAAATTTTAATTACTAAACAGCAACTCAAAACAACAATGAAAAATAGATGTGGATACCTTGTCCGGCCTTCCTTTGCCCCTAACGTAGGGGCGGCACCCCCTATAAAAACCGGTTCTGCAGACAAACTCCCCTATTGATGTGATGCATAGAATTAGAATAATTAAAGAAAGCCTAAATTGATGGATCCCATTTAGGCAGTGGAATTCTCCAGTGGGCCTTCTACTCAAACATGTTTACATCAATATTTTTGATTCCCCAGACGGTCCTGCACTAGGTACTGGTTTAAAGAGACATCAATCTGTGATGTCAGCATTTATCTAATGAACCTTCAAAAATCAATGTCCAGGATGGCCTGTTACATGCAGGCACCCAATTTGTCCACTCTTTTAGCCTTACTGGCTAAACCTACAGCCATAATAACAGTAAACGTGGACTCAAGTGGTCAGGCGGGATGGTTACACCAGAAGGGGCTGAGATGATATAATCAGTTTCAGGCCACAGAGCTCAAATGATACAAGAACAAAACAAGGAAGCCAAGACACCCTCCTAAACAGTCCAAGGGCCTCCTAAGTTCAGACATGCATGCCCTAAAACAGTCTACTTCTTGACCTCACTCCCCCACAAAACTCGCCTTTCCCTCAAACCGTTCCCATCCCCTTTACCGCTGCCTGACAGGATTTTGGTCCCACTCCTGACAGCTACGGTAATTCTCTGCTTTTTGGGTTACTCAACTGGGACTGCCATTTAGCTCCACTCAACAGGAGGCCTGTGCTAAGTTCTTCTCTTGTTAGTGTTTATGCTCAACTCATCCTCACCCTTCTGTTAACTGGACTCCTTGACACTGATATCTTGACACCCTAACAGGCAGAAGAGAGGGCCTAAGTTTGTTTCACTTCTCTTTTCCTCTTTAAAATAAATTGGCCTGTACTGGCTGCCATGAGACTGAGCTATTTCAAATGCATAACTTGGGGTGACAGCTATGCCATTCCCAATGCCAGTATTTGGCCTGCCTTACAATCTGTGCTTTTGTTCACTGCAGGTCTATCTCTCTCTTGACCAAAAGAGTCAGTCTTGAGAGCAAGTGTGGAGCTTGGACAGTTGTAAGATGTGTTGTGTGGGCTGAATTAGTTGTTGTACAATTCCTGTCTGTCTCTTTGAATACAGCTTTCAGCAGCCCCTCTTGCCGAGTTTGAGTCCAATTAAACTACAATGAAAGGTACCATGATTTCATTTGCTTGGATTGTCACATTTCAGAAGTTCAGTAGCCTGCAAAATGTTCGCTGTCTCTCATTAAGCAGGATCCAGCAACTGTGTAAAGTCTCTAATTTAGCTGCTTTTTAAATTCTGCTTTCAGTCTTGAAGATGGCTGCCTGCAGGGAAGAATTCCATGCCATCCGTGGTATTAGAAAGTGTTTTTGACCCTATAAGTAAGAAACGCATGAGAATAGCAAAACTGACTCTAAAAAAATGGACGATATTCTAAAGATTCCTGATAGGTTTCCAGTATTTTTCTGGAATAATACTTGCTTTGGATAGAAGGTGTGGGGAGGAGCACCTTCTATGTCAAAGAGCTATCAGTATGGTGATCATATGTTCAGAATCGTGAATAAAGACCTCTAAGGTTTTCTCCTGATACATACATATATTTATTTATTTTAAAATCTTCAAAAAATTTCCATTTAGATATACATTTTAAAATGAATTGCCTTTAATCAAAGAATGCTATATAAAATCAGGATGTCCTAGAAAATCTTATATGTATTAGACACTGGGGCAGATCTCAACTGAGTCTCATTTGTGCTTAAGGAGAAAAAAATGACCATTCTGCAGACTGTGTTTAGGCTAATTCTCATTATGAGTCTAGTTTGAAGAGGAAATTGCTCTACAGATGCCCGATGCCAGTAATGATAATTAACACGTATTGATTGCTTACTAGATGCCAGGCACTAGGTTAAGAGCTTACTATACACTAT
The DNA here is from genome assembly GCF_000001405.40 of Homo sapiens. NCBI lineage: Eukaryota > Metazoa > Chordata > Mammalia > Primates > Hominidae > Homo > Homo sapiens. The sequence continues at coordinate 54,070,050 of NC_000016.10, read as the reverse complement.
CTCATTTAATGAGATAACCTGTTAAATGAGATGGGTTGTCAAAAATCCACTTTCCAGATGAAAAAACCAAGGCATAGAGAAAGTTAAGTAACCTGCTCAAAGTCATAGCTGGCAAGAGAAAGAACCAATAATCAAACCCAGGCTTATCTGACTCCATGGCCCTTCTTCCTAACCATTTTGTATGTCTGCTTCAGCGGCAAGGGCTAGCACAACCCCCACTGGATTTACAAAATGAAAACTGGCAGGTGCACAATGATAGGAGTGATGTCTGTCCCACTTCCCTTGGGGCAGAGATTAGCATGGCCAGTGAGTCAATTTCAACCCTGGCTAATGCATTCACTTTGGTGGACAGGGATCTTCTGGAGCTCCAATCCAACTAATCTTTCCATTAAAAAAAAATAATACTTATGAATAGGCTTCTTTTTTTCTAATTACAAAAGAAAATTAAGAAAACATAGAAATGCCCAAAGAGAAAAAATATAAATAACCTGCAATTCTACTGCTCAGATATAATCACTCTTGGTATAGATTCTCTATTGCCTTTTTGTTTTTCCCCATGGAACGTATAATTTCCAATATTATTAGTATTTGCTTGGTGTTTGGTGTTTTAAATAAATATGCAAACCTAAACTCTGCATCATGTCCTTCCTACGTCTGATTGTAATCACTAGATTAGGTAGGCTCTCCCTGAATGTTAAACCTCTGGTTCTTTTAAATACCCTGCCATCTCAACTGACTCCACAGGGGCCAAACATGGAACTTTTTAGGCCCAGGTGGTGCAGACGGCCCCAGCTGGCTGAGAACTGAAGGTCAACGAGGCCCTGGGTCTGGCCGAGTGTGCCAAATCCTGAATCCCTGAAGCTTAAAAATGTAATCAGAGTTCCTTCTACCAGCTCAGGGACCCATGGATCTTCTAGCATTCCTTAAAAAGAAAAGTGCAGAAAAAGCCCAACATAAAACTGGAGCGATCAGTTTAATTATGTATGTGTAAAAAAATAATCATGATCAAAAAATGCTTTCGTTTTCTTGGGTAATGTTTTGGAAATATATATGGTTGATATTCTTGCTTGAAAGATGGAAACGATACTTCAGCCTGCAGCCATCAAGGATTTGCAGAACTGGGGCTGCTGCTCTCTGCCTGGCCCCGAGAAGGGTGTGATGAACACAATCTGAAATCAATATCAGGGAACAGTTACCGCATCTCAATATTATTTGCCGAGATGGGCTGCTGGAAGAAGAGTGGGGAAGAGAGATATATGTCAATAGCCTTAACGAAGCACTCCACAGCCATGCACAAAGGGAGGTCAAATAACTATCAGCCGACCAATCCCCATTGTAAGTAGTAAAAATGATAAAATCAATATTATTAAATAAAAAGTTAGCACTGCTATTGAACTCGCCCATGATCTTGGCAGTGCCTGGCTGAAAATGGAGGAGGCTATTTTCCCATCTCTTTGGGGGCAAATGTTTAGGATCGTAAACCTTTGCAAAATGTGGGGGCAGATAGGTATTTTTCATTCATAACCTCAGCCATGGGGACATGTGAACAATAGGGCCAGGTAACTGTTACCTTGCCAGAAAACAATGATCCTTCTCACCCCTGGGTGAACATATATTCTAAGGGCTTCTCAAGGCTGCATTTTTTAGAGCTAGACTTTGCCCTTCTGGCTTTCAGGTTGACAGAGGCTGGGCGAGCTCAGGGCTCTCAAGGAAAAAAGTCCTATTTGCTGTCCTTTCAAATCTTGAGATCTGGAAATGCACTAGAAAAAACCATGGGAGAGAAATGAAAGAAAAAGAAAAGAAAAATAAGAAAATGAGAAAGGAAAAAAAGGAAGACAACAAGGACATTTCAAGAGCTGAGGATTGACCTGTTCTTGTTAGCCCAGAGGACCGTGGGGAAGCTTCTCAAAGCCAGGGATGTGTTCTTTGCTGCTGGCATTGGGTGGTTAATTGTGCAAGCTGAAGGTAGCACACAGGCAGGTATTGAAAAAGACAAATTTAGAAGATAGTCCAACCAAAAATTCCTATGAAAGCAGCAAGCCCCAGTTATATCTGGAGGAGGAAGAAAAAAAAAAAGACAGAGGAGAGAGGAATGTGTAAAACTGAGTGACAGCCCGTCAGTAAGACTGCATTTGCTGCTCTGACCTGCATTTAAACACAGAGCTGCTTAGCCTTTTGAACACCTCAACTTGGCTCCCTTGTTTGCATTTCATAGAAACTACTATAGAAAGTAAACAAGAACCTTTGGTGAATTATTTAGCATACAAATAAACCAGCAAAGAAGGCTAAGTAGGCCTATATGAACTAAGTGGATTGAAATATTCATCTGTAAATAACCCTCCAATCTGGTGCTTTCACGTTCAAATACTACATGGAACATTAGACACAACTAGCTTCTAGGGATATTTAGGCTCACTAGAGAGCAATTTTTATGTCTACTGGCATCTGTGGGTAGTGATATGGACGGACTGTTAATATAACCAACATAAAATTTATGTGAACACTCACTGCAATAGCAACACACTGTCAGACAGCTGGTGGCTGATGCGGAGCACATGCGGATTTTATATGCACTGCGTAAACTAACCTTTGCAATAAAGATTTAGCAGGTTTATTAGTTTAGGAAATCGCTATAATTAAGGATAATTCATAATGGCCGCTTATCCACTCTCCAGCAATAGCTAGCTTAATTTAGGCTCCATTTCTCTGAGCCATAAATAAGTGAGCTGCTATCTTCTGCACAGATGTGGCATTCAACCTGTTCATGTTGGCTGGTTTTTGCTTGTGTTTTAATCAAAAGTATTAGTAGATAAGACTATAAAAAGCAAAAGGTTTGAAATAAATTAACCAGAAATGCATAGGCAAAGTTTTTTTTTTTAAGTCTATTCAAAAAAAGAAAACAAAAAAAAAACAACAACAACCAAAAACACCCCAAAAAGAAGTAACCTCTCCCTCCAGAGGTAAGACAATTAAAAATAAATAATGCTTTTAAATGTACTAAAGGAACTTTCATTTACAAACCTAAGGAGAGGGAAAGTGACAGAGCAATAACATTAATGAAAGCCAAAGAAATATGAGTGTGACCTCTCTACAGTATTTCCATTTAACTGTGCATGTAATTAAAGCCTGACCTTTGCAAATGCAGCATACTTGGCTGTGCAGTAACTTCCCTTGTGATCCAAGCTGGGGCTGCAGAGATGGGAGGCCTCTACAGTGCAGTATTGTGCCTTCAATGTTTGTCCCGTTGCTTTTGCTCTCTGTCCCCACTGGCAGGGACACCTTTCCTACTGGTCCTGAGCTACACCTGATACTCTTCTTCCAAACATCCACTCTATTTCTGTATGACAGCCCATACACTTTGCAAATGCCTGGGACATGAGTCAGCAAATGGTGGGCAGTGCCAGGATCTGAGTCCAGACTGTTAGCACCTTCAATACCAATGGGCTGGTGAGCACATGCGCTGGGTGTAGGGCACACTGCTAAGCCCTCCCTGGCCTGGTCTGAATAGCTAGCCAAAGAAGACTTTCCTTTCACGGGATTTTCCCCGGAACTGCAGCTTCACTGGCATGGGAATTTGGAATCATATGAAGGGCAAAGCTATATAGAGACTTCAGAGTAGCTTTGTTTTTGAGATTTTCATAATTGTGGAGTTAGTCCTCGTGTAATGAAAGGGTGTCGGTCTAAAAGTTGGAAGGGCTGGGATACGTTTCCAGTTGTGTCACTTGTCAGCTGCCATGTCCCCAAGAAAGCCAGTCAGCCTCTCTGAGTTTCAGCATCCCCATTTGCAGACCAAAACTTCATCACCTGTCTCACCTACTGCATGGACTACCGTAAGGACCCAGGAAAACAATGCATATGAAAGTCTCCTGGGACAGCAAAAATGCTATGGGGAATCCCGGTCCCAACACTCACTAGTAGTGGTAACTCCTCAGATGCTAGTGTCCCCAAGGCAAGGCGGGACCAATAATATCTACCTCATTCATCTCACTGGGTTAGGAGGATCAAGAGAAGTACTGTGTGCAAAAGTGGCTAGTCTAAACAGCTCTGCTGTATAAGTTAGTTGAGCTGTATAAGTTAGTAAGTTAGCTAGTAAGTTAGTTAGTTACCAGGTGTCCTCCTGATAGCTTCCAACAGTGCTGCTGGCATACGGGTTCCAAATATACTAAAGTTCCTCAAAGTTACTCAGGTCAGAGGGAGATGGGGACGAGGACTCCAAGGAGGCTGGGGTAATACCAAGTGTTGATGGGCACAGTGCCATGATCCCTAACAGTGGGCTGGAAACATCTTATCACCAAAATAATTTTTCCATTCCCAGAAAGGTCCAAGAGGTGGCCCGGTTTTCTCTGCGAATAGTTTGATCTGGTGAAGACAGGGAGAACCAGAAAGTGACAAGGCAAGCCAAACCCTCTAGAAGAAATTTCTCTCTGCAAGCACTCTCGCTGAAAAGTAGGGTTTGGTGGTAAGACTGAGGAAGTTCACATCATTTGACACTTTTTATTGACAAATGCTAGTATCTGATGTCCTGACTACAAAGCCGGAATATACTCAGGAGAGCAGCAACAGAGGTCAGCAGAATGAGTAACTGTGGGCCGGATGCGGTGGTGCACACCTGCAATCACAGCTCTTTGGGAGGCCAAGGTGAGTGGAACGCTTGAGTCCAGGAGTTCGAGACCAGCCTGGGCAACACAGTAAGACCCCATTCCTAAAAAAAGTTTAAAAATTAGCTAAGTGTGATGGTGTGCGCCTGTAGTCCCTAGTCCCAGCTACTGGGAAGGCGGAGGCAGAAGAAGGCTCAAGCCTAGGAGTTTGAGGCTGCAGTGAGCTATGATTGCACCACTGCACTCCAGACTGGATGATGGAGCAAGACCCCAGGTCAAAAATCAGTACATTAATAAATAAAATAAAATAAAATAAAATAAAATAAAATAAAATAAAATAAAATAAAATAAAATGTTATGCTAACACTCAGCTGTCCCCAGCCTCAGTGGTACGTGCCTTGGTGCCTGACAGTGGCCATTGTGACCAGAGTCAGGCGGGTGGGGGCCAGACCACTTCCAGGAGCATCCTTGCACATCAGAATGAGGAGATCTGCAGCCAGGGAAAGACCTCTCACTTACATTTCCTCACCAAGGCCCCAAGAAGCCGCATGACCTTAGCTCTCAAGTTAATAAAAACAGCCACCGAGCTCCCTTCAGCCAACTGAGCTCCGGTTATCTGGCGTGCTTCCCTGTCACCCCGTGATGGCAAGGGGCTCACCCTCTTTTTTAATTCACGTATACAGGCCTGTTTAATCAGGTGTGCACCGGGAGATTTACATCCCATTACCAACGTGTTCTTGGCAAAATAAAAATCGAATGCTGTGGGTTGTAAAATAGCTTTGGATTACAGAATGAGGGAGCAAGTAGGGTCAGGCAATGGTCTCTCCCTGCCCCATTCCCCAGTTCAGACTGAAAGTATTAGCCCAAAATGAGGAACATATTTATCAGGAAAATCTTTTATTCTTTTAAAATAGAGTTTCCTTTAGGAGTCAAAGTTCACAGGAACATTTACCATTCTGGTGCACAAATTGACATCTTTAATAAGGCTTCTGGAAATTCAGAATTTAAATCATGGTTAGAATGATAGGGTCAAAACATGTCAAACTCAGAACCCAGGGTCAAAAAGAAAATGTTTTCATTACAGCTGAACTGCTTTAAAATATTCTTAGTCTCACAAAATGATAAACTAAAATAAAGAATCTTAAAGCTAACAAATAGACCCCAGGGCTTTGGAAAGAAATATCTGGTTGCAAGGGCTTGCCTACATAGAAAGAATAAATGTTTAAATATATAGCACTCAAGTAGAAGTAGTAATAGTAATAGCAGCAGCAACAGTGGTGATAATAGTTTAAAGCTACATGTACCATTTTTCAGGAACCAGTTCTAGAATTACCAGTACCCTACGTTAAGCTCCTAGAAGTAAAACTAGCAGGATAAGTAAAGCTGAAATAGATGAAGTACAATTCCACCGATGACAAAGGTAGGTGGCAAAATAATAAAGGAATAGGACAAGAAGACTCATTTGAAAAAAAAAAGCTTATTGTAATTTCTTGTTTTTTAAAAATATTACCTTAAAAGCAGTCAGAAGAAGGGCTTGACAGATGAGTCTTGGGTCCCACATACACCCATCTTATTAACGATAGCGATCCTGATCACTGTTCTAGAAGCAGATGCTGGAATATTGGTTTGCTTCCATTCCCAGCTCCTGCTACGCTGCATGTAGACACAGGACTCATCCTGTGTGAAACCTTTGGATCCCCGATATAGCTACGCATACCTCTGGGGGTCAAAATATTCTACTGAAAAAAAAAAAAAAAAGAAAAGAGTTCTAAATGGCTGTGCCTCTGGGCCATTTAGGGCTTCTGTCCAAATGGCTGACAGTGACCCAATGAGGTTTGACTCTTATCGCTTATGTTTACTTTTCGCCTCAAATCTATTTCATAACTTCCCAGAAAGACAATAGAACACCATACGGCATTTGTGATCTCAAGGATAATTACAACAAAGATGATCTATTCTGCATAATAACAGTAACAGATTTCAAAACTGTAAAACGTAGCGCTGTTCGGATCTCAAGCCCAAGTGGGAAACAGCAGTTCCAGCCTTGTGCTTGTTTTTTCAAACAATTCCCTTGGAATTTCTTTCATTGACGAAAAGCAGATTTCCAGCCAGGAAGAACAAGCCTTTCCAGCATAAAAGATAAATAAGGGCCCCCCTGCTTCCGCTTGTCCCTTGCCTGGTGCCACCAACATCAGCAGTTCAGCAGTAGTATTTTGCTCTCATAACTTGGATTCATTTGATTTGCAGATGGGGACCCCTATTGGTATCAGAAAAATTCCGGGGAAAACGGAAAGTAAGCACAGCCTTCTAAACCAAATGTGCCTGAACTTACCAACAAAAAGACACAACATCCACAGTTCTACTTCATAAAGGAAAAGTGTCGAAATCTTCTCATCCCACCTGCACCACCACACACACCCTCTCGGAAACAAGGCTCTGAAGTTAACCTCCCCGCACACCCCTCGGGGGCGCATGTGTGCACACACACACTTTGCTCCAGCTGCCTGTGTCACTGGGGTTGCAGTCCATCTCTCTGCTGACAGATCTCTGTGTTGGGCAGGATTTCCAATCCTTCATGACTATCTATTTGTCACTGCAGGTGAGTGGTGGCACTCAGCCTGATCCCCAGCCACTTTCACAGTTACTTATCTGTCTTTATGGATTCATCCTGTGTGTCAAGCCAGCGCATAACAGCATTACTGTCAGGGTGACAAAACTGTCCCCAGAGTGCCACAAATGATTCTCTCTCCTTATGGCTGCTAGCAGGAGGAAACAGAGTGACACTACCTCGCCTCACTCATCTTTCTCTGGTCCTAGCCTGGTTCAGCATCTCCTCCTGCAGGTAGAGCTGGCTAATGATGGGTTCAGATAACAGCAGCTTCCGAGGTCTCTACAAATTATAAAGAAAAAAAGGGGGCGGGGCTAGAGTTAACTGCAGTGCTTCCTGCAAGCCACCAAGCTCTTGTCACCTGCTCTTAGGTGAGGCACTGAAGTGCTTAGATACCCATCACTGAGGAAGCCAGCGTGTGGGTCCTCCCTCCTCTTCAGCTTCCAAGGTCTGTCACTTTCCTGCCGCACCCCCCTGCCAAGCACACTACAATACCCAGTTCAGAAGACCAAAAAGGTGTTAACGGCCAAGCCTGTCAATCTGAACTATCACGGCAAGCCAAGATTTGAATGTTGTCATTTTCAGAGCAGAAATATTAACCGGAACTAATAATAAATAAGAATTTCAAGGGGACTTTGGGTTTGCCAAATGACTTGTAATCATTTCCACGAGTTGACTGCTTCAAAAATAACATCTCATTTCTTTTCTGTTTTTAAATGGAGCCCCAGTTGCACGTTCCTGTGCAGGCTTCCTTCAGAATGTAATTTTGACAGCAACGTGATGCCTGTGGCCATGTTACTTGGAAGGAAGGTTTCTGCTTTTCCTTTATTTTGATCCCACAACAGCACACCAAAATAAAGGCATCAAGGGACACACTGAAATTTTATTGCCGCCAGGAACTTGCTTGAGGAGTCCATGTTAAGGCATTCTAGCCCTAGACCAGGTCCTCTGTCATTTCACTGGCCTGCCCAAAGTGACCTTCTAATGCTACTCAACAGTTTCACAGAGCCCTCCAAAGTCAAGGTCAGTAGAGCATATCTCTGTTCACCAGGGCAGTCACACTATATTTTGGGGCTTCAGTTAAGTATTAGAAAAATAGATAGTCAACAAGACACTGTACTCACCAGGTGGGGCCGGGGATGAAGTTGAGTCGGAAGGCTTTGCTCTGCCTTTGGAAGGTCAACTGAAACACAAGTGCATGCGTGCGGCTGTACACACACACACACACACACACACACAAACACACATGCCAGTTCAGGCGTGCCTCAAACTCCGCTTTGTTCTTATCCTGATGAGCACTCACTGTCTGAGTTTTTTTAAACAGGTTCAATCTGATTTCTGACACTGGAAAAACAAACCTAAAAGCAATTTAGAAAACACCTGCCCATGAAGTCAGATGGCAAAATATCTAAAGCTTCTCTTGAAATCTGTGACCTCAGAGGCTGACATGGTTTGATGGGAAATTTAATGTAATAGGCTGCGAAAGCCAAGAGGCCTGTTGTCAGCAATGAAGTCTGAAAGTTAGCAGAATTAATAACACTGTACAATGGAAGAGCCCTCAAGGGACAAGGCTGCAGAACCAGGGCAGTGGGGAAAAATGACTTTTGAAGTCATTTCACTATGACATTCTGTCATCACTGCTAAACGGAAATAAAAAATCATCCGAATCACCGCATGTTTCTTTGTGTGTCCTTCCCTTATCTAATATAAAGTAATAACACCCCACCCAGGCTGGGAATGGACCCTCAAGGGATTCCGAGAGCTCCATTTTGAATCACTAAATGCAATAAGAATAAATGCAAGTGGGAGTCTGTTTAGCAGAGAGTGATGCCTGGTCTGTTGCCCATCGAAAGCCAATAAATCTCAATGCTTCAACAAGAGATGAAAATGGTTATCTCATCATTGCAGGGCCAGGGCGAAATTTTCTCTGAGCCAGAGTATTTTTTATAGATGATTTATGTCTGGGAAGGATAGTTATTTAGCAAAATGGCAGATAATGATGAATAGAAAGTAAATATGAATAGCAGCAAGGGAGTGGTGCTTTGCTGCCGCAATAGACCAAACAAAATACCTCCATAAAGTACATGCCATAGATAATTGCCATTACACTGAAACTAGCGTCCCAGTATGGCTGGGAGTGAAATACAAATGAGCCGATCTGATTTAGTAAGTGATTGTTTTTTGTTGTTCTAGAATACATGCCCCAGGAGTCTGCTAATTTTCCTTGAAAGCATACTTTGTGTCTATAGAATAGTGTTTAAGAGCACAGGCTCTGAGCTACACTGATTGGATTCAAATCCCAGCACTACTTCCTAGTTGTTAGACCCTTCACCTTTCTAAACCTTAGTTTCCCCGTCTGTAAAATGGAGATAATAGTATTGACCTCTTAGGTTTGTTGCAAGGATTAAATGAGGTAATCTGTATATAGAGATTACCATGATTCTTGGCAGAGAGTTAACATTACACCAATATGAGCTATCACTATTATTTTGGGGCCAGCCACTCAGAGAACGATTTATTACACTTTTCATTTTATCCAATCTTCTTCATTCACTGAGTCTTTCGGTTGAACCCAGAGTACGATTTGAAAAGAGGAGAGTTAAAAGTGGAAAATTTGTAGTCCACCGATTGGGCAGAGATGAACATTTACCCAGCACATTTTTTGATCATTCCACCATCACTATCCTTAATTCTCAAGGCATATGAAATGGTCACGTTATCAAGTTGGAAGAGAAGTAAGGAACAAAAGAAATTATTCATGGAGTTACAATGAAAAGGAAGTCTGTTTTAAAAAGAAACAGAACTGAGTTTTTGGAGCCTTTGAATAAAAGATAAGTTGACTGCACACAGAATGTCAAAATGCAATGGAAGGGACGTATTTTTTTAAAACACGTTTTATTTTGTACTGAAGCACCACACACAGAAAACAAAAAACAAAAAACAAAAAAAAACTAATTATAGTTTTAAATGTCCAAAACGCCATGTCCACCAAAAGCCCGATGCTCATTAGTACTAGTAATTAACTTTACAACTGTCAACACAAACAGCACACAAGCTGACAGATAGAGAGTAGCTCTGAGGGTGCTAATAAATCCGGAAAGAACAACTTGACACACAGATGCACAAAAGGATGCAGGTGATAAAGAAATGTTGACATCAAATCTAATTATCTTCGAAACGGCCAACTCCAGCATGAGCCACAGTAATGCACTCTTATTGCTGGTGATGGGCCCCACTGGAGCAGCGCTTAACCACTGCCTACAACCGAGCTTTTACAGCCCCTTGTCAGAGCTGGTGAGGACAATATCAAACAGGAAATTATGAGTGCCATGACCCCTCCAAGTCAAAAATCCAGTGATGAATATGGGCTCAGCAAGGCATAGCAGATTACCCCCTCACGAGTTCTAAAGCTGGGATGATATATGACATTTTTATCAGGCACTTTCTCAGGAATGTCACCAAGAGGGAAAATAAAGGCCCTGCAAAGAGATGACTAGGTGAATTATGCAACTGTAATTGCCGATCATAACCTGATATGAGTTGAAATTGCTCTGTTTTCATATTGAGATAGCATACAATTGTCGGGAAATGCAATGGCTCCTTAATGTGGGCTAGATGAGTCTAATATTCTGATCATTTTTCACTCGGCTGCAAGGTAAATCGAGCTTCCTTAACACAGCCACTGTGGCCCAGGGCAATCGAGGGGCCCAATTTTACACTTGAATTGAGCAAATGTGTGTAAACTACGATTTTTCATATTTTCTGCATGCATAAGAAGATGAAACATCTTTATCATCTGTATTGTCTGGCTGAGCTGATACAAAATATTAGTTTATCTCTCCTACTTTGGTTCATTCCATAAGCGAGACACATAGATCTGAAGGACAGGCAATATCCCATATATAAAACAAGTCCATCTTTTATGCAGTCTCATTTCACAAGTTCTCCTATTTAAAACAACCACCACCACAACAAAAATAGACACAGTAGCAGCAGACAAAGGCAGATTTTTTATTTATTTATTTATTTTTTAAAGAGAGGAGGGAAAAAAGCAAATAAAGGCCCCAAACACAACCAATTGTTCCATCATTCTCCGGTTCATGCACAGGAGGTGGGGGGAAAAGCCAAGTAATCTTTGGTGTCTCTCACAGATTGTCTGCCTTTCCCCACTTAAATCAGTTATACCTGCAGGAGGATGGTATCAGCATTTTATTGCTTTGCCACTGTGGCCTGCAGCAGATGGAAAAAGAGTGTGTAGGCTTTCCTCCTCCTTGAAGTCATCTCTAAACCTGGGCACCTCTTGACGGGATTACTGGGGCTTTTGGTACCTGGTCCTGTTCCTTCTTCCTGAGCCCCACTCTGGAGGGTAAAGGACCCAGTACCAGCAGGGCTGTTTCTTTACTGCGCTGGAGTTTCTCCTCCGGCCAGGCGTGGTGGCTCACGCCTGTAATCCCAGCACTTTGGGAGGCTGAGGTGGGTGAATCACCTGAAGTCAGGAGTTCGAGACTAGCCTGGCCAACATGGCAAAACCCCATCTCTATTAAAAATACAAAAAATTAGCTGGGACTACTGACACGTGGTGGTGTGTGCCAGTAGTCCCAGCTACTTGGGAGGCTGAGGCAGGAGAATCACCTGAACCCTGGAGGCGGCGGAGGTTTCAGTGGGCTGAGATTGTGTCACTGAACTCCAGTCTTGACGACAGAGCGAGACTCTGTCTCCCCCCTCAAAAAATAAAATAAAATAAATTCTCCTCCATAACATCTGTCACCCACCTTCAGGCCCTATGTCAACCACACAGTACCACCCATGTCCAGGGCACTGTGTCACCCACAGGAAGAGGCCGTGGGAATGAGTCTTCTAAAGAATCAGCCATGAGAAGGGCCATGATAGCAGGGTCCCCATGGAGATGTGTTCTTACCACTGTGATTTACTGCTCACCAGCAACATATTAGAGCGTTTTGGGCTGATGTCTTTATCTTCCTGGTGCTCCTTAGAAGTATTCTGTTGGTGGACGCAGCTGGGCCCAGGGTATGACTCACATCTACCAACCATGTTCAGACTCAAGCCACAGTGAAACTTGCATTTATATATCGGGCGAGCATACAAAGCATTAAAATAATCTCATTTTTTTTGGTCATTTAAAAAATAACCATTTGCCCAGCTGGGCAACATGGTGAAACCCCATCTCTACCAAAAATACAGAAAAAAAAAAAATTAGCCAGGCGTGGTGGCCCGTGCCCATAGTCCCAGCTACTCGGGATGCTGAGGTGGGAGAATAACTTGAACCTGGGTGGCAGAGGTTGCAGTGAGCCGAGATCGTGCCACTGCACTCCAGCCTGGGCGACAGAATGAGACCGTGTCAAAACAAAAAACAAAAAACAACATTTGCTTCTAATGAAGACATCCATAGGTAATAGGGTGTTAATGACAGAGAGACCAGGGAAGAGGAAAGAAAACTGACAGACTGGCAAGAGTCACTCAAACTGAGTCACGTTGATCATGGGATGCCCACAGCCAAGGGCTGAGAATGTAGGATAGTGCTCTCTCTTCCACAGTGGTCAGCCAGCTCCATAAGGAGTCAATGTAGCACGGAGCAGTGCTAAACAAGGTTTGCTGGAACTGTCTACAGCTAAGCTAAGTGAAAGTTAGGAAGAAAGTGTTGTATTTGTATGTGTGTCTGGGGAGGGTTATATTAGAGACCACTTTGTCAATTTTACGGCTCCTTCCACTCCAGCTTCCTCCTTTGTATGCCTGCTGCTCATAAACCAACCTTCAGTGTTCTCTGACTCCGTGTCCATCTCACTCTCCTAGACTGTGAGTTCTTTGAAGGCAGGGACCTTGCTTTATTTGTCTTGGTATCCCTAGCATCTAGCACAGTCCCTGGCAAAGTTGTCATTCAATGCCTACTGAATGAATAAATAAATGAATCGATACATGTGGTAATTGGCCAGTATATTCATTACCTAATGCCGGGTAACAAATTACCTCCAAAAATGAACAGGTTAAAACAACAAACATTATTATTTCACAGTTTCTGTGGGTCAGGAATTTGGGAGCTGATGGCTCTGGTTTTAGGGTTTCTCATAAGAATGCAATCAATGTTTCAGCTGGGGCTGCAGTCACCTGAGGCTTGATTTGGTCTGGGAGATAAGCTTCCAAAATCGCCTTCCAAAATCAGCGACATGGCTGTTGGCTGGAGGCTTCAGCAACTTAAGGGCTTCTCCATAGGGTTGCTCACAATGTAGAACTGGCTTCTCCCAGCGTGAGTAGTCCAGACAGAAAGAGATCATAAGTGGCCACACTGCCTTTTGTAACCTAGTTTATTCCCCCTTACTCAATTCATCAGAAGCGTCAGCCCACACTGACAGGGAGGGCATTACACAAGGCTGTGAATATCAGGAAGTGGGGCTCACTGGGGGCCATCTTGGAAATTCTAACAATTTAATTCAACCAACGTTTATTGGGTGCCCTCTGGGCCACAAACCCTGTGCTGGGTGCTGGGAATAAATGGTCAGTGGGAAGCAAGGTATATGACCCCCGCCCTCACAGAGTTTACAGTTACAGGAAAGTTGAGTATTAAACAACTAGAGTTTGAGTGTTACTTACCTAAGGGACAGCAGTGGTGGGACTGTGGGAATGAATGTGAGAGCACGGAGCACCCTTAGCTTAAGATATTTAAACTGGAACCATCAGCCATTAGACAGATTGTGATATCATGCATGCTATTGTTACGCACTAGTCATCATTTTGGCTTCTTCCCAAATAATTATACATTGTCCTGAAAATACAGTGCTCTATTGTAAGTGAGGATGAGCCCTTTATAGGTACTAGGAAAGAACCAGAGATTGTTATCAGCTTCCTCTCTCCAGTGGGGAACTTCAGGCCAGGAGGGCAAAGACTTTCTCAATTGAACAATAATAACTTTGTATCAAAACACCTTCATTCTTCAGCCAGAAAACAAGCCATCGGTAGAGACAGAAAACCTGCTTTCTGAGCCCTAAAGATATCCTGCTAATCAGTAGATAATGGGGGACTGAATTGTGCCCATGAGTAGGCTGAACCAAACTAAACCCAAACAAAACCTTCCTGTGTCATTTAATTTCCTTAATTTTTATTTTTAAAATAATAGACATGGGCATACATTTTTCTGTTTCTGTTTTGTTTTTTAATCCAAGAATCGACTTGTTTCTTCCTAGGGAATTTTTATTGAGTTGGAACACACTCAAAATTATTAAGAATTCTGATCAGAGGTAAACATGCAAAACACTCAGCCGAGGGGATTAAGACTCTTTGTTAGTGTTTACGTTATCTCTTTTTAATTCCTATATATCCTTTCTTTATCTCAGTGTTTCAACACTAATTGCAAAACAGCCCCTGCACCTTTGCAGACCTCTAGACATAGCTCGTTGCCATAGATAAGGCAGTCCCTTAACAAGGCTCAGTATCTGGATCAAGGTCTTGTACTGCTTTTCCACTTTCTTTTGCTCATCTGGCCTTCCAGAGGCTAAACCAGCTCACTAAATCATGTAGTTCAGGGTGATATCTTAGTCTGCTCAGAGTCTCAAAACAGCCAAGTCTAATGAAATGAATATGCTGTTCGTGGCCTCTTCAAGATACTTCTCTACTCCAAACAGAGCAAGACTGAACATCAGTATATCAGAGCACCAGTTCCACCCAGTATTGCAAGCAGGGCTGAATCAAACCTGGGCCCTGTCGCCCACTTAATCCTAGTTCGCTGGTATGAACTAACGGAAGCTAAATTAATCTTGTTCTAAAGACTTCAAGCCAGTGCAACTTCATTCTCCATCTCTTCCTTCCATGAATTTTCATGCTGCCTTTTGGGTAAATAATGCACCCTGAGTTCAGCTAGCATTGGGTTCACAGTATAGTGTCAAAGAAAGAGAATGAGCTCTTGTATCAATGGGGTGATTCAACTGCCATTTACTCTTATTTTACTTCGCAAGAGAGGAACTAAGTTCCGCCTTTTCTTTCCTTTAGCCCCAATTTTCCACTCAGCCGTCTCTATGATTACAAATATCTTTCACTCCTTTTTCATTACTGACTCACCTACACATTGAAATGGTACCTATTTCATCTTCCTGTCTTGTCTCTTCCTGTATGCCACTTCCAGAGACTTAATTCAGGCACCGTTGCTAAGCAACTATACATCATAGCAGCCAGTCACCAATTACTAATTGTCCTCAGCACTTTAGCCTTACAAATCTGGACTACCGGTGACAATGGCAAGTAGTTTTGATGGCCAAAAACACACCGGGAGGTTTCTCAGCTCAGCGAAGACAGAGGCACTAATAACAAGGTATTACCATCATGGCAGTAACAAAGATTTCCAGTCTTATACCGGCTGAATCACGCAGTTTTAATTCCATCAGCTTGGCTCTATTCTCTCCTTCCTGCCCAGGAAATAAATTGGAAGTGTGGTGAACACACACACTGATGAAAATGTGGATGCTGGCATTTCACACGCGTTCACCTTCCTCCCCACTGGCACCACCCCGTTTCTACAGTTTCTAGTTGAATTGAGGATCTATTAGTAATCAAATTTCAGCCTCAATTTTATGGTTAGTGTAATGGAGTTAATTTCTCTAATGCTAGCAGTTCATGGAAGGAGTCTCTTGTGGCAGCGCAGACCTGGGACTCGTAGCAGCTGTCAGAGTTGCCGCTAAGGAATTCCTTATTAGCTAAGATGCAACCAGGCAGAAAACTCATTACACAGTGCTAAATATACTTAATCACATCTATTAGAGAAAAATGAACTTGATAATTACAACAAATAACTAAACTGCAGAAAGTGTTCAAGGAAAAAAAAAACCGACACCAGGATCTAAGTGCACGGGGAATCGGAGCTGCAGGAGCCAAAAGAGAACCTAGGAGCACGTGGCTTTGTGCTGAAGGAGAAACCAGTCTCAAGGCAGGTGGAGTTGATTTAAGTTGCTTACGAAAAATGACAAATTTACATTTCAAAAATGCCCTTGTTTATTTGGCATTTGTAAAATTTTAATTACAAAGCAATCCTCAGAGGGTAAATGCTTTTTTTGTAGACTGTTTCTCGAAGGCAGGGGTTTGGGCAGGGGAGGGATGTAAGGAAACCCACAGTGAACACTGGGCTTGACAAATAGAGATCTGAAATAGCTCAGTTACACGTGTAACTTCCTTGGAGCCCAACAAATGTTGACAGTCAAATTTGTCTTTTTCTCTGTCACAAAATTGAAGTCCCTGAATGGGGGGACCTTTACCATTCCCGACTGAGGAATATATGTGAGAAGCCCCAGAGTGAGTGTCGCCTATCAATTTTTCGAGTGCCTGACCTCATTCAGGAAGGAGTCACTGCCACCAAAGGTGGTTTAGAGCAGTTCGGCTTCTGTAAGCGAGGCCAGAGAATCAAGTTAACTTTAGGCCAAGATCTGGCAGGAGATGATCTTTGGAAACTGAAAGAGGGAGGGGGAAGAACTGGTCCCAGTTAAGCAAGACAGAGATAAGAGACATTGGAGAGAGAGACATGGAGCGGGCATGGAGATACGAAGGATCAGGATAAAGGCTGAAAACAGGCGCTAGCCCATCTGTGAGTTAAGAGGAGCCCCATAGATGTATGATGAGCAAAGGTGAAAGCTGGCTAAGCCTGGAGGAGCTTCTGACTCTTTGGCAATTTCATCTCTGCAGAGAGGAAAGATGGACACAGTTATTAAGAATAGAAGTGGCAAGATGGTTTCATCTCTGTAAAATCTGCTACAGCAAAATATACTGTTGTTACCTTTGGCCACCAATGGCAACAGCAGAAGCAGCCCACCCACTCCAAATACTGGGAAAATCAAAAGTCACGTTCTTGGCCGGGTGCAGTGGCTCACACCTGTAATCCCAGCACTTTGGGAGGCTGAGGTGGGTGGATCTCCTGAGGTCAAGAGTTCGAGACCAGCCTGGCCAACAGGGTGAAACCCTGTCTCTACTAAAAAAATACAAAAATTAGCTGGGTGTGGTGGCATGCATCTGTAGTCCCAGCTACTCAGGAGGCTGAGGCAGGAGAATCTCTTGAACCCAGGAGACAGAGGTAGTGCCACTGCACTCCAACGTGGGCAACAGAGCGAGACCCTGTCTCAAAAAAAAAAAGTCAAGTTCTCATATCCACACCAATAATTGAGAAGCCCTTTCCTCTTATTATCCGTATTTTAGATGGGCATCACATGCCTATCAACCATAATGCTCCACATGGACTCAGCCTGCCCTTGAAAAGGAAGGCACACAGAAGAACGATGAGACTTAAGAGGAAAGACTTCAGCCAGGTAATCAGTGATTGGTGTTTAGTGCCTGGGAATGGGCATTCTGAGCAGCATGGCAGCTCACCGGGTGCTGGCCCTTACAGCTGGGTAGCGAGATCAGAGGATGTGACAGCATCAACCCAAACCAGCCATCCAGCTGCACTGTGTTTCATCACATATCAATTTTTACTGAAAAGAAAACCATACAAATTTAATCAGCTCTTCATATGGAAATATTTAACTTTTTCCCCCTCGAGTTGTTTGATATTATTGTTTTAAGAGTCAGGATTAAAAAAAAGTCAAGATGTCTGATAGTGGTGGACACAGAAAAGCATCCATTTCTGGCAAGAGAGCAAGTCTCATTTCCAGTAGACTCAAGTCTTAAATGCACTGGCGTCTCTGTCAATTGCCTGGCTCAATGAAGAACATATTACATGCCCATAACCATGAAGTATAAGACACGAATGATCCATCTTGCACACCCTCACCCTCAGTCAAGGCAGGATGCTATTATCGGTGAGAATAATACGATCTCAGAAAAGCTCCTGTTGCCCACAAGTCTAGAGAGTGTTCTGTTTTGGCATCCAGTCCTCTGAGGTTTCCGTTTGCTCCTTTGCCCTTCAGAGATGTTATCAAACAACCTTGTTCCAGAACTTCTAATCTCTGAAAACCTATAATGTGAAACTCTCTTAGATATCTACCTATTAAAGAACTATGTTCTCTCTCAGTAGTCATAAAATGTAAAACACCTCTTAAAAGAGACTTCCTTTGTTTCCTAGCCAAGGGCACATAAGACAAAAGAAGCTGCCTTTTAAATATAATTTTAAAACACTATGTTACATAAAATGAAGTATTGATATAAAGGGTGATTTTAATATGAGGACTGCTTTTGAGATCATGGGCATTTAAAAATACCAAAGTGATGTAAGCTACAGGCCAGGGCCAAGAACTTTCCATCTCAGAAATGGGTCCTCAGAAACTGAGGGGGGAGGAAAATACAGTGCATTGTCACCAACTGTATTGGGATGCCATGTAGATTTGAAGACTACCTATCACCTGTGCCAGTTCTTGAGGTGGGCAGATCCACGGCAAAGCCTGGCTCAGGCCCAGCCAGGACAACTGTCCTGAACCTCCCAGAATCACAGTCTCAAATCCTTAGACACTTCTAACCCTGAGATACTTGCAAAGGGAGAAACGTGCACTGGCTAGGCAGCTATTGGGTTGCCAACCCATAACCAGATTAATTTTTCTCAAGGCTATTTCTCCTTATAGTGGAGGATCGGCCTGTTTACTAGATGCCATGACACCGGCCAGCTGGGCAGAGTTAATCTCCCAGGCTCTTGAAGATTTCTTCTTCTGGCCTTCATCATGTTAGCAACATTTACCCTTTCCCTTGAAGGAGGAGAAATGGCAGTAACCGTTAGCAGTTGAGAAGATGCTGGGCTGTTCTTGAGAAGAGTACTCTTTGGAACTCAAGGCACAGAAAACTTTATGTCAACATTATGGATAACGCTTTTTGTAGAGGAAAAAGAAATCCCATTTCTATTATGCAATCAGGAAATTGAAGATGTCTATCTCCAGATAACCAACTGCTTGTGGTGCGATTTCAGTTGGAAACTTTCACATAGAATGTTTTCATACTGTCTGTTCTGGCGTTTCTGTCAGTTCACATTGACTTTTTTTGCTCTCTCTAGCAAATAAATCAGAAAGTTAATAGTTCTGTTGATTTGTTGGAGCATTTTTTTCCTCTTTAAAAAAATAAAGAAAAGAAAAGAATAGCTTTAAAGGGGGAAAAACTGATCCCAGTGTGTTAACAACTCCATTGCGGTTTTAGGCTGCGGTCATGCCAACTGTCTAGTAAAAAGAGAAATTCCACTGTAGCAGAAGTAATAAAATCTTCTTTTAAAGCACAAATACCATGCAGGGAGGAAACGTAAACCCTTGCTTTAGGACAAGAAAGGTGGTTGGGGGTGTGGGTAGGAGGTAAAGTATGGACTGGAGCAGCAAGGATTCCTGGTCACCACCCTGCTTTGGATAATCTTTCACCCAAAGCAGCTGTTTCCATGACCCAGAACCTTCTCTTCCTCTTCATCCATCACCCAGAGGATTTTATAAAGATGTAAGCTATTATCTGAAGCTACTTCATTGTTATTCATATGACCAAATATTTATCACCCACTCTGCTTTTTCAAAGAAGCTGATCTCCAAGATGGATAGTTAGAAGAATCTCATCAGCATGACAGAAGGCTTATGGCAAGCAACATGCACTGCTCTGGGAGAATATGACCGCTTCATATTCTCAGATCCACTGTGATCTCTCCCGAAACCAGAGAGCCGGGCCTTTAACATCTGAGTCCCATATCAGGATTTCTGGGACTCATAATTGACAAATAATTGACTTTCCTTAAAATCAGGGTCAAAGCTCCCCAAATTACCACCCTTGGTGATGAACACACTGGGTCAACTGTTCCCCAGGCAGCCAGGAGGAATCCTGTCTGCCCCACAGGCCCCCACTCAGTTACTCCAACAAAAGGCAGCAGTTGAATGTAGAGAAAAGTCAAGTGAAAAGGGCCGGGATCCTGTGACATGAGGCATTCAACAGCCAGATTGTTTTCACACAATCACTCAATATCTCTCATGATGGCCAGACGTGGATCCGTTTGCCAGGTAATGCTTTGACGCTGAGAGCCAGCAGAATGCAAAGCCAAACTACTGCTTCCTCATTCAGGCTCTACATGAAAACACCCATATCTTGGATCCACGGCCAAATCCTGGGAAAAGAGCCCATGAATGGGCATCTCAGAGTGGCCACCTTCTGACTGCCCTCCCTCTTCCCTTTGCCTACATTCTGCCTGAAGGGAAGGAGGGGCAGCTCCAGGGGAGGTAAACTGCAGTCCCAGCAGCAGCAGCCCCAGCCACCACCTTAACACTTGAATGAGTTAAATGCAAAGATACAAAGACAAGTATTTCATTTCATCTGGTATTTCCTCAAGCCCTCCCACCAGCAGGAGCTATATGTAAACATGGCCATTTCCCCCCCTCACCACTTTGAATTTAATTGTATTCCTAATTGAAAATGAAAATTAATTTGCTTTTGATCAATTCCAGGTGGTAGATCAGCCTGAAATGGTAGCAGAGCATTTTTTCCTCTCTGGGTGACCACACACACATGCCCATAAACACCAGCATGTGCTACCGGCATAAACGGGCAGCCATCTCTTTTTGCACAAGGTCTTCCAGGGTCTCTGTCTCTCTTCCCTGTGCTGATTGGCAGCATTCAATTTTTAAGGGAAGATTTACAAAAGTGACGGTACTTGTAGAAATAAACTGCTGACAGGCTTGCTGAGTTAAGTGCGTAATTAAGGCTGTGGAACTACAGATGTTGAACAATGGTGGCTTCCATCAAGACGTATGTGGTAGTATCACAAATAACCTGGCATCTGGTTTCTTTATCTAAGTACCTTTCTTACGGTTTGGATCTTAATTTTTTACAGTTGACAGCAGTGTTATCTGAGCTAGTCAGTGGCATCTGGCTGCTGGGGGGAAAAAAAGAAAGAAAGAATGAAAGAGAAAAAAAAAATCTCCATGCACTTTAATTAATTGTGGAGAAATTACATGGTCCTTCAACCGTGTAGTTTGTCATCAGTGCACATTACAGATTTATATTAGATGTTTCTCCACAGTGTCAGGAATAATTAAAAGGGGGTAGGAAATGATGCCAACCAGCAATGCTTTACATCAGTGGTGAAAGTTTTATATTTATTACAGCCAAACAATTTTAGAAGAAGATGTCAACTCGGAGGCTTGAATGTGCATGGAATACTTATCAGGCTGGAGGCAAAGTCAATGCTCTACGGCTGCTGGAATAATGAGAGAGGGCTCATGTTTAATCTATCAGGCCGACCAGAATTGGGATGGCATGCCAGAGTTATTAATGACGTGGCATCCCTGTTTCCATAAAAACATTCACCCAAAACAATAAGTAACATATGCTTTTTTCTTTTTCCTGAAGTGATCTTCACCCAATTGTTCTTTCTGATCCTAATAAGAACAGAAGTGCCAACTGTATGCAAGTCACTTTTTTTGCTCAATTAATCTGTGCCACATTTATGGCTTGCACAGCGTTGGTGGAATGATTTACTAAAAAGATATCAAAACGACTTTTGCCTTCACTGAGCACATGATTACAGCTTCCCTGCTGGGGCCTTCCATGAAGGGAGACCTACCCAGATGGCAGCCAACCTGAATGGTAATCACCAACTTGTACCTACTCCACCCAAGCAACTCAAATCTTAGCTTCTTTTTTTTTTTTTTTTTCAAGTATTTTTATTTTTTTATTTTTTATTTTTTATTTTTTTTTACATTAAACAGCAGAAGTCTTTGTTAGACCTGAAGTTTATTAGACCTTGTCTTGTTGACTTAGGGAAATTCTTTTTTTTTTTTTTTTAATTTTTTTTTTTTATTATACTCTAAGTTTTAGGGTACATGTGCACATTGTGCAGGTTAGTTACATATGTATACATGTGCCATGCTGGTGCGCTGCACCCACTAACGTGTCATCTAGCATTAGGTATATCTCCCAATGCTATCCCTCCCCCCTCCCCCGACCCCACCACAGTCCCCAGAGTGTGATATTCTCCTTCCTGTGTCCATGTGATCTCATTGTTCAATTCCCACCTATGAGTGAGAATATGCGGTGTTTGGTTTTTTGTTCTTGCGATAGTTTACTGAGAATGATGGTTTCCAATTTCATCCATGTCCCTACAAAGGACATGAACTCATCATTTTTTATGGCTGCATAGTATTCCATGGTGTATATGTGCCACATTTTCTTAATCCAGTCTATCATTGTTGGACATTTGGGTTGGTTCCAAGTCTTTGCTATTGTGAATAGTGCCGCAATAAACATACGTGTGCATGTGTCTTTATAGCAGCATGATTTATAGTCCTTTGGGTATATACCCAGTAATGGGATGGCTGGGTCAAATGGTATTTCTAGTTCTAGATCCCTGAGGAATCGCCACACTGACTTCCACAATGGTTGAACTAGTTTACAGCCCCACCAACAGTGTAAAAGTGTTCCTATTTCTCCACATCCTCTCCAGCACCTGTTGTTTCCTGACTTTTTAATGATTGCCATTCTAACTGGTGTGAGATGATATCTCATAGTGGTTTTGATTTGCATTTCTCTGATGGCCAGTGATGATGAGCATTTCTTCATGTGTTTTTTGGCTGCATAAATGTCTTCTTTTGAGAAGTGTCTGTTCATGTCCTTTGCCCACTTTTTGATGGGGTTGTTTGTTTTTTTCTTGTAAATTTGTTTGAGTTCATTGTAGATTCTGGATATTAGCCCTTTGTCAGATGAGTAGGTTGCGAAAATTTTCTCCCATGTTGTAGGTTGCCTGTTCACTCTGATGGTAGTTTCTTTTGCTGTGCAGAAGCTCTTTAGTTTAATTAGATCCCATTTGTCAATTTTGGCTTTTGTTGCCATTGCTTTTGGTGTTTTGGACATGAAGTCCTTGCCTACGCCTATGTCCTGAATGGTAATGCCTAGGTTTTCTTCTAGGGTTTTTATGGTTTTAAGTCTAACGTTTAAATCTTTAATCCATCTTGAATTGATTTTTGTATAAGGTGTAAGGAAGGGATCCAGTTTCAGCTTTCTACATATGGCTAGCCAGTTTTCCCAGCACCATTTATTAAATAGGGAATCCTTTCCCCATTGCTTGTTTTTCTCAGGTTTGTCAAAGATCAGATAGTTGTAGATATGCGGCATTATTTCTGAGGGCTCTGTTCTGTTCCATTGATCTATATCTCTGTTTTGGTACCAGTACCATGCTGTTTTGGTTACTGTAGCCTTGTAGTATAGTTTGAAGTCAGGTAGTGTGATGCCTCCAGCTTTGTTCTTTTGGCTTAGGATTGACTTGGCGATGCGGGCTCTTTTTTGGTTCCATATGAACTTTAAAGTAGTTTTTTCCAATTCTGTGAAGAAAGTCATTGGTAGCTTGATGGGGATGGCATTGAATCTGTAAATTACCTTGGGCAGTATGGCCATTTTCACGATATTGATTCTTCCTACCCATGAGCATGGAATGTTCTTCCATTTGTTTGTGTCCTCTTTTATTTCCTTGAGCAGTGGTTTGTAGTTCTCCTTGAAGAGGTCCTTCACATCCCTTGTAAGTTGGATTCCTAGGTATTTTATTCTCTTTGAAGCAATTGTGAATGGGAGTTCACTCATGATTTGGCTCTCTGTTTGTCGGTTGTTGGTGTATAAGAATGCTTGTGATTTTTGTACATTGATTTTGTATCCTGAGACTTTGCTGAAGTTGCTTATCAGCTTAAGGAGATTTTGGGCTGAGACGATGGGGTTTTCTAGATAAACAATCATGTCGTCTGCAAACACGGACAATTTGACTTCCTCTTTTCCTAACTGAATACCCTTTATTTCCTTCTCCTGCTTGATTGCCCTGGCCAGAACTTCCAACACTATGTTGAATAGGAGCGGTGAGAGAGGGCATCCCTGTCTTGTGCCAGTTTTCAAAGGGAATGCTTCCAGTTTTTGCCCATTCAGTATGATATTGGCTGTGGGTTTGTCATAGATAGCTCTTATTATTTTGAAATACTTCCCATCAATACCTAATTTATTGAGAGTTTTTAGCATGAAGGGTTGTTGAATTTTGTCAAAGGCTTTTTCTGCATCTATTGAGATAATCATGTGGTTTTTGTCTTTGGCTCTGTTTATATGCTGGATTACATTTATTGATTTGCGTATATTGAACCAGCCTTGCATCCCAGGGATGAAGCCCACTTGATCATGGTGGATAAGCTTTTTGATGTGCTGCTGGATTCGGTTTGCCAGTATTTTATTGAGGATTTTTGCATCAATGTTCATCAAGGATATTGGTCTAAAATTCTCTTTTTTGGTTGTGTCTCTGCCCGGCTTTGGTATCAGAATGATGCTGGCCTCATAAAATGAGTTAGGGAGGATTCCCTCTTTTTCTATTGATTGGAATAGTTTCAGAAGGAATGGTACCAGTTCCTCCTTGTACCTCTGGTAGAATTCGGCTGTGAATCCATCTGGTCCTGGACTCTTTTTGGTTGGTAAACTATTGATTATTGCCACAATTTCAGAGCCTGTTATTGGTCTATTCAGAGATTCAACTTCTTCCTGGTTTAGTCTTGGGAGAGTGTATGTGTCGAGGAATGTATCCATTTCTTCTAGATTTTCTAGTTTATTTGCGTAGAGGTGTTTGTAGTATTCTCTGATGGTAGTTTGTATTTCTGTGGGATCAGTGGTGATATCCCCTTTATCATTTTTTATTGTGTCTATTTGATTCTTCTCTCTTTTTTTCTTTATTAGTCTTGCTAGCGGTCTATCAATTTTGTTGATCCTTTCAAAAAACCAGCTCCTGGATTCATTGATTTTTTGAAGGGTTTTTTGTGTCTCTATTTCCTTCAGTTCTGCTCTGATTTTAGTTATTTCTTGCCTTCTGCTAGCTTTTGAATGTGTTTGCTCTTGCTTTTCTAGTTCTTTTAATTGTGATGTTAGGGTGTCAATTTTGGATCTTTCCTGCTTTCTCCTGTAGGCATTTGGTGCTATAAATTTCCCTCTACACACTGCTTTGAATGCGTCCCAGAGATTCTGTTATGTGGTGTCTTTGTTCTCGTTGGTTTCAAAGAACATCTTTATTTCTGCCTTCATTTCGTTATGTACCCGGTAGTCATTCAGGAGCAGGTTGTTCAGTTTCCATGTAGTTGAGCGGCTTTGAGTGAGATTCTTAATCCTGAGTTCTAGTTTGATTGCACTGTGGTCTGAGAGATAGTTTGTTATAATTTCTGTTCTTTTACGTTTGCTGAGGAGAGCTTTACTTCCAACTATGTGGTCAATTTTGGAATAGGTGTGGTGTGGTGCTGAAAAAAATGTATATTCTGTTGATTTGGGGTGGAGAGTTCTGTAGATGTCTATTAGGTCTGCTTGGTGCAGAGCTGATTTCAATTCCTGGGTATCCTTGTTGACTTTCTGTCTCGTTGATCTGTCTAATGTTGACAGTGGGGTGTTAAAGTCTCCCATTATTAATGTGTGGGAGTCTAAGTCTCTTTGTAGGTCACTCAGGACTTGCTTTATGAATCTGGGTGCTCCTGTATTGGGTGCATAAATATTTAGGATAGTTAGCTCCTCTTGTTGAATTGATCCCTTTACCATTATGTAATGGCCTTCTTTGTCTCTTTTGATCTTTGTTGGTTTAAAGTCTGTTTTATCAGAGACTAGGATTGCAACCCCTGCCTTTTTTTGTTTTCCATTGGCTTGGTAGATCTTCCTCCATCCTTTTATTTTGAGCCTATGTGTGTCTCTACACGTGAGATGGGTTTCCTGAATACAGCACACTGATGGGTCTTGACTCTTTATCCAACTTGCCAGTCTGTGTCTTTTAATTGCAGAATTTAGTCAATTTATATTTAAAGTTAATATTGTTATGTGTGAATTTGATCCTGTCATTATGATGTTAGCTGGTGATTTTGCTCGTTAGTTGATGCAGTTTCTTCCTAGTCTCGATGGTCTTTACATTTTGGCATGATTTTGCAGCGGCTGGTACCGGTTGTTCCTTTCCATGTTTAGCGCTTCCTTCAGGAGCTCTTTTAGGGCAGGCCTGGTGGTGACAAAATCTCTCAGCATTTGCTTGTCTATAAAGTATTTTATTTCTCCTTCACTTATGAAGCTTAGTTTGGCTGGATATGAAATTCTGGGTTGAAAATTCTTTTCTTTAAGAATGTTGAATATTGGCCCCCACTCTCTTCTGGCTTGTAGGGTTTCTGCCGAGAGATCCGCTGTTAGTCTGATGGGCTTTCCTTTGAGGGTAACCCGACCTTTCTCTCTGGCTGCCCTTAACATTTTTTCCTTCATTTCAACTTTGGTGAATCTGACAATTATGTGTCTTGGAGTTGCTCTTCTCGAGGAGTATCTTTGTGGCGTTCTCTGTATTTCCTGAATCTGAACGTTGGCCTGCCTTGCTAGACTGGGGAAGTTCTCCTGGATAATATCCTGCAGAGTGTTTTCCAACTTGGTTCCATTCTCCACATCACTTTCAGGTACACCAATCAGACGTAGATTTGGTCTTTTCACATAGTCCCATATTTCTTGGAGGCTTTGCTCATTTCTTTTTATTCTTTTGTCTCTAAACTTCCCTTCTCGCTTCATTTCATTCATTTCATCTTCCATTGCTGATACCCTTTCTTCCAGTTGATCGCATCGGCTCCTGAGGCTTCTGCATTCTTCACGTAGTTCTCGAGCCTTGGTTTTCAGCTCCATCAGCTCCTTTAAGCACTTCTCTGTATTGGTTATTCTAGTTATACATTCTTCTAAATTTTTTTCAAAGTTTTCAACTTCTTTGCCTTTGGTTTGAATGTCCTCCCGTAGCTCAGAGTAATTTGATCGTCTGAAGCCTTCTTCTCTCAGCTCTTCAAAATCATTCTCCATCCAGCTTTGTTCTGTTGCTGGTGAGGAACTGCGTTCCTTTGGAGGAGGAGAGGCGCTCTGCATTTTAGAGTTTCCAGTTTTTCTGTTCTGTTTTTTCCCCATCTTTGTGGTTTTATCTACTTTTGGTCTTTGATGATGGTGATGTACAGATGGGTTTTCGGTGTAGATGTCCTTTCTGGTTGTTAGTTTTCCTTGTAACAGACAGGACCCTCAGCTGCAGGTCTGTTGGAATACCCTGCCATGTGAGGTGTCAGTGTGCCCCTGCTGGGGGGTGCCTCCCAGTTAGGCTGCTCGGGGGTCAGGGGTCAGGGACCCACTTGAGGAGGCAGTCTGCCCGTTCTCAGATCTCCAGCTGCGTGCTGGGAGAACCACTGCTCTCTTCAAAGCTGTCAGACAGGGACACTTAAGTCTGCAGAGGTTACTGCTGTCTTTTTGTTTGTCTGTGCCCTGCCCCCAGAGGTGGAGCCTACAGAGGCAGGCAGGCCTCCTTGAGCTGTGGTGGGCTCCACCCAGTTCAAGCTTCCTGGCTGCTTTGTTTACCTAAGCAAGCCTGGGCAATGGCGGGCGCCCCTCCCCCAGCCTCGTTGCCGCCTTGCAGTTTGATCTCAGACTGCTGTGCTAGCAATCAGCGAGATTCCGTGGGCGTAGGACCCTCTGAGCCAGGTGTGGGATATAGTCTCGTGGTGCGCCGTTTCTTAAGCCGGTCTGAAAAGCGCAATATTCGGGTGGGAGTGACCCGATTTTCCAGGTGCGTCCGTCACCCCTTTCTTTGACTCGGAAAGGGAACTCCCTGACCCCTTGCGCTTCCCAGGTAAGGCAATGCCTCGCCCTGCTTCGGCTCGCGCACGGTGCGCACACACACTGGCCTGCGCCCACTGTCTGGCACTCCCTAGTGAGATGAACCCGGTACCTCAGATGGAAATGCAGAAATCACCCGTCTTCTGCGTCACTCACGCTGGGAGCTGTAGACCGGAGCTGTTCCTATTCGGCCATCTTGGCTCCTCCAAATCTTAGCTTCTTTATTCCTGATACCATTGGACAAACCTAGGACATATTCCTTTCTCTTTCCCAGAGATCACAGCCAGGTTCTACATTTAGAAACCGAAGGTCACAAGAAAGCTCTCAGAAACATCCCAGGGATCCACGACAATAGGAACAGCCATCCGCAGGACATAAATCTTCTCCCGTGCTCTTCTATTCGAGCAGGTTTCCTTTTGTATCATCAGCACATCGGGCAGCACGTTTCAGGAGGATTGTTAGACACTCTCAACCTCCATCGTGTGTCTTGCAGAAGAGCCAGCGTGCACAACAATTCTTTACTATGCAATGCCTGTCAGTTCTTATTTATTAGCTTCTTGCCCTGGATATTTTCATAATTACCATTTAGCTAATGTGGCCCTAGAAGTGGAGACATCCTGGGAATCACAAGCCCAGGAAAGCCTCACCTTTGCCCCCTATGGACTCATATGACAGCAGGGCAGCCAGAAAGGATACTGTCCTCAGGGTCTTCCGGTCTAAACAGTGGAAATCTTCCTTCCTTAGACCTATATGAGATAAGGAAAATGGCAACGGAATCCTCATAGCCATGTATTTCTTTGAATCGCTAGGTGGGTCTACTAGGGAGAGTTTGCTTAAAGTTTAACATGTGATATGGTTTGGCTCTGTGTCTCCACCCAAATCTCATCTGGAATTGTAATCCCCAGGTGTCAAGGGAGGGGAGTGGTGGGAGGTGATTGGATCATGGAGGCGGTTTCCCCCATGCTGTTCTCGTGATAATGAGGGAGTTCTCACGAGATCTGATGGTTTAAAAGTGGTGGTTTCCCCCTGTGCTCCCTCTCCTGCCGTCTTGCTTTCCCTTCGCCTTCCACCATGATGTAAGTTTCCTGAGGCGTCCCCACCATGAGGAACTGTGACTCAGTTAAACCTCTTTCCTTTGTAAATTACTCAGTCTCAGATAGCATCTTTACAGCATTGTGAGAATGGACTAACACAGCATGATTCTTCTGTGATAAAGTAATAGTACCCTTAGTCATTTTAAATCTTTCCAGGACAATATTCTTAAATTTAAGGAGAATAGTGCTTTAACATTTTCAAAGCATTTTTGCAAATAATATTTCATTTTACTAATAGCTGTACACTCAATGTGGAAGAATAAAATGGGGAGAAGCCTCGGTATTTTCTTCTTCGGTCCCATATAAAACACACACCTTAGGCATATTTTTCCTTTGTTGATGGCTTTTAAAAGTCAGTGTTTAGCTTTCTAAAGTATTCTCTGTGCTTGGAATAAAAATCAAAACTTCTTCCTATGGCCCTACCTTCCTCTCTGACTATTCTCATCTCGCATCACTCCTCCACTCTCTTCCTGTTTCTCCACGACATTAAGCCCATTCCAGCCTCAGGGACTTTGCACTTAACCGTTTGCTTTGCATGTAACGCTAACTCCATGTCTTCATGTGACTGTGGCTTGGTCTTTCAGATCTCAGCTCAAATGTCACCTCTCAGAGAAGCCTCCCTGATCTCTCTAATATTACCCATTCCTCTACCCTGATTTCCTAGCTCACAATCTGAAATTGTCTTCTATGTATTTGTTTAACACGGGTTTCTCCCACTGGAATGTAAGCTCCAAGAGAACTTGAAAAAACATCAACTTTAGGGTAGATTTCTCTATGTGCTTAAAAGTTGCATATTTACATTTGTTTCAAATAATCTGTGTGTTGATTTTTTCTTTAATTCAGCAGAAGGTCTTTAATCTAGTTAGTGTAACTGAGATTTTGCCATATAAATGATTTTTTCTTCATCCCATTTGGATTTCAAAGCCACTGATAAACCTTTTTTTGGAGTGATCCTAATGGAATTAATCAAATTTAAGGAGATGTTGACTTAAAATCTTTATTAGTGGAAAGAAAAGAATATTAATAAAAGGCTAAACCACTGCATCTTGCATCCCTAAAAGGATTATTTTAAATTCAATTTTTGCACTGTTATTATTAAAGCAGTTCACTCAACCAGTCACTAGGTTTGAACTTTGATTTGAATCGAGGTTTGCAGGGCTTCCATCAAATCTCTGCTAAATCCAGCTTCGGAGAGGAGCAGTTAAGTGTAACTGCAGCCAAGGTTAGAAACCTTGGCTCACAACACTTGGCCTTGACCAGCAGGTACCAATGGCAATTCTGTACACTGAGGACTAGCCAGGGCCAGAAGAAAGGAAGTTGAAATTAGAACAGGCAGATTTCAATCTAATATAGAGAACAAATTCCTACAGGAAGCAAGAGGCCTAATAAGTGATTAGAGAAATGATCAAAACCTCTGGAGGGATTACAATCAGGATAAACCTTCCCTGATCCCTGAAGTTCTTGAAGACTGTGTCTGGTTCATCTTTGTAGCTCCTTTTAGTACCTAACGCATACTGGGTACTCAAGGTATATGTAGCAGATTGAGTTAGAACAAGTGTGGAGAATAGGCCTAACTTGTAATCTTCATGAGGGCGGGGCCATGTCTTTCTAGTTCTTCACTGTCTGCTCAGGACTTAGCATAGTCGAAGATGCTTAGTAGTAGTCTGTTGAATGAAAAACATCAGTGGATGAATAAACTGGTCAATGAATGAATGGGCCACATGGGCCCTATAGGACTTAAATGCTTGATAACTCTTCATAGGTAGAAATCCTACCTCCATCCCTATGTTTCCTTCTTGATCTCTATAGCTTCTTGCAGAAAGCAAAGTATCTTGGCCTCCTTCTTCCACCCCTCTATATCCACTCTGAAACAGAGAAGTATAGGCACCTCTGAAGTTGCTCTTGAGAAAATCTCCCTCCTCATCAAAGTTCACAAAACATTATATCATTAAGCCACTACCACTTAGTGCTCTGCTAGATGCTCTAGAAAATGCTAGAAAGAGCAGCAGCTTCCTGGGGTCTGGGAGTTAATGGTTTGAAGACATCTGACAGATGTGGCACATGTAGTGCCCACTCTCTCTGATCCCTTCCCTGAAATTCTCATTCTCCTTGAAAACCCAGTTTGCCTTTTTCAAGGAGAAAAAGAAAGCAGTGTTAACAGGAGGCCGCCCACCTCTCGGGTTGCTCCTGCCCCTACAAGCCCTGCTGGCTGCTCTTGTGTCCCTGTCTTGCTTTACATGTGAACAGATGTATTTACATGAGGGCAGATTCAAAGTCAGATGATGTATTAGTTTATTTTGTGTTGTTATAAAGGAATACCTGAGACTGGATAGTTTACAAAGAAAAGAGGTTAATTTGGCTTATGGTTCTACAGGCTGTACAAACATGGCACCAGCATCTACTTGGCTTCTGATGAGGCCGCAGGAAGCTTTTACTTATGGCAGAAGGCGAAGAGGGTACAGGCATGTCCCATGGCGAAAGAGGGAACAAGAGAGAGAGGGGAGAGGTGCCAGGCTCTTTAAACAACAAGCTCTCTCATGAACTAATAGAGTGAGAACTCACTCATTACTGCAAGGACAGTGTGAAGCCATTCATGAGGGATCCACCCAGATGACCCAAACAGCCTCCACTAGGCCTCCCTCCAACAATGGGGGTCACATTTCAACATGCAATTTGGAGGGGACACACATCCAAACCATAGCAGATGGTATCTGAGACACTGATTTTCTCCCCAGCTTTGGCCATCAGAGGTAGACAGTGAGGCTCCTGGGAAGGTGGGGGAGGCACTTTCCAGGTTGGGCATAATCACAATGCAGCTGCTATGGCAGCAGAAGGAACTTCACTGAGAGTCCTCTCTCTGTACTTTAGCCAAGTTCCACCTCTAAACACTGGAAACGTTCTATGCTTCCACTGCCAGTTCTGAAGCCCACAAGGGTCAGGTTACAGGAGGTAAGGTTCTTCCCAGCTCCTAGAGTCTGACTCTACTCATGCTTGAAAACATCTTATCCTCTGATTATTGCCTCTAGTGGGTCATCCTGTCTGGGGCCAAGTCTCTACTAAGATCATAATTTAATGCAGCTTTAGCCACAGCTATGAGGACTCCATTTTCAATGTGTTCACTGCCGGAATAAAGGTTCCAGCTGTGCCCAAAATATATATGGCTTACATTAGAGAAAGTTCACCTTCCTGCACAAGAACATTAGGTATACAGGTTCAGGTAGCTCTAAGATGAGAAGTAGTGTAGGGTGTATTTGTATTAAATATGTTTTCTAAAATTAACTGCTAAAATAATTTAATGATGGTGTTAAGGAAAATTTAAAGTTACACGTAATACTACTATTCTAACAAGCCTAGTTGATATATGCATACGTAATTTTTACATATTTTTTAACATAATGACTATATATAAGCATTCATTTGCTTTTTCCATGTAATGGTATATCATATGCATTTCTCCATGTTTCTATGTTGTCTTTGTAAATACTATCTATGTTTTTCTAAAGTAGAAGAGTCTATAAAATTTAAACCACCTATTAAATGAGAGACTATAAATATAAATCTCTTATAATTGAAACACGTCTAGGCAATAGGAAAAAATGACATCTGAAATACGCACAACTGTGAGATGGCAGAAGAAAACTGAATAAAAGATACACTAGATGCTCTTAACTAAAAGCATGAGCACTGGATGCTATTAAGTAGCTTTAGGACCTCTGGAAAACTAATCTCTTTCATTTGCCTTAGTTTCATCAACGTGACAAGGAGGGTAGAGTTGGGTGAACTTTAAATCCCTTCCTGCTTTAAAGTTTTATGTTTATTCCTTAAAGCAACTTTCTTCTGAGGAATACAAAGAACTCTGGGTACTTCAACTTACTCTTTAAAGGAGTGGTCCAGTGGAAATACATTGGATGTGTGCCACATTCTCCATTTTTGGGAACTGACCTCCCCAATATGCATATGATTTAAGTAGCAGGTTCCAGGCAGCCATGCTCGCTCGGGGTGGCCTGAACTCCCTAGCCACAGCTGTTAGTTCCAGAAGTGGGTGAAACAATCAGAATTCTCTCCCTGGGAATCTGGAATTGAGATCCTAAAGAGATTCTGTCTCTACCCAGGTTGTTGGACCTGAGACATGAAAACTCAAAACCCATTGGTAACCATCTTTTTGGTCACGTGGCCCAAAGATACAGTGGCAGTTGGTTTGCTGAAAGAGGGGAGCAAGTGGACACACGGGGAGATGCAGAAATCAAAGACTGACAACTTTCTAATCTATAATTCCTGAGATCGGGTTCAATGAGCTATCCTGTATCCGTACAGAGGCCTACCAAAACAATCATGTCCCTTATTTTACTGGTATATCTCACATAGCAAAAAGGACTCACAGTTAACAGTCTTCATAAGTGTCCTCTGTATTACTACACATCTATACCTCTTGGTAATTTTAGAAGATAGAAATGCAATAATATTATTGCCTCCATTTATGGAAGAGAAACTGAGGCAATGAGCTTATAAAAAGCCAAATGACACAGAAATATACTGGCTGAGCCAGAACTCAATCCACAGACTCCTGCTTAGCACAAAGGCTCTCTTTGTTAACTATTTCTGACCCTAGAGTTTAACTTCTGTTTTACAGTGTGGAAAAACCATGAGAAGGCATTGCAGCATTTTTAGAAATGAACTCATTTTTGATTGAGTTTGGAATTTTAAGCAAAAAGAACCTCAAGGTTTTGAGTTTTGACCCTGCAGTCTATCTTTATGACCCAGAGGGATTCTCTCAATTCATTCTGAGCTCACTGTTAGGGCCCCGGATTCCCAGGCCCAAGAAATGGGAATTGGTTTTTTGGTGGTTTTCCCTCAATCCAGCCGTAATGAACACCCTCGTATGCATGCAGAGATGTTAACAGAGATAGGCAACATGGAAGCTGGGAACTGAGTCTGGTCAAAATGTTTAAAACATTATGGGGCTAAATATTAGATTAGGACTAATGTGGTAAATTCAGAATACTGAGGGCCAATAGGAACCTTAAAATAGGATAGACAGTTGAAAACATGAGCTTTTTTTGTGCTTTGCCTTAATCCACCAACCTATCTGAAGGTCTAATCTATCAGGTATTTAACGATATACCAGAGATATTTCCTTCACTCCTCAGGGGAAGGAGGCAAGGAGAAATTGGTTCCACATGAAATGATGTGATTTCGATTACATTTTGAAATCAAAGCTTACAGGCTCTGCATGTGATAACTGTGTTTGCTCATTATACCACCTCTGCCACCAACAAAAACAAAATCCCGACCTCAAAACCAAAGAAATTAGAAAAGGAAAGAAATGTAGCCAACACATATCCAGCAGCCAGGGGGTCTATGTCCAGTTGAGGTTTCATTTCAAGAGGAAGCGGGTGAAAGGAAGACAGAAAAACCTCTGATAATTCTAGTTATTTAATTTAAAAGCACAAACCTGAAGAATATTCTTGGGTTTGTCAGTATCGAAACTTTCCCAAGGTTTCCCGTAAGTGGCGGAGGAGGCTGCTTTGTCAAAACCCTGAAAAGGCCTTGAAACACACTGGGACAATGATCTACAATTAAGTGTTCTCCAGTGGGTCTCAGCGTGACACACCATAATGGCTCCAAAGGAGCCCTTAAAACCGACAATGTCAATGAGTTCCTCCAAGCATGGGGATTTAGAGTTATGGATTAGACCTCTTAACCCTTCTCCTCCCCTCAAAATACCTTAAAGACCTTTTCTCCCAGGGGAGGAGTTCTGCTATCCAGTGTCTGACTAAAAGATCTTTGTGAAGTCACGTTTAGACAGGACATCAAATGAAGGATCTGTGTTCAGCTGAGATACTCCGCATGTTGCCCTCAACCAAACTGAGGGGCCAGAACCACAATGGCCCCATCAAAATGAAGAAGGAGCCTCGTAGGGGTTTCATTTCATTTCTGGATGTGAATGATCTTGGAAAAAACTTCTTTGCTGTTTTCTTGATGCTTTAGTTTATATACCTGTAAATTACTGATTTAACTAAAAGTAGATTTTGCTTTACAGCAAAAACAAGAATGACAAATCAGATCCTGTTCAACTAGTAAGGCACTTCCTTGCTGAATATCAGTCACACTTTGAAAGATGTATGAATTCTTTCAAACCAGCAGGAAAAATTTGGAATCAACTCTGTATTTTCTAAACTGAACAGTTACAGCACACAAAACAGGTTATCAAAATGGATAATCCCAACCCCTATTTATTTAGAGTAGTGACCATACATCATTAGTTTGGAAGGGATGCACTTTCCCAATTATGTTTTGCTAGTGACTCAATGTGCTTCCTTCCCTAAAACACACACTGTCAGTGGGGGCTGAGAACCTCATATAAGTAGTTACAGAGACCAGCTTTAATTTTTTATTTTATTTTTGCGCAACATTGTGAATGTAGCCAGCTTTTTATTAAACATTCATTCAAGCTAACTTATGTGCAAATGTGAAATATGATTGTAGGAAAGTATAGTTCCAGAACTTTAAAGATTGTTTTGTGACTTGAAAGCATTAATGACCCCTTTTAAGACCCTAAAACTACTAGGAGAACAGCTCTATTACCTGGTCTTATGTTCACACCATCCTATTGGTCTCAAAAGCTCAGTTCATTCCCCACGTGTGACTAAACAGGTTCCAGGACACACTACTGTACACAGAATTTGGGAAACTTTTGGGATAATGACTATAACAGAACTGGAAATGATTATTTCCTAATAAAAGCTTCCTCATTCCAATGTACTCATGCCAACAGGCTACTTGTAAGGTGGCAAATTAAGGTACGTTTTTCTTGCAAAAATATTCCATCACTCTTCCTTTTCCTTGTATAGCAAGGGAATTCTTTTCATTTTAGAATCATAAAGCTCTTAAACACTGGTTTTAAAATGGAAAAGCAAGTAGGCCTTTTATTAGAAAACTGCTGTTGAGAGCAGCTTTCTTTCCTGGTTACACAAACATCTGCCTTCCCAGAGAAAGGAAAATCAATGTTTAAAGTCTATTTAAAAAAAAGTAAATGCAAGATTTCACATATACCTTTCAGTAATGGGGGAAATAACCACCTTTAATTTTTATTTTCAGTTGTTTCAATGGCTTTTAAATTTGGCAAGTACTGCTACACTTTCCCGAAGTGACAGTGGGCCCTCGCAGCAACCCTCCTACCTGTACCCTCAGAAGTGATACTTACATAGCCCAGGTACGTACAAGTCTATACAACAAGGAACACATCATAAGTCAGACACTTGGAAAGGTATCGTCAGAAGGACTTTAAAGGCGAGTCATATTGTTTGGAGCTTACAGGACTCAGTTCTGATCAATGTGGAACTTTCCCTATTCCCTGGAATGGGATGAATCTGAGCTTTATTTATTTATTTTAAGAGACTGGGTCTTGCTCGGTGGCCCAGCCTGGAGTACATGGCATGATCATAGTTCCCTGCAGCCTTGAACTTTTGGGCTTAAGCAATACTCCTACCTCAGCCTCCCATATAGCTGGTATTACAGGCATGAACCACCACACCCTGTTAAGTTGTCTCTTTTTTGTAGAGGCAGGGTCTCGTTATATTGCCCAGGCTGGTCTTGAACTTCTGGCCTCAAGGGTCCTCCTGTGTCAGCCTCCCAAAGTGCTGAGATTACAGGCATGAACCACTGTGTCTGGACAAGTCTGACCTTTACAAAGACAAATTTATACCACACAACTGTATGCATTAAATTCAACCTTTTGGCCAAATCTAGATTCCTTGATCTAAGCAAAGGGTTTGACAAAAGGTACAGTGTTTTTATTTTTTTGCTTCATTTCTCCTCACTTTTCAAACCTGAAGCTATTGCCCCAGAGACTTCCCAGCCCCACAGTCTCAACTTCATTTCTCTGTTGGACACTAAGTGGCCAATTCTGCTAGTATTATGTAAGTCAGTCACACAACTGAAGAAAATCACTAGTTCTTAAGAGAAAACAGTATCTCTTCAAGCAGGTGAAAAAATGTCAGTCCAGAATTGACAGGCCCTTGGCAATTTGTCCATTTCTGAAAACCAAGATGATAAGAAAACCTTTTAACCTAAATAGGTGTGTGAGAACATTCTTGCATTGCTATAAAGGAATACTTGAGACTGGGTAATTTATAAAGAAAAGAGGTTTAATTGACTCATGGTTCTGCAGGCTGGACAGGAGGCTTGATACTGGAATATGCTTGGCTTCTGGGGAGGCCTCAGAGAGCTTTTGCTCATGGCAGAAGGTGAAGCAGGAGCGGTTATGTCACATGGCCAGAGCAGGCACAAGAGAGATCGAGTGGAGGGGAGGGAGATGCCACACTTTTAAACAACCAGATTTTGTGAGACCCCACTCACTGTCCATGAGATCATGGACAGCACCAAGCCATGAGGGATCCATCCCCAGGACCCAAACACCTCCCACCAAACCCTACCTCCAACAATGGGGACCATACTTCAGCATGAGATTTAGGGGGACAAGTATCTAAACTATATCAATAGGAAGAAAGAAGAAATTCAGCTGTTACTTGATGAAGAAATAAGCAAGCCTTTAACTACAAGCTCTGCAAGAAGATAGTCAAGGCAATTACTAACCCATAACAAAATATCAAAATCAACAAACTGTTTGGATTCTTTTTCCTTTTAATTACTGGATGTGTACTTTGGATATCAATATATTTCAGATGACTGAGCAGACATAATGATCTAAGTAGTCCTTTGGGGAATAATTTCATAATTTTCACAGCCAGAAGAATGTTGTGCACTTTAGGTCTTCCCAATAGCTAATTTACATGGCTGTATCTTTAAAACCTCTTCCCATACTCAAATTGGTTTTGGAGCCTCCAAATGTCCACTTGTTTCTGGGTTTGATATCAGAGAATCACTCTTGGCTCGTTCCTCTTCTTCATCCTCCAAACCAATTGATTACAAAGTTCTGTCAACTTAGAAGTCCTCTGAAATTCACGTCTTTTCTATTATAACTGCTCTGTCAGATGCATGCTTACATCACCTCATTTCAGGAACAATGCTTTTCTCTAGGTACATCCCTTTGCCTCAAGCAAGAACAACTCAAATCCATTGTAGACACTGCCCACTAGACTAATCTGCCTGTAATATCACCAGCATCATGTCACTGTTAGCCTCGGAAACCTTTGAAGGCTTCCCAGAATGGAGCCATCTTTTGATGCCTCCCATATATTGGTCTAAGTTTCCTGAATTTTCTGTTTCAGCCAGATAGCTTAACACACTAAACCTACTGTACACTACCTTATTCCCACTCTCATATGGAATTCTACCTAACTGGAATGACCTCTTTCCATCTGTCTGCCCATGTCTTATAAAACCACCTTAAAAAAATTAGTAAAAGCCCACAAGGTTAGAATTGTGATAAGGACTTAAGGTTTGCTAAGGTATGGGCATAGTTAAATCATAACCAGTTATTGTTTCATAACTTGCTTTGCTTTGCTTTGCTTTTCTATAATTGCTTACAGCTTAGGAGTCACATAGCTCATGGTCACAGATTTGTAACTTCTCCCATTGCTTCATAGAAAACATCAGTATCATAAAACCTAAGACTGGTGTTTGAGGTATTTTTCAGACTTTGCATTCTGATGAGCCAACGATGCCACCCAGATCTGTGACCCACACCAAGGAACTGACTCACCAGCTCTGTAAGCCCCACCCAGAAACTGACTCAGGCACAAAGACAGTTTTGACGCCCGTGCTATTTCATCTCCACCCAATCAGCAGTATCCATTCCCTAGCCCCAAGCCCACCAAATTTCCTTAATAACCCTAGCTTCCAAATTCTTGGGAAGGCAAATATGAGAAATATCTCCCATCTCCTCACTTAGCTGGTCCTGAGATTATTAAACTGTTTTTCTGCCGCAACACCACTGTTTCAGTGCATTGGCTTTTCTGTGCAGCAAGCAAGAAGTATCCGTTGGGCTGTAACAAATTGCAGTGTCATTTAGACAACTAAAAAATCCATTTTTTCCCTAAGATCTTATGTATGTAGCTTAAAACAACCTCATCATATTTGGAACTTGCTAAAAGAAATGATTTGATTACCTCTCCTGGCTCTGTGGGGTTGTCCACTGGCACTTTCTCAGAGATCTACTGGTTATATAAGAATTTTCACATTTTACACTTTCAATTCAGTGATAACCTAAAATAATGACTTTACCAGTTACATAAACCAGATTTCTCCTTTGCATTGAAATTTCTAAATTGAAAGGCATTCTTATGGAATAATACTTCAGTTTCTTAATATTTTAAGGCTTCATAATGGTCTCTACGAACCCCTTCTATTAGAAGGATTCAAGAACAGTTTTTGTTCTAAAGGGAATCTGTAAATGCATTTGACAATCATGTATTGTCATGTGGCATATCTTTCCTACTGTTATCTTGAACTGTTCTTTAAATCCTTTATTAGAGTTTTACTTTTCATGTTTTTAATGTCTAATCTTCCCTAACAGATAGTATACTCTCTGGGGATAGGGTTTATGTCTTAGATGTCTTTCGATTCCTGATGCACTAAACATAGCCTTGAAGAGAGGAAGTGCTTGGTCAAAACTGGTTGGTCTGGTTTTGACTATAAAGGCCTGATGTAGTCTACATTGCATATCAGAGGAAAAACAAACAAAAAAAAATGAGGACTAAGTTTTGCTAGATATCCAACTGAAAATTATCCAACTGAAAGAGAACACTCAAATTGTCCAAATGTTCCTCATCTTCACTAGGATGCATCTCTTTGAGGCATTTCCCATATAGCTATAAGGGCTGCCAGATAATGCTTTTTATACAACGAAGTCCTTATTTTACCTTTCTTCCAACAGACAATAAAAATCAAGACTGTTTTAGTAAGTAGTTTCTTTCTCATAATTGGTAAGAGGTACTAGAAGAAAAAAATGTTGAATCCTATCTGTTCTTAACGTTTCAGGCAAATCCTTAATCTACGTTAATTTCATGCTATTGTAGACAGAATTCTAGAACTATTATTTATCTTCCATATGAACAAGGTGGTCCTGTGTGTCATTCTAGACGTTATTAGTAGAAAACTAAAGCCTGCAGATGTCAAGGTGACAGGATTAGGAGGAAGAGAGAACCTCGAAATGGGATTTTCTCACTTGAGAACTGGGAGAGGACTGGACAATCAATCAGTTACCATCCATACACAGGGCTTAACTGGTTACCTGAAATATTTTCTCATGCAAGTGTTGAGTTGAATTATATAGATTTACGAAGCTTACTTTACTGCATGAGTTAAAAATTTTTGGCAGCAGTTGACAAACAGAGACCAGCACAAATGAAGTCATGGACTAATTTAGTAGAAGAAAAAATATTCTTTAATAAGTGCTTTTCTCACTGTTGCTACCTAGAGACAGGAATGGGATGAACTGAGGAAGTCTGTGGCACTCAGTTATTGATGGGATATTAGCTAATCTTGTAGTTCAGTAAATATCATTCTCCCCGTCACCACAGAAAGATACTTGTGGAGTTTAATGGGCAGCAAAAAAATCAGGATTAGAAGTCACTTGGATTTTTAAAACCAGTAACAGAGTTGTACATAAATAAATACATACACCTCTTATTTTTTAAAAGATCTTTCCAAAGAATGTTTTAAGGAAATGGAAGACGGTAGGAAGAGAGTTACAGGGACTAATGAACACTTTGCAAAGTGGCTTGTGTTTATGGCCCATCTCTCAACTAGAAAAAAGGGGGAGTGTGAGAGGTTAACTTTAGTAGGAGAATAACTAAAGCTAGGGCAAAGTAAGGAAGCTTTTCTTCCTCCATGAACTGTTCTTTGTTCAGGGGCTACTGCATGTTCAGCATGAAAGTTAATTAACACACAGCACACTGCTGCCTGGAACGCCTTACATAATTACACCTGGAGTCTAATTAGGTAACTCTCAACTATCCCTTGTCTAAATCATCCAAGCTACAAATCTCTCAGTGTGGCTAGCATTCATTTAGTGAGGCCTGTGACATGCTTGTGAAATTAAAAAGTTGTCACTTCTAACATATGGGATACACTAACAGCCTAAATGAGTTTTCCCATATGGTTTTCATGTAGAAAGTGAAGCCTTGAGAGAAAGTACGATCTTTCTGGATTCCTTTGTGTTGCCTACAGATTCCAGGACACCATGCCAGGTAGAATCATATTTTATTGACAATACTGTCAAGCAATTACTAATTAAGGTATTTGTGCTGTTATTTAATTTTAATAGGATGATACAATGTTAATATTGATCATTCTGAGATGACAAGATTATGATAAATTAAAATTTTTTAGACTTTTCTAGAATTTTCCAAGTTTTCTATAATGAAGAAATATCTTTATACTAATAACAATGTAGAGAGAGGAAGAAAAATTGGTAAAGGACTCCTCTATAAAATGATCCCATCTTTGTATTAATGAGTACTACATAATATGCAGAGTATAATTTATTATTATTTCAAAATTTAATATAATTTTAAATACTGTATATAGTGTATACAATAAAATACCAATCTACATCACTAGCTTTCATTTATCTAATCAAACTGAATAAATGTGCAAGATATGCTATAAATTACTTCCAAGAATGTACAACTTGGTAAAATGGGACACAGATTTTAGTGACATGGAAAGAGTTGTAATCGGTAGTATCGTTTAACAACAGATTAAGTTTCTCTTTTTTCTTTGACCACTTTTTGCAAGTGACACCATATCACCCTTGAGATTTGTCACTTGGCTTGGCACATCTTTGTTATCAAGTGAAAATGACCAAAAGGAACACCTTGTTACCAAATCTGTTCATTACATGGGCAGGTTCATGAGAGCTGAACTCCACCCAACATATTCTGAAAACGGTGAGAGGAGGAGGGAGGATCCTGGAGAGTGAGAAACAGAACTTAATTAGTTGCAATGCCTGGGTCCACTGCTATAATCAGTGAAGCTACCCAACTGGTGGGCCAAGCCAAAGGGATCAGAAACAGGTCTACTATTGCCAAGTTTTCACTCTGCCTGCAGCGACTGTCAACTAATGACAGATTAGACAAATCTGATAGCTCTATCAAAACATTCATCTCAAATCTTGATTAGTAATCCTATTGAATTATGATTAATTCACAAGGGTGCTGCTGACAGATAAGATACTTTATCTAACAATGTGTACTAGTTGCTTTGCCCGAAGCCAAAATTTAAAAAAAGCCCCCCAAAACAAAAAAAAACACAAACTCCAGAAGTTGCTAGTAAAATAAACTATCAAGTATTGCACATTGAGAAGGATAATGAGGCTACATGAACCATTTAATTTAATAAAGAGCTTGTTTGTGAGAACTCAGTCTTGATACAAAAAAACAAGAGGGACTTAGGGAGAGAAATACAGTGAGAACAATACACTATAAACAAGAGTACACTCTCTGCCTTTTCAGCAAGGAGTATGTAAGAGACATTAACTCACGATTGCTTCAGGGGGTACCATTCTCCATTTTGGCTACATCCCAGTTACTCAGGCCAGAGGCAGAGCAGAACTTGCATGCTTTTTGCAACTTACCATCCAATTACTCTTCTTGTCTCTGGGATGAAGACATCTGTGCATAGAAATACCCAGCAGACCTAAACTCATGGGATTTTCAGAAAGCAGATTTTTTTTTTTAAATCTTTAGGGAGTAAAGTGATAGGGAAGAGGGAAAGTAGAAGAAAGGAAGTGTTTAACTTTCCTAAGAAAAGGAATAAAAATGAGGGTTCCTAATGTCCTTTTTTCTTTTCGCTTTGTCTGAAGCAAAGAAACATTCGATGTGATGTATGCTAAAGTTTTAGTTTAGTACACAGCTATGACTCAGGATAAATCGAATCAGTATTACTCATTCCCTTATCAAGCCAGCTCATGGGGCCTGAACCTAAACCTATCATTCCATTCATGGCTTTGCCAACCCCAAAAATTCAGCTATGCTTGTTGGGGTTTGGGTTGGGTTGCTGGGGCAGTCAGAGGATACTAAGTACTCAAAATCTTGTGTAATTTTAGATGGTATCATTATCTTATCCTGACCTTATGATTTTACAAAAAGCCTAATGTCCTATAATCATGTTTCTCTTTAGCTGGTATTAACCTTTCGGTGACTTCTCTCTTCTCTCTCTCTGTCTCTCTCTCACACTCTCATAACTATCCTGTTAATCAATTGTGCACTGCAGATGGGGTCAAGGAAATCTACTTCCTCCTTTGATAGCCTCCAATGTTTCTACTCTTGGGGATAAAAGTGCTTTAAATGGAGTTATATTCTAGGAAAATCAATATATGATTACTGCAAAGATTTGTATTGATTGTGCGTTGCATTGCAAAAAGGCTAAAGAAAAATGGCATGGCACATTTTCCTTCAATTCCTACTCCACAGAGTTTGTTGTGAATGTTTTGGGCAAGAAGAAAATGTTGGAACTTTATTTAATGACCTAAAGTTTTCATCATTCACTCCACTTACTTTTTTCTCTGCCCCAGGAAGTGCTTCATTATGACTCTCCTGGCTTCTCGTCTATAATACTGGCCAACATCAAGGGCTGCCAGGAGAGTTCACAGAGCTGAAGACTGTCTCCTTCACACAAGGGAGTTGTGCCAGAAACTGCAGGTTGCCTTCCTAACATCCATTCTTCCCTTTCTACTCTCTCACACAGGCCTGATTTTGTTGAGAGCAGCAATGTACCCAGCTGAAAAGCACTTCTCAGTTTTCCCTTACCTATAGATGAAACTAAGTGATTAGGTTTTAGGTAATGGAGTCTAGGTAGAGATTGTTGGGCAAGGCTTCTGGGGAAGTTCCTTAAAAAGGGGTTGGGGTTTGGCTCAGCTGCCAGGCACATTATACCCTTCCCTCCCTTTCTTCCTTCTTCCTACCTGTAATGTAGGTGAGCCATTAGGAGCCACAGCAGTTCTTTTGTGACCGTGAGGGAAACCTGAAGCCAGAAGCCAAGTCAAAGTATAGCAGAACCTCAAGACCAAAGGGGCCATGAACATTGGTGATGTTGTGGAGCCACCAGAATAACCCTGTTCTTTGTGAACTTCTTTCAGATGAAGGAAAATAAATCCTGATATTGTTTAAGTTACCGTTTTTCTGGTCTTTGATATTTGCAGCCAAACATGAGCCATTTCTCCAGCAAAATGCCTAATTATATGAGTTCTCAATGTTGTGCTGACTAATAAAAATAAGTAATTTTTTTTTCTTTGAGCCAGAGCCTTGCTCTGTTGCCCAGGTTGAGTGCAGTGGCGTGATCTCAGCTCACTGCAACCACCATCTCCCGGGTTCAAGCAATTCTCCTGCCTCAGCCTCCAGAGTAGGTGGGATTACAGGCACCCGCCCCCATGCCCGGATAATTTTTGTATTTTTAGTAGAGACAGGGTTTCACCATGGTGGCCAGGCTGGTGTCAAACTTCTGACCTCAGGTGATCCGCCTGTCTTGGCCTCCCAAAGTGCTGGGATTACAGGCGCGAGCCACCGCGCCCAGCCACCTTTTTTTTTGAGATGGAGTCTCATTCTATCACCCAGGTTGGAATGCAGTGGCACGGTCACTCACTGCAACCCCTGCCTCCCAGTTGAAGTAATCCTCCCACCTCAGCCTCCCAAGTAGCTGAGATTACAAGCACGCGTCACCAAGCCTAGCTAATTTTTGTGTTTTCAGTAGAGACAAGATTTCACCATGTTGGCCAGGCTGGTCTTGAACTCCTGACCTCAAGTGACCCTCCTCCCTTGGCCTCCCAAAGTGCTGGGATTATAGGTGTGAGCCACCACACCTGGCCAAAAATAAGTAACATTTATCTCTAGGATAAATGTCATAGGCAGTGGTTACTGGGTGACCCAAATACTTCAAGGTGTCTACAATCATTTAGTTGT
The DNA here is from genome assembly GCF_000001405.40 of Homo sapiens. Lineage (NCBI taxonomy): Eukaryota > Metazoa > Chordata > Mammalia > Primates > Hominidae > Homo > Homo sapiens. The sequence continues at coordinate 54,025,346 of NC_000016.10, read as the reverse complement.
TTTCCCAATCACTAGTGTTGAGAATACTGTAGTAATAAGGTCTTTAAGAAGTTTGGTGTACCTTTGTGATTTTTAGCTGTCCAGCCTCCATTTCTCTATCTTCTAGTATTAACAGTGCTCCAATTTCGTCTGGGAAATTTCTTCCCCTTATAGTGTGCAGTCTTAGTGGGACTGTCATCAAGGGGCTCTGGCCTCCCCTAATGGAGGAGCAGGTATGAGATCCAGACTAAACTCCTTCAGACTTTCATTAAGGATTCAAGACCCATTTAGATGATTCTGGAATAAAAGCTGTTTTATTATAAATTAAGAGATGGAATTTCTAAAAGCCTCTACCTTACAGACTGAACATTTCTTACTGAGAAGTTCTTCTTAATGGCTTATTGCCTAAGTGATTTAAATTTTTCATTAAATACAGAAGTTACTGATTATAAAATCTATTGACTAGTTAGCTTCAATGGACTATTAAAACATTTACTCTAAAAACTGCAGCTTAAATAGAAGGTAATATTAAACTGGGTGAAAAATTAAATTTTGGGAATAATAACAGCTTACCTTTATGGAGTGTTTCCTTTGTGGCAGACACTACTCCCTGATATTTAAATATATAAACTAATATAATACCTATAATAACCTATGAGTTAAGCATTGCTATTATTCCCTTTATTCAGATGGGAAAACCGAGGGAGAATGGTTAAGTAATTTGCCCAATGCCATGTAGTTTGTAAGTGGAAGAGTCAGGATAATTCTCAAAGCTACTGTGATAAAATTATATACTTCTCTATCGCTGGTGGCAATACAAACTAACATAAAACCAGCCAAGGCCGGGCGCGGTGACTCACACCTGTAATCCCAGCACTTTGGGAGGCTGAGGCAGGCAGATCACAAGGTCAGGAGTTCGAGACCAGCCTGGCCAATATGGTGAGACCCCGTCTCTACTAAAAATACAAAAAAAAAAATTAGCTGGGCGTGGTGGTGTGCACCTGTAATCCCAGCTACTTGGGAGGTTGAGGCAGGAGAATCTCTTGAACCTGGGAGGCAGAGGTTGCAGTGAGCCGAGATAGTGCCTCTGCACTCCAGCCTGGTGACAGAGTGAGACTGTCTCAAAAAACAAAAAACAAACAAACAGAAAAACAGCCTAGACATTTTTTTGGTAATGTATAGTAAAAGCCATACAAACACTTATACCTTTTACTTAATAATTCCATTTGTAATATTATATTCAAGAGAAACCATCTAATTGAAGAAAACAGAGATTTTTATTGCAGCATTATTCCTAATAGCATAACTAAGTAGAAGTAACCTAACTTCAATACTGGGGAACAATTAAACCCAAAATAGTATATAAACAACGCATTATCAGTCTTTAAAATGCATAATTATAAAATTATGAAGCAACACAGGAAACAATGTAGCATTAAATAAAAAAGCATGATACAAAATTTCATGTACTCAACAACAATACCTAAATTAACCCACACATTCCTATGGTCAATGGCTGGAAATTAACTTTCAAGGTAAAAATAGCTGTATTAGGAGAGTGGGACCATGGTGAAGTCCCACTCCCCCATTTTTCTCTATTATTTTCAAATCAAAAAGGGGGAACAATAAAGTGGAAACATGTTTTCAAGAAAGGAAGAGAAATCGCACGAAGTTCCCAGTGCCCCAGCATGCTTTGGGATCTTGATTGGGAAAGCCCATCGTTCCCCCTTCACTGTAGATTAACGAGAATGCTACGAAGGAACGGAGGCTTAGCAACGGAAGGCTCTTTATCCAGTCAAGGTAAATGAAGTTGGGCTGGTCAGAAGAGTAAATAAGATTAGTTATGAGCTCCAGGTCATCCACTCATGGAGGTCAGCGAGTGTGAGATTATTATCCTTGGTAGAAGAGCAGCAAAATAGCATTAAGGAATAAATTAATGAAAACGGTAGAAGATTATTTGAACGAAAGCCCTAATCAGTTTAGAGATTTCACTCAACTGCTCTACCGGCCATCAGTCAAGCTCACAAAACAAATATGCTTGTTCTCTTAAGTAATTCCAGGAGATCTCCCTTTCTTGCTTCAAAGACATCCAATCTAAGGAAAGTCATGAATAAAGTTACCCCGGTTTGCTGTTACACCTCATACAAAACCCACTCAAGCATCAAGGTGCATGCTACAGCAGACTATTTACAGAAGATGCGTAATTGCTAGTCCTGTTTGGCCTTTGATTCTGAACAGAACATTATTCCATATCCATTCAGAAACACTGAATTCACCAATGTGCAAACTGCATATTTTATTAAATAAACACAAACTAGGAGATAATGACATACATTTGTTTTCATTACAAGTAGTAATGCAATATTTCTCCAAGGCTTACTGCATTAGCATTTCTCTCCACGTTTCAAATGCCTTTGAACTTTCTGAAAAGCTACATCTGTTAGCTCCCGTGTATACAGCGGAAAGTTACCAAGTGAATTAAGTTTTAATATAAATTGCTTTGTTCACTATTAAGATTGATGTTGGACACACTGTACTGTAAGTTGCAAACTGCAATTACAATTCGTTGCAATTATCTTTGGTTGTTAATAGCACAAGATAGCATGTCACTTTCTACCAAGTGTATAATTTATCATTTGTGGTTTTTTTTGTGAACTCTTGTGGTATTCCAAATGTATAATCTTGTTGTATTTATTTCCCAGTGGTCCAACAAAATGCACAGCAAGTGCTGACTAGAACAAACTAAAAAGCACTGCTATTGACAAGCCGTCACTTGAGCAGTAATGAACATTCAGCCTCCACTTTCACCTCAACAAACCAGCAGCTTTAATTTATGATAAAGCAAAGGAGAGACAACCTCCAGGTTTATTATACCCTCACTGCTGTTTCAAATAAAGTAATTAGAAGGTCAAGAGACAGGTCTGGAAAGCCAAATATAAATGCAACCCTTCTGTACAGACATTAAAAAAAAAAGACTAGTGTGTTCAAAGAGCATTTTATCCATCTTTCTTCTTCAGAGCTGGGCAAGTCGGTTGTTGTTCTTTTTTAATACTACCGTAACCAATCAGAAACAGTAGCAGCACCATTCTTTCACTGTCTAATTTGCTCCATATGGACTACGAGCCGCTCACCTAGGAGACGCTGTCCTTAAGAGAACATGACTTACTAGTCCCCAAAACTGCTCTCAACTGTAGACTTAGGGCAGGTGATCAGACATTTCTTTTTGTTTTTTTGTTTTTTTCTTCCGATAAAGAAAACTCAGGTGAAGTGATGGAAAGGTTCTAGAGAAATCCTACTGATATAATGGTAGCCCACAAATAAATAGAAATCTATTTGAAAACATCTGCTGTAAAATTTTTCTTGAAAAAATATCCGAGGAAAAGGGGTTGGCTGGGAGAAAAATTGCCTTTTCCATATGTTTTGTTTTCAGTGATGAATAAACAAGTATAAAAAACTAGTATGTTGTTTTGAAGAAACTACCTACAATATCATATTTCATTTTAAAGGCTCCTAATTTTGCATAATTGTGTTCTGCATTTATGTTCCTCTTTTTTCTCCTACATAAGAATCACACCACCCAAGCCAGGCGCGGTGGCTCACACCTGTAATCTTGGCACTTTGGGAGGCCAAGGCAGGCGGATCATGAGGTCAGGAGTTCGAGACCAGCCTGACCAACATGGGGAAATCCTGTCTCCACTAAAAATACAAAAATTGGCTGGGTGTGATAGTGTGCTCCTGTAGTCCCAGCTACTCAGGAGGCTGAGGCAGGAGAATTGCTTGAACCCAGGAGGCGGAGGTTGCAGTGAGCCGAGATTGCGACACTGCACTCCTGCCTGGGTGACAGAGGGAGACTCTGTCTCAAAAACAAACAAACAAACAAACAAACAATAAAACCACCCAAAAATTCCTTGTAAAGGCCATGTAATCTAATGGCCTACATGGCCTACATGGCCATGTATAGCCATGTAGGCTATACACCCAGCCTACCCTCTGAGGAGTAAGTTAAGACAATTGTAAGGGCCTCTTCTAAACCAGCTGCCCTCAAATGTGTTGATCCATGGATTACTGCAGGGGGAAATTATGTTGCATGAAGAAACTACATTTCTCCCCATCACCTATTGTTTTAAGCTCTTCTCCAAGCCTCTAAATGAAAAGATGAGGATGGTAGAAGAATAGAAAGAGGAGAGTGGAAGAAGCACAAAGAAAAGAAGGGATAGAAATTGAGGGGAAGAAAGACAAAACCAGAACTCACCAAGCTCCTGCACAGGTAGCTATGGTATGTGTCACATATACTACATGCTACATTGTGTTATGTGGGAAAAAAGATGAATCTTCCAAAATGGTACAAGTTATTCTTGGTGCCATAACCTAGGAAAATTCTTTTTTTTTCTTTTTTTGAGACAAAGTCTCACTCTGTTGCCCAAGCTGGAGTACAGTGGTGCCATCTTGACTCACTGCAACCTCTGTCTCCCAGATTCAAGGGATTCTCCTGCTCAGCCTCCCAAGTAGCTGGGATTACAGGCATGTGCCACCATGCCCAGCTAATTTTTGTATTGTTAGTAGAGATGAAGTTTCGCCATGTTGGCCAGGCTGGACTCGAACTCCTGACCTCAAGTAATCCGCCTGCCTCAGCCTTTCAAAGTGCTGGGATTACAGGCATGAGCCACCACACTCAACCAACCTAGGAAAATTCAAGGCTATTATAATCATCTTGATCCATCTCTTTTTGGGGTCTGTGGCACGTACACTCCAAAAGCCTTTCTGAAACAGCGTTCTGTTGTGTAATTTTTGATTCAAGTCATTTTTCCCATCATCTATTCAAGCAGTCAGTATAATTGCACTTGATTATATAAGTGGTGGAAAGGTATGTAATATCATAGAGCATGTACTTATGTTGTAAAAATCCTTATGAAACTGTAAAACAGAAAGTGCACAAGTACAGTAGGTGCTTCTGTTTTTCTTTTTGTCTCCAGCAAGAAAACCTACTGGAAGCAATGTCTTCATGGTGTATAGGAAATGGATATATTTTGTGTTCTCATCTACCAGGGTGAAGGGATGGGCAGCTTTGATCCACAATCACTTTGATATCCCTAGTGTCAAATAATATTTATAAATCATGCATTAATAAAGAGACAATATCTGTACTCTATAATCCAACTGCATACAGGAAAGACAAAATAGTATTAAATTTCTGAGGCATACAGTATAATTTCTAGGTTGGTTTCTTCAATCCAGGAACATGTTTTCTTCTGTTGTAGCCATTTTTTGTTATTGTTTATTTATTATTTTACTCTAAAATGTAATACTCCTAATTTTTACAATTAGTGGGAAAATAACTATAGAAATAAACTATAAGCCAGATAATTTTCCAAATTTTTTTGAGGCAGTAATTTCAGCTGTTTCTCTAACTAGATAAAACAAAAAACAATTTGACTAATCTGCATTCTTCAATCCTCCCCTCCCAGCCACCTTCTTTTCTGATCTCTCACTGGAGGTGCTAATGAGTAGTGAAGTGTTCAAAATGCTACGCTGTGCAGTGGAAAGAGATGCACAGAGCCTGAGTAATTCAAAGTGGAAAGTGAGACTTGTTTCATCAGGCTGTAAACTTTCATCTCAGTGGAAGTCCTAACAATGGTATCCTGGATGTCAAATCTCCACCAAACAGAAGATTCTCAAAGAGGAAAGCCAGCTCTCCTATTTCTTTCCCATAGGAAACCTATATGCCAAAGGAATCTAGAAACCGAGGTGTTCCTGGTTTCTACCTGAAGGGCCCAACACTGAGATAGGTTTTTAGGAAAATGTAAAGGAATTGTGGAGGATGATCACTACCTGGGAGGACCTTCCACATTGGACAAAGCCCAGTACTTGGTAGATATGCCAACAACTTTTGCATATGCCCATTAAATGCATCAACTGTTACTAAAGAAATGTATATGGTTCTATGAGTATGGCAGAGGCATAAAAAAATCATGATGCCTATGGGAGGCACTGTTGGTGCCTCAACAACCATTCCCACCTTCTTCCTTGTTAACAGAATCTATTTTATTCAGGTATTCAGCACTCAAAGGAAGTTGACTCCATTGCCAGATTGGGAGTAAATCTTAGTTAATCAGTCGATAATGGTGCTTCCATTTCCCTTGCCAGTCTTGGTTTAGGGGTTTCAGTTGGGAGCTTCTAGGAAGGATCTCCTCACTCTTAAGAAGGAGACACAAGAAGAATTGATTTCCTTCTATCTCTGTTGTTTCTACATCTGGATGTGGTGCCTGGAGCTACTGTAGGCATTTGAAGCCCAAAGGAGGCCAGCATGAGGGTGGTGATGATGGCAGAAACTGAAGAAAAGAACTCAAGTCTCCAATCGCATCATTGGGCCTATGATCATATCACACCTACAGCTGTCCTATTTCCGAACTTCCTGTGATGTGAGATAACAACTGGCATTGTTTACAGTAATTTGAGTCAGGGTACAATTTGATACTGTGCCCATTGTATTAGTCCATTCTCACAGTGCTATAGAGAACGGCCAAAACTGGGTAAATTATAAAGGAAAGAGGTTTAATTGACTCAGTTCCACAGGACTTGGGAGGCCTCAGGAAACTTACAATCATGGCAGAAGGGGAAGCAAACACATTCTTCTTCACATGACAGCAGGAAGCAGAAGAATGAGAACCCAGTAAAGGGGGAAGCCCCTTATAAAACCATCAGATCTCATGAGAATTTACTCACTATCACGAGACTAGCATGGGGGAACCACCCCCATGATTCAATTACCTCCCACTGGGTCTCTCCCATCACACGTGGGGATTATGGGAACTATAATTCAAGATGAGATTTGGGTGGGGACACAGCCAATCCATATCACCATTTGTCCATTAAGGAGGAGTAACACACACATACACACACACAAACACATGAATGAATGTATGTATGTATGTATGTATGTATGTATGTATGTATGTATCTATCTATCTATCTATCTATCTATCATCTATCTATCTAAGCTATAACCATGCCAACACAACTGAATTTAAATCTCAATAACATCAAACCAGTATCTGCATATATTACTGGTGAGATTTTAAAAATTGGTACCATCCTTTTGGAGAGAGTTTGTCAGTATGTACCAAGAGCTATGAAGAGGCTTATAAATTTTGACCAAGTATTTTACCTTGGGTAAGCTCTCCTAGGGAAATAATTCAAAACATGGACAAATACATACTCTATATTTGGTAGAGTATTACGCATCCATTACAAAAGATGATTCAAACTTTAGCAAAGTGAAAAAGAGAGTACTAGAATAATGATGATGATGATGATGATGATAAAAGTCAACATGTGTGTACGTGTCAGAGCCCAAAGAATATCTACCAAAATGTTCACAGAGGTAGTGTCATGGTGGGGGACCAGGGGGTGAGTTATTTTTTTCCTGCTTTCTTTTCCAAATTTCCTAAATAGGAAATAATATTTATATTTGAAATTTCTACCCTGCATTATTCAGCTGCTTAGTACAATTTGCGGGCGAGGCTGATTGAAAATGTCTAGAGAGGGAGACTGGGCTAGCCTGGGGAAAAGACTTGAGGCAGATGCAGAAAGCTCATTAGCACCAGGATTTCTTCACAAATAGTTGGATTTTTCTTTTAAACTCTGACTTTTCTTTTCTTTCCTTTTTTAAAAGGAGATGATTATTCCATGATTTGGGTAAGGTGAACAAAAATAGTTAACACATATGGGATGGTGAGCTAACGTGCCATCACCGAAAGAAGCCCATTGGGGAAAATTCTTATTTCTAAATAAGAAAGAAAATGCGAAGTGCTTTGATTCAAGTGTTCTGCTTCAGAATACATTTGCCTAGAAGCGCCTAAGAGTGCAAGGTGGGGGCTGGAAGGCACTGCATTCTTTTAAATAAAAGCAGGGACATAGATGCTCCTTCTAATGTAAGCCAACAATGGCACTGTTGACAGAGTCCCAAAGAAGCTCATGATATTCCACATAATTAAGAGGAATTGTTGGCATCAGAGGGGCCAGAAATGTTCTGTAGATTAACTGCTTGCTTCATTGTTAATGACTGCCCAATTTCTTTAGACTAATTGGTTCAATCTACATTTCTGCAGCAAAGATGAAGTATCAACTTGATTTGGTGTCGATAAAAAATTGATGGATGCTTCTGACTGCTACTTCTCAACAATACATGGATTATTACTACTATAATTATCATAAATGACAAAACATGGGCAAGTGGTGATTACAAGTCTAATTCTATCTTGAGGTTTTAATGGCATAAACCACTCAGGCTTTACACTCATGATTTACTGCATCATCAAAATCCCTGAAAGGATTACCCTTGGGTGAATGCCACTCATTATCTTCCCAATAATGCACTGGTTTGGCCCAACATGGAACAAATAATCAAGATTGAGTTCTTAGAAAAGCCCTTTTTAAATATATAAATCTCTGGTTTGAGAAGGAGGCATGTACCTGCCAATATCCTTCTCTTCAATTCTGGATGTTGTAGTTGAATTTTGCTCTGGCGTGTACAAAAGCCAGGTGTCTCTATGTCACACAATAGCCTACTATGACACATAACAAAGCCATGAGATGCTCCATTATCGCTAACCAAGCACTACCAGAGTGCCACCAACCAAGAAGAGAGAGAAAAGGCTATCAGCCTCATATCTTCCCACTTCGTTGGGCACAAATACTAGTTCTGCAGAGCTGCCTTACTTTCGGGGCAAGGGACAGGGAAGAAAATAGGAAAGAGGCATTTACTGCTATTTGTGGGGAATGCTTTTTAGAGAACATTAAACAACTTGTGCTACAATAAAAAACATAAAACACACAGACATTTAGCTTGTTAAGTGAGGCAGATCCAGTATTAAGGATACCTTAGACTGAGACTGCAAAATAGAATGTCCCCAAAGTTCAGACCGGCAATCAAAGAGCAAAGCAGCCTAAATGAGGGGTGGTAGCAACTAGGTAGGAGATACCTCATCTAAAATGGGCAGCTGCCCATTGTTACAAGTGACTGTTGCTCGGTCCAAGAGGACAAGTCTTCCAGTTTTTTTTTTTTTTTTTTTTTTTCATGACAAGTCAGAAGCCTTCATTTTCTGGGGAAACATCCAGGTTTGTCATGTTGGCAGACAACTGTATTTTTAGCATAATGGTGAAGAGGAGGGGATTCTGGAATGAGACAGTCTGGATTTGGATGTTAGTTCTGCTAACATTTGGGAAGTGTTACTTCCTCTTGGTCTCAGTTTTCTCATCTGTAAAATGGGGATAATAACTGCCACCTACCTCATGGAGTTGCTTTGAAGATTAAATGAAGGAACACATGAATGTGTGTAAAATAATCCTGACACATAGTAAGTGTTCAATAGCCATTACTGTTACCTAAGGCTAGGTAAGGCCAGCCGGTTGTCAGTTTCTGACCTCTGCTGTAGGCAGAAATGATCTGTGGAAGGCAGGATAGAAAAATGGCCAAGGGCTTTGGCTCTGAGGCAGACTGCATGGGTTCGAATCCTGTTTCCTGTGTTTGCTGGAGGCTGTCCGAACTTGTAAGTCACTGTATGAAGTCTCAGCTTCCTTATCTGGCAAACAGGGATAGATAATAAAGTACCCGCGCTTCACAGAATGTTGTGAGAATGAGATGAAATAATTTATGTGAAGCAGGTACAATGTACAACGGTATTTGGCATATGGTAAGGACTCAGGAAATAGTAATAGTCGTTACTCATGTTATTGGTTAAGTTGAATTTTCCCAAAGTCTTTGAATTTTAAATCCTTTTTTGTTTTTCAAAGCTACCTTTTAAAACGACTCGTCTTATTTCCTTTTGCCATGGGCATTTGTGCCATGGGCATTTGTGCCATGGAGATAGCTTTATTTTTTTATTGGTTAGTTATTAACTATAAGGAGTTCACTTTTGAAAACTGATTGCTTCACCTCTGAAAATTACTCCTTAAGGTGCTACTTCAACTCTTACAATTGTTACCAAATGAAAACAATGCTGCAGACAAACAACTCTGTTTGTGTAGGTGACGCACACTTAGGAGTGAAGGTTGCTGTAATCACCCTTGTGGTGACGTAATGTTGATGTTTAATACTTTACATGAAACACAATTGTTTTTGTAATACATAAATAGCTGACAATGTCCAGTTTAAGGGAATCTGCAGTTCAAATGCCCAGGACATCTCTCTCCATTAAAACATGCAACTGGGCATGGTGGCTCATGCCTGCAATCCCAGCACTTTAGGAAGCTGAGGCAGGAGGATCTTTTGAGGCCAGGAGTTTGAGAACAGCCTAGGCAAGACCTAGAGTGAGACCATGTCTCTAAAAAGAAAAAAAAAATTTAATTAGCCAGGTGCAGTGGTGTGTACCTATAGTCCTAGCTACTTGAGAGGCTGAGGCAGGAGGATTGCTTGGGGCTAGGAGTTGGAGGCTGAAGCGAGCTGTGATTGCACTACTGCACTCCAGACTGGATGACAGGGCAAGACCCCATCTCAAAAAAAAAAAAAAAAAAAAAAAGAGAGAGAGAGAGAAAGTAGGAGATTTAAAATAATAATAATTTTAAATGCCTGAAAATCTGGGTGCATTTTATAGAACACACTTCAGGCAAGCTAAACGTGTGCAAATGACATGAGAATGGCCTTCTGCAGTGGAGTTAGGAGGGTGATTCCTTGGTTCAGTCAATCAAAATTCTCACATATGCAAAACTAAAGGAGGTTTCCCAGTTTGCCTTATGGTGCAGCTCACATTTGGGGGGTGTCCTAGACTGTCTGCCTTGCTATGAAGGAACACCCGAGGCTGGGTAATTTATAAAAAAAGAAGTTTATTTGGCTCACAGTTCTACAAGCTGTACAAGAAACAGGACACCAGCATCAGCTTCTGCTGAGGGCCTCAGGAAGCTTCCACTCATGGTGGAAGGCAAAGAGAAGCAGGCATCACACGGAGAGAGAGAAAGGAAGCAAGAGAGAGAGAGGGGAGGAAGGTGCCAGGCTCTTTTCAAAAGTCAGCTCTCACAAAAACTAATAGAGTGAGAAGTCACTCATTACCCAGAGGACAGAACCAAGTTGTCCATGAGGGATCTGCCTCCATAACCCACACACCTCTCACTATATCCTACCTCTAAAATTGGGGATCAAATTTCAATATGAGATTTGGAGCAGACAAATATCCAAACTATATCAGGAGGTCATTGTAAGTCTTTTCTCTAAAACAGACAGAGAGCTTCAACCAAAGCACCACAGCTTCCTGAAAACCAAAGTGCATATATCACTAGCAAAGGAAAACGCATTTCCTGTAAAATACTCATGAGAGAAAGAATATAAATTATACTAGAAGTGTCAACAGGTACACACTGCTAAAAGTAAACAAGCTTCAAGTCACCAGAGTTCCTCTACAACTTACTCATGACTTTCAAATGTCCTTTTTAGTGCATGGAGAATCTTATACAGGCACACATTGACAATATTGCAGGTTCAGTTCCAGACCACCACAATAAATATAGCAATAAAGTAGCTCACGTGAATTTTTTGGCTTCCCAGTGCATATAAAAATTATGTTTTTTAGACATAATGCTATTGCATGCATAGCAGACTACAATATAGTGTAAAAAACGATGTACATACTTAAAAATACTCGATTGCTAAAAAATGCTAACAATTATCTGAGCCTTTAGCAAGTCACAATTGTTTTGCCTTAACAGTGATGGCTGCTGATGGATTGGGGTGGTGGTTGTTGAAGGCTGGGCTGGTTGTGGCAATTTCTTAAAATAAGACAATGAAGGTGGCTGCAACAGTTGACTCTTCCTTTCATGACAGATTTCTCTGTAGCATGCAATGCTGTTTGATAGCATTTTACTCACAATTTTACTTCTTGCAAAATTGGAGTCAATCCTCTCAAACCTTGCTACTGCTTCATCAACTCGGTTTATGTAAGATTCAACATCCTTTGTTATTATTCCAACATTGTTCACAGTATCTTCACCAAGAGTAGATTCTATCTCAAAAAAAAAAAAAAACACTTTGCTGATCCATAAGAAGCAACTACTTATCTGTTAAGTTTGATCATGAGATTATGCAATTCAATCACATCTTCAGGCTCCATTTACGAGTCTAGTTCTTTTGCTATTTCCACCGCATCTGCAGTAACTTCCTCCACTGAAGTCTTAAGCCCCTCAAAGTCATCCGTGAGGGTTGGAATCAACTTCTCCCAAACTCCTGTTAATGCTGATATTTTGACTTCCTCCCATGAATCATGAATTTTCTTAACAGTGTCTAGAATGGTGAATCCTTCCCAGAAGGTTTTCAATTATCCTTCCCAGATTTATCAGAGGAATGCCAGCTATAGCTTTACAAAATGTGTTTCTTAAATAATAGGGCTTAACAGCAGAAATTACTCCTTGACCCATGGGCTGTAGAATGGGTGTTGTGTTAGCAGGCATGAAAACAACATTAATCTCATTTATCTCCATCAGAGCTCTTGGGTGACCACATGCATTGTCAATGAGCACTGATATTTTGAAAGGAATCTTTTTTTTTTTTTCTGAGAAGGAGGTCTCAACAATGGGCTTAAAATATTCAGTAAACCATACTATAAACAGATGTGCTATCATTCAGGCTTTGTTGTTCCATTTATAGAGCACAGGCAGAATAGATTTAGCATAATTCTTAAGTGCCCTAGGATTTTCAGAACGGTAAATGAGCAATAGCTTCGACTTAAAGTTACCAGCTATATTAGCCCCTAAAAAGAGAGTAAGCCTGTCCTGTGAAGCTTTGAGGTCAGGCATTGACTTCTCCTCTAGCTATAAAAATGCTACATGGCATCTTCTTCCAATAGAAGGTTGTCTACATTGAAAATCTGCTGTTTGGTGCAACCATTTCATCAATGACCTTAGCTAGATCTTCTGGATAGCTTGCTGCAGCCTCTGTATCAGCACTTGCTGCTTCATCTTGCACTTATGTTATGGAGACAGTTTCTTTTCTTAAATCTCATGAACCATCCTCTGCTACCTTTCAACTTTTCTTCTGCAGTTTCTCACTTCTCTCAGCCTTCATAGAATTGAAGATTTAGGGCTTTGCTCTGGATTAGGCTTTGGCTTACAAACATTAGGGAATGTTGTGGCTGGTTTGATCTTCTATCCAGACCACTCAAACTCTCTCCGTATCAGCAAGGCTGTTTTTCCCTTTCTTATCATTCATGTGTTCACTGGAGTCACATTTTAATTTGGTGCAGGATCTTTCTCTCTGCATTCACAACTTGGCTATTTGGCACAAAAGTCTTGGTTTTCAGACTGTCTTTGCTTTTGATATGCCTTCCTCACTAAGCTTAATCATTTCTAGCTTTTGAATTACAGTGAGAGATGTGCAACTCTTCCTTTCACTTGAACACTTGGAGGACGCTATAACTTTATTAATTAATTTCAATACTGTTGTGTCTCAAGGAATAGGGAAGCCTGAGGAGAGGGAGAGAGATGAAGGAATGGCAGGTTGGTGGATCACTCAGAACACACACAACATTTATTATGTTCACCATCTTATATGGATGAGGGTCATTGTGCCCCAAAACAATTACAATAGTAATATGAAAGATCACGGATCACAGGTCACTATGACAGGTATAATAATAACAAATTTTCTTCCTTTTTCTCTTTATTTTTATATCGTTTCTTTTGTTTTTTATCTTAATAAATACTTTTGAAAGATTGCAAGAATTACTAAAATGTGACAGAGACACGAAGTGAGCACATGTTGTTGAAAAAATGGCACTGGTAGACTTACTCAATGCAGGTTTCTACAAACTTTCAGTTTGTAAAGACATACCATCTCCAAAACACAAGAAAGTGAAGCCCAGTAAAACGAGGTATGCCTGTTACAGCTATTTGGGAAAAGAAATGATGGATATGACCTGGTATTCTGAGAACCATTAGGCTGATAGATATAGGGTCCTGCTTTCTCATATCAAGTTCTACTCTGTGACTCACCAGGTAAATCTATGGCTGGGCCCTCTCCAAATCTCAAATCATTGAAAGTGGGTTGATATATTGTGAAAGAGCTATGCTTTGCAACTGAAAGTCATCAGAAACTTTCTAAAAGAGATTTCTTCACTAGATAAGAATCTCCATAGCTTTTTGTTTTATATCTCTAGTTATGGATATTATGACTATATGTAAACTCATTTTGTTTTCTCTGAGTCTGTGTATCATTTAAATATTAAAAAGAGCAATGGTGATAATTCCATTGTCAGTTACTGTGATGTCATCCCTCCCAAATATGGGGGTTATCTGGGGTGCAGAAGTCAGAGGTGGATGAGATTAAAGTGAGGTTCCCTCTGGAAATATTCTAATGTAACCATCCAGCCTCCTTCCTCTCCCCTCCCCTCCAGAAGGCTAATGATTTTAAAACGCCCAAATCCAATAATAGATATCACTTACTTTCGGGGATGCACATACCAGAGGAAGTGCTGGGGATAAAGGAAATCTGTGAATCAGAGAAAGATGTTGGTATGCAAGATTGAAGATAGACCAGCTGGCCCACTGCTTCAGCTGGTTTCCAGAGGCCAGGAAGAAATTAGTCTCACAGTTCAGTTGAAAGAACACCTGGCCGTTCACCCAGGGGCACAAATTCACTGTTGAACAGGGTTATCTTTGTTTCCGTACCAAACACACCTAGGAATTAAGTTATTTAAAATCCTGTGACTCTCATTGTCCTAAATTGCTCGCCTACATGAAATCAGGAGGTAGAGAAGGGTGGAGAGGAACTGGAGGTAAAAACGTTGATGTCAATAGGACTGATTTTTTTTTTAACAGGACTGATTTTAAAGGCTAGAATGGTCTTCTCCTGACTATTACAACTAGGTTTGAGGGTGCCATATTGATTTCCCATATACATTTTATTGAAGATTTACTAATATGAAGAGTTAGGATGGGAGAAATTGCATTTTTTGTTTGTTTGTTTGGCTGGTCGGTTTTTGAGGCAGAGTCTTGCTCTGTCACCCAGGCTGGAGGGTAGTGGCGCAATCTTGGCTAACTGCAGTCTCCAACTCCTGGGCTTAAGGGATCCTCCCATCGCCTGAGTAGCTGGGATTATAGGCATGAACCACCACACTCAGTTAATTTTTTTACCTTGCAGAGATGAGGTCTTGCTATGTTGCCCAGGGTGGTCTTGAACTCCTGGCCTCCAGTGATCCTCCTGCCTTGGCCTCCCAAAGTGCTGGGATTACAGTCGTGAGCCATGGTGCCCAGCCAAGAATTGTATTAAAGTGCAAGAACTGGCACCCTAGCAACAACTAAAAGGACCTATTAGAGCTACTGAGGCTTCATGGGATGGCTACATTAGCTCAATGTTCCTCTGTCTTTTAGGGTATGCACAAAGGTCACTACAACAGTCAAAAATAGACTCCAGTTCCTCATTGCTATGTAAGTTTATGAGTATGGGAAACATCACTTTACAGCTGAACCTTCAACCCCGACACTTATTTCTCTTTCTCTGAAGGGGGGTCAGGTTGAGTTTTGCCACAAAGCACTGAGGAGTGTGGCTGGGTAGGCCGAGTCACAGAGGGAGTTACATGACAGGAAAGGAGATGACTTGCTGAATTCAAAGCAGAAAAGCCAGATGCGTATCTTGGACGTAGGTGGGATAGGGTAGTAGTGGTGGAGCCAGCAACTTGTGAGGCAGAATGTGCTGGCAACTACTATTGGCACAAGACTTGGTGGGAAGCCTGGCGGACAGAGGCTGGAACACACCCTGGGAACCGGGCTCTTGGGAGATATCATCTGGGAACCAGTATCAGGCACTGATCTCTGGAAAAACCCAAACCTGCTGAATTCGATGCTCATTTGTCCTTCTTTCCAGTAAATTCTCACTCCCTTTTCTTGATCCGTTTATAGGCATCCACCATTGTTTTCTGCTCCTATCTCTCAGTTTGCCAAGACTTGCAATATGAGTTTTGTTGCTTTTAAATTCAGGTATAGTTTTACACATTTTAAGAGTAGTTTGATGAACGGAAAATAAGTTTTTAAAATTTAGATTATCATTTTAAACTTGCAGAGAAGTTGTAAGAATAATACTCCAAAACACTCATATACCCTTTATCCAAATTCATCTATTACTATATTTCCTGCAGTATTTTTTTCCTTGGGCCATTCACTACTAGGTTCAAACACCACAGTTTACAGCAGCAGAAAAAGGGGTCTGTTGCATTCCATGGCATTTGCTTAACACCCACCATGTAACAACCCAGTGCTTGGTGCTATGCCGAGTTCAGGATGACAGTTCCTTTCCTCAAAGAGTTTGCAATCCCATTGTTAGTTACCATCAAGTTGGCCACTGCCACACTCAAGTTGCTAGACTTTTTTTTTGGGGGGGGGACAGGGTCTTTTTCTGTCACTCAGGCTGGAGTGCAAAGGCATGATCATAGCTCACTGCAACCTCGAACTCCTGAGACCAAACAAACCTCCTACCTCAGCCTCCCAAGTAGCTGGGACTACAGGCACATGCCACCACATCCAGCTAATTTATTATTATTATTATTATTATTATTATTATTATTATTATTATTATTATTATTATTTGTGGAGACAGGGTCTCACTTGGTTACCCAGACTGGTCTCAGATAGACCTCTTGAAAATAAAGTCTGAGCTTTGGAAGATACCTGTGTGGATGCCGGAGTGGGTAAGAAATTACAAGAAACTGTAGTTCCTAACAAGGGCAATAATTTGGCAAGCCAGCATTTCCCCAAATAGGTCAAACAATATCAGTAACTTGGCATATTAAGATGCATTAAGTGGGGAATGCAGGGGGAAGGTATTTCTTGGTCAAATACTTTTTGGAAATTTTATTTAGACAATGTTTATCACCTGCAGTTTTCATTGCAGTATGACACTGGTTTAGCTCACAGAAGTAGAGTTCCATTGAAGATCCTTTGGAAGTATAAACGAAGCTTATACACTTAAAGAAAAAAAAAACAGAAAAAAAATTGTGAGGTAACATACACAATATCACAGCCCGAGTCCTAAGTCCTGAGTAGAGACATCAAATAAAAGGGGATGATAAATGACACAAAAAGCAGGAAACTCACATTGAAGAAGTATAGGAGTATTTCTGTGATGTTGTCGGTGGGTTCATTAGTTTTCAACAATATCACTATTCCTACTTAGAAACTGAGATTGGCCCTCAAATACTCACTGGATCAGGTCTAGACGTATCAAAGGTAATGGAAGGAGTTGGAACCTACATTTATGGAGAATCTATTAAGTGCTAGGTGTTTCTTAATTGTCAACAACTTGTAAAGGAGCAGGTGGCTTCTTTGGATTGTCTGCCTGATTCTTGGGCACATCCTTTGCACCAGCACAGGGGTGGACACAAGCAGGGACTCAATGGCTGTTTCTGGAATGACAATGAATCCCTGTTTCACAGTGTGACAATAAAGTAATCAGATGAATTTCCATAGCTGAGTTTAATTGTTAGTCCAAAGAGGTCATTCACTGGTGGCCAATAGCCTGGAGACAGTGTTTTATTTGGCTTGTAGAGTAATTTAAAATAAAGCAACCACCTTTACAAGTTGAGAGATTTTTTGACCAAGTCCAGATTTCAAGCTTCTTTGGCAATACCAGAAGCTCTGGCGACACAGGACCAGCATTCCCTTAGGGTCACAATCAATGGGGAGTAGGGTGATGGCTGTCTGCCACTGTCCCTACCACTTTCTTTTATCTCCACGCCACTGGGGCCATGTCTCTGTTGCCAGTGATCCCTGTTTTGGTATGCATGGGCACTGCAGGCATTGGAGCTTGTGACTTCTGATCTATTAATAACAGTAACTAATGATAGCAATAATTTTACATACCTTTATATCTATTAATTCATAAGCCCACCTTAGGAGGTGGGTACTCTTATATTTCCATTTTACAAAAGAGCCAAACAGGGAAAGGGCAAATAACTTCCTCCAGGTCTCAGATCTAGTAAGTGGCAGAGTGGGCTCTGAACTCAGAACACCTGGCTCCAGAGTCCTGCTCTTCACCACTGTCTCTACTACACGACCATTCTTTTTTGTTTTTTCTTTTATTTTTTAAATTATACTTTAAGTTTTAGGGTACATGTACACAATGTGCAGGTTTGTTACATATGTATACATGTGCCATGCTGGTGTGCCGCACCCATTAACTCGTCATTTACATTAGGTTATACGACCATTCTTTTTCACTCTGAATTGTTTTCAAATTTTTCACGTATGTACACCTCGTATCCCCCAAAACCATATCGGCCTTAATAGTATGAAATGCATCCTATTTCCTTTGTATTTCACTAAGCAAATTATTTTTAAAATACCTTTTTATTTCATTTGATCAGGACGATCTGTGTAAGGAGACACATTTCACAATTCCCCTAACCTCCATCAGGAAACCAGCCAAAGTCTGGCTCACCCAAAAGCAAGCCCGATGTTGACCAAAGCTGCCACAGGCTAGCAGCCCCACACAGTTGAGAATGAAGGTCTGCCTTTCCATTTCTCACAGTGACAAACACCATGGGCTTGCATTACACATACTCCAGGCTGATGACTGGAATACACATATATTAAGTTTCATCAATCGCTCACTTGGTTCAGTGTGGGTTTACCCAAACAGCGGGCTTGGAGCCTATCCTTTCACTTAAATTAGTTCTAGTTCTCTGCAGTTTTGATTTACTGAGAAAGCTCTCTCTTTATCTACTAGTGGCATAAGAGTTTTGTCTAGGCAGAAACTGTGGTTGGTGCAATTGGGCCAGTTGGGTCATTCAGCATTTCCATGTGGGATAATGACTAGAGAAAGGGATTTTAATTCTCAATTAGTCCATATCAGCAAAGGAAATGTATTTCCCATTATTTCTTTACTGTGGGTTCTGATTCATAAAATATCTTAAGGAAAACACATTTTACGTTACTGAGTCTTTGATTTCCCAGGGAAACTAATAAATAATCAACAAAAATATGATTAAAGACTGCTTGAACTACCATCCGAAAAGGAACTCTAGCCAGCAAAGAATCTTTCTGATCCAAATCTTTTTATTCCTAGAAACAGAATTCTTACTTAGCCTTTCAAAAGCCTGATGAAGGCTTCAGCTAAGTTTTGACATAAGATTTTCATATTCAAAATATCTGTTGAAATAAGGGGAGAAGGGAGATGATCTTGAAACTGCATTAGTCTGAAATAGGGCTTAGTAAGCTAGAAAGGGAAATTACTTCTCTGTTAATTGGAATTTTCTCCTAAAAAATCCCTTTGAAATCATGTTCAGCTACTTTCCCATCATATGTCCCAGAGAAGCTAACTTTAACCCTTTCTGGAACTGCTCATCATAAAAATTATTTGATATTTATCAATTGCTCTGGGAGGAAATTCTTGAACAATAATCTGTGTCATCAAATAACTTAATAATGAATTAGTAGTTCATAAGAGTCCTAGATACAGTAAAAAACAAAAAACATTTCTAGGATACTTCTTCCCACCAACACATTGATGCTTACCTTTATATATTACATTAATCTTGGCCAAAAAGTCCTAAGGCAGTTGCCAGAAAACTCTCCAATCTGGGTTCCTTTGCCTTTGAAATGATAAAACCAAATTCCGCTCCAGTCCACTTGTTAACCTTAGACTGTGGCTTCTTTGAAGGCAAGGATTATGTTTGATCCTTTTTGTATCTTTAATGACAGTATATAGTAGTTGTTTGATAAATACTTCATGAATCATGAATGAATGAATGAGAGCTAGTTGGGTAAGCTTGGCATGCTACTTAACTTCTATTCTTCTCAGGTTTTCTCATCTGTAAAATGGTAATCATATCTTCACCAAAGAACTCTCGTGAGGTTTAAATGAGATGAAAAGTAATATGTATTACATGTATTTGGGACACAGCTATGTTATATAGCCATTAATATACTAGGATAAGTAATAATATAACAAGTGTACACACACTGTGTGTACACATACATATATGTATATTACATATTTTAAAAATATATTTATATATGTATTATATATTTATTTCATATTTTAAAAAATTTATATATATAAAATAAAATCTGCTGGCCTTCATAGGACTTGGCTTAATATTTTTATTTTATAAAATAAAAATATATTAATTTAATAATATAAAATAAAATAAAAATATTAAGCCAAGTCCTATAAAGGCCACTAGAAAAATGGGATAGAAAAAGGTTCCCCTTCCTTTAACATCTATCTTAGCTATGAAGACAAGAAACCTGGCGCTGCCTAGAGATATCCCATAATGCTAAGGTACTCCAATGAATTTGTTTCTTTTTTTTTTTTTTTTTTTTTAGACGGAGCCTCGCTCTGTGGCCCAGGCTGGAGTGCCGTGGCGCGATCTCGGCTCACTGTGAGCTCTGCCTCCCAGGTTCACACCATTCTCCTGCCTCAGCCTCCCAAGTAGCTGCGACTACAGGCACCTGCCACCATGCCCGGCTAATTTTTTGTATTTTTAGTAGAGATGGGGTTTCACTGTACTAGCCAGGATGGTCTTGATCTCCTCACCTCATGATCCGCTCGCCTCAGCCTCCCAAAGTACTGGGATTACAGGTGTGAGCCACTGTGCCCGGCCACTCCAATGAATTTCTACTTCATCAAGCTACACAGATAGCTTCATCCTATTAGAGTTGGTGCCTGATATCAAAACCAAGAAAGAGGCCCTTTGGCCTATGGGAAAATTCTCACATGTATGTGTGACATGTCCCATTTTTGAATCTGTCCTCTCTTTTTACTGATGTAAACTCATTAAATGGCATGCGGTCCCTAGCATGGGCGCTTCATAATTACTTGACAGCTATGCTCTAGTTCCATGGAGTAGCTTAGTTCATAATAATGGTGAGCAAACATCAAATGCGATTTGAAAGATATTTTTTTCCACTGACTAATCCAACATAGGATATTCTGCTACTTTACTTGCTAAATTAAAAAAAAACCACGACATTTATTTATTTATTTATTTATTTATTTATTTGCAGGGTCTTGCTCTGTTGCCCAGGCTGCAGTGCAGTGGGTCCCTTCATAACTCACTGTAGTCTGGAACTCCCAGGCCCAAGTGATCCTCCCCCCTCCGCCTCTCAAGTAGCTGGGATTACAGGCGGATGTCACCATGCTCAACTTGCTTGCTAAATTCATAATACGGTCTTTTCCCTAAAGACGTACCATGCTAAGTAAAAATCATCAAGCATTTTCTAAGCTGATTTCTTAATTATTTTTAAAAGTTGTAATGCAATAATAATTATCTATTATCCAGAATTGAAAGTAAAGTCAGTTTGGGTACAAATCCTTTTGTGTTTCAACAAAAACTCTGGAAGAAAGTCATTGAAAAACATGGAGTGTCATACAAATATAAGGTAGTATACACTAGTCATATAAGATAATCTTATTTTACCTTATCAAAAATTGAGGGACTAAAAGGACAGAGAGTACTGTTCTCTGTTTCAGAGTAATATAATGTTCTCACAAAAATTATATTTGTTCTTAGAAAGTAACAATATTAAACATGGCAACCACTAAAGAGATGTCTCATCATCTTTTTTTAAAAAGACTATAAAATGTAAAACAACTTAAGATCTTTTTTTAATAGCAAGGCTGTCAACCATAGGTTAAATAAGAGTTTAGATGACATACAGCCCTTCTTTTTAAAACCTAAACTATTTCTATGATATTTCCTAGGACAAGATTGCTATAGAAAATTCTATATGGGGAGGTTGGGCACAGTGGCTCTTGCCTGTAATTCCAGAGCTTTTGGAGGCTGAGGCTGGAGGATCACTTGAGGCCAGAAGTTTGAGACTGGCTTGGGCAACATAGCAAGACCCTGTCTCTATAAAAAATAAAGAACAGATTTTAAAAAAGGAAAGCTCTATATGGAGATGTAGCCTAGGGAAATGTAATACCAGAAAAATCAACATAAACCTCATCTTTCTATATGTGCTTAAAGAATAATCAAATATAAGTGGGTGACAATAATGACAAGTAATGTAAACAAATTAAATTACTTTTTAAAATATAATAACAGATGTTGGCTAGATCCTTTCTTCTTCCCATAGTTGCATATGTAGGATATCATGATCCCATTAGGGGCTCATACCAACAGCTCCTGGAGGAGGCCTTCTTTCTCACAAATTTCTGCCCCTTGGCATCAGTACTAGGCCATGAACTCCTGAGGGCAGCCAGTCCCAAGCCCCAGAGTCCCTCCTGCCATCCAGAGTTGATAAAAGGCAGGAAAGAATACTGTTATCTCTTTAGTTCTTCCCAGAATTCCATAAGGGGTCACTGCTGGGGATCTTGGGTTGGTATTTCTGGGAAAAGGGAAACATCTATTTCACAGTCTTTCTCTTTCCCCAAGGACCCAGTACAAGGCTGCATGCAGAATGGTAGGAAAGCTGGCTTCCCACACCAGAGCCCCCCAGGGGAGGATGCACCAAGGTGAGCCCACCTGACCCCCAGGGAAAGTCAACAAAAGCCTGTGCTTTTTAGGGTAATTCTATATTTAACTTTTAAAAAGGGTCTTCTACACTATTTTCCAGAGTGGCTGCACTATTTTACATCCTCACTAGTAATGTATGAGGGCTCCAATTTTTCTCTATCCTCATCAACACTTGTTTTTATCTGTCTTTTGTAGACACAAGTTTCTACGACAGCACTTAATAAAATTTTAAGTATTGCTGCTTTAAAAAATAATTGTAAAAGGCCATCGCTGCTTATTAAAAGCTTTGAAGATCTGAAGTGATTCTGGAATTCTAAAGGGTAATGTGACATCAAGAAGTAGAGATCTCTTTCCATGAAACTGTCCCTAAGTGGCAACGCCTGTGCTGCTTTCCTCACAGGTTTCTCCACTTCTCTAGAAGGTTGGGCAGGTGCTAGGAAGGTAACCTGCAAACACTTCCCAACACTTTTGAGATGAACAGAAAGTGGAGTTACCTCGTACAATAAGCCAAGCATGAAAGTATCAGGTGCCTAGGAGGAGGCTCTCTAAAATCCAATTTGGCATCTTGATAGCTGAGTCATTTGAGTTTATAAATGACAGTCAAGTGTGTATTGTGGCCAGACACAGTGGCTCATGCCTGTAATCCCAGCACTTCAGGAGGCCGAGGTCGGAGGATCACTTGAGCCTGAGCCCAGGAGTTGAAGACCAGCCTGGGCAACATGGTGAGACCCAGTCTCTACCTCTAAGTGGAAAATAAGAATAAGGAGGCTAAAGTGGAACATATATCTTTGCTGAAAACTTGATAAACATGCATTTAGCTTTATAACAGATAAAAGGACTGCTGGACACTGTCAATGTCTTCTCCCAAATCTTCTCCCAACCAATTGCCTTTAGGTGGTAAAAGCATGCATTCAAGTAGAAAGCTGCTGTACCTTTCCTCGGGTGTTTGAAACAAAATGTGACTAATCATCTGGCCCAAAGGAAGCCCCTTCTGGGGCCTATAAACAGTTTGAACGAGAGGCTGGTGGCTTGCACGTTTTCTGAGAGTACAATCTGTTGATCACAAACTAATCACCCAGGTCCCAAGGGATGCTGGGATGCATGGAGTCTTGTGAGGCTGTTCAGGAGCCTTAGAAGTAGATTGGACTAATAGGCTGTCCCATTTCCAACTCCATTCTGACCATTTCAGAGACCAACTAGAAGAGCAAAAACACAAAATCCAATGAATTTTATAGATGAGCTCTATCCTATGCTTGGAGAGTAGGGGAAAGGGGAGGGGTTATCCGGTTCTAAAATCATTAGAGAAAGCAACAGTTAGGAAAAATCAAAATTATACTCACAAACCACTTAAATGGAACACAAATATTTACCTGTCACTTTGTAACCCACTATATCACTTTCAGTATGTGTAATACAGCTAGGTTTTCCTCCATCATTAGAATAGATGCTTCTTAGGTTAAGCACCAAAGGAAGTAGTTTCCTTATGTTTAGGGGCCTCATGTTGTACAGAAAAGAAAAATCCACAACCAACATATTCATGGTACGGAATCATACTCAGAAGACGAAGATACCACCCTCTGAGAGGCATGCACAGACTTCCTGACTCCCGTTTCACACCTACTCCAAGGCAGGTGCTCACGGAATAGAATGGCACGGAAAAAACTATTTAAATTGTGGTTGCAATTCCTTCCTTGCACTTTCTCTCATTTAATATAAGCTAGTTAAAAATATGTATAATGCAATTCACTGAAATCAGTCTCAGAAATCCAAAGTTTGGCCAACAGTCATCTTTGCTGTAAGACCACAAAGGAGGAGACTCAACTGATAAAGAGACTTAAGATCCCAGAATTCAGTAATTAAATTCACAAGACTAGAAAAGGTCTTGGAATAGCCAAACTCCGAAGTGAAAAGCTCTTTAGAGCTCATCTAGTTTAAACCCCTCATTTTATAGCTGGGGAAAATGGGGCCCAGAGAAATAAAGTAACATACCCAAGATCACACAGCTGATGAATGGCAGGTCCCAGCTCAGAAAACAGACTTTCTGACTTCTATTTTATGTTCTTAGAAATTCTGATAAATCAAAGAAATACCTTAAATGTGAAAGTATGCCCCATGGTTCCAACTTCACTATTCATCATACATTATACCAATTAAAATGCAATATATGGGTGATTATTACCGTGCTTTAATCATATCGTGTTGTCTGAGACATACCGATGGACATGTGTTTTGGAAAATCAAATAAAACCACAGGGTTGGTTGTCACTGGCTCTATTTCTTTAATTTACATAGTCTCAGCTTGCCTTTGGAGAATTTACAGACTAAAGCAAAACTGTCCCTAGAGACACTGTGGAAACAGTTCTTACAACAGAGTTACTCTCTTTGTTGCTGCAGTCACTTATAATCAGAGAAATCAAAATGTTAGTATGATTCCACAGAATTACATGGCAACTTCGGTTAGACCAGAATGTCCCCCGCTTAGCAGTCCTAGGAATCACCATTAGCTGAGAAAACTATCCAGAATCCAGAATCTGACTTGAGCTCAAATGCCAAGAAGATTTCCCCCCTCATAAATACATCTGTTCTCCATTCTCTATTTCAACTCTCCTGTTTTTCTTTGAAATGTGAGTATGACTTCTGTGCCTGTTGACCGTTGGAATATACTTGCTTGTTTGCTTTCTCCTATGTTTTTCTCAATGCAATAACTTGAAATGTCAACATGAGGTGACAAGTAAATCCTCAGTCAAAATAAGTTTGCAACCAAACAGGAGAAAGAAAAGAAAAGCCACATAAAAAATCAGCTGTAGAGGCAATTGAATGGTGGCCAAACCCATGGCCAAAGCTCTAATAGAGTATAAACATTTATCATCATTCGAGATCATTCCTGTTCTCTTATTCAGCAGGCTGCATGCTGGATCCTTTCCTCTGGAACTCACCATTTGCCCTGATTTTATGTCTACTGCAACAAGTAGGAAACGGAAGATCACTGCTCACTGTCTGCATATAGACTCTGGCCTCGTTTCTCAAAGCCAGAGGCACCTACACAAAGAATGTCTGTCAATCCAGAGTGGCGAAGAACCAACTGTACTGGTTTTTAACATTTCCCTGTGGGAACGAAACCTAGCAAATTAATGATATCCTCTGCAATGGAGTACGGAGAAAATCCACTTTTCCATTCTTACTTGCCACAGAGCTTGGGAGAATCCAGCCAATTAATGGTACAATCTCTATTAGAGGTAAAATGAAGGTCAGTGAAGTTATAAATATAAAAGGGGACAATGCCTACTGGCCAGCATCCATCTGCTTCCATGGGGTCTTTAATAACTGTTCAGGGACTACCAAGCAAAAAATGTGCAGTACCACATTCTGAGAAACCCACCATTTTAAGTAGCTTCCTGATTTTCACTATAAATTCTACTCTTTCCTTTCTTGATTTGGTTGTGTCAGCCCTATGACAGCTTGTCTCCACAGGACCTAAGCTGGGAGAGATGAGTTACAAACCCAAATCCCAGTGTTTGTTAAGGGGATTTATGCATTAGGTTCTCTGAAACTTTACCCGGAAAGTCTTCCCCGTTCCTCTGCTGGGTTTCCGGAAGAGAGAAATCCCCTCTACGGATCTCCTTTTGACTCAGTGTTGGATACCAGCACATATAAATCCTGCCTAATGACTTCTGCCTGTGGCTGACAGGTTTTGGTCTTGGGTAAAAGCCGGGTTCTCAAAAGCTGCTTTTTGTTTATTTCTAAAGAGGATTTATTGCATGGCTTCTTCAGTAAGCATCAGCATTCCCCATGATGGCTGTCAACACCCTTCACTTACTTGGGTGCTCCACATGGAGGGATCTAATTCATGCTGTCAGACCTGGGACCCTAAACATTCCAGCATTTAGAGTTTAAAATCACACTGGGTAAAAATCTAAGGGTTCTGTTATGGAAGTTTCCTTTTTTGGAGGGAAAGGGTTACTTTCTTAACATAATCCACTCTTGAGATATAATCCTCTTGGTTTTCCTTTGATAATTTGTACAACTCAGGAGAAAGAAGTTACATACATGGGGACTATGCCTTATTCCTGGTCATAAGAATTGGTTCAAGGATGGACATATAATTCAATCAGACTAATAGTAAGAGGGTGGGGCTCCTGAGAAATAAGGTGTTTCCTCTTCATAGGAGTTGCAGTGTGAGGGCAGATGTGATGTCTATGGAGCTACAACCATCCTGCAACCAGAAGGAAAGAGGCTAAAGTTTCCAGGAGCCATGAGGAACATAAGAATAGAGCCAACTGAGAGGGCTTATGAGCAGTGAGATGGATCTTGGTGACATAGTTAATACCTGGATCAAGCTATGCCTGAAGCTAGTTAACCATGTACTTTTCAATTACACCAACCAACAAACTCTTTTTACGTAAGTCAATTTAAGTTGGGTTTTCTGTTCCTTATAAATAGAAGAACACTGAGGGATACCTAGATTCACTATGTAGATGCTGGTTTATAGGCTAAGTCTCTGATTGAGAGGCCTACCTTCTCCTGCAACACAGATACATGGTACTGTAAAAATTGTGCCATCTTGAAGATGACAAGTAGACACTAGCAGAAGTCCTTTAATAGCTGATCCCTTTTGTAACCTCAAGCACCTTGCTTACTTTGTCAATCATTCTCCTCTGTTGCTGTGTCTTCAACTGGTTTTTGTTTGCTTTTCCTCACTACTGCTTTTTGCCCTTGGCAAATAAATACACATGATCTTGACTCTCCCTTCTTGTGAAATGTCTCCCTTTCCCCATGTTCTGCTCTGATGCTACCCTAGAAGCGTACTTCCCTTCTCGGTCAAGTTTTCTGAAAGAGCGGTCTACATCAAGCCTTTCCAAGGCCTCAGTTCGGCAGATGGTTACATAAAAGAGGGGCCTATGGACAAATCTATCCTAGGAAGTGCGCTAGACAGTGGCCCCATCTTGGACAGTAACAATCAACATGGGAATATTAAGGGTTCTGGGAATTCTCACAATAATGAACACTATTTAATTTTCTATTATTTCCCAAATGTATTTGACTGTGGAAGTCACCTCCTGCTTTTATTATGCTTAAAATCAGAATGATGATTCATACTCATTGCCTTCCTTTCTCCCCTCTCATTTATTCACTCACAAATTTTTATAAAATATTTTTGAAATAACAAGTATAGAGAATAACATAACAGACACATTTGTAGCCATCAGCAGCTTTTTCCTAAAAAAAAAAAGATCCAAATCAAATATGGCAAAAATATTAAGAAGGACAGTTTCTGAATGTTCTATTTCTCTCATACCTCTCTGCCTTATAACACGTCCCCTCTGTTTTGTATACTGCACCACCCCCCCACTCCCACCCCGCCCCGCCCCTTCTTTCCTTGTCTTTCTTGGTCTGGCAAAATCCTATCCCTTCTTCAAGATTTGACTTAGCCATTATTTCTGCCAGGAAACATTTCCTGATTTCTCCTGTTCCCCAGCCTATCCAGGTTTTGTGGTCCTGATCTGATCTCCGATAGTACCCCAAACACACCTGATACGGTTTGGCTGTGTCCCCACCCAAATCTCATCTTGAATTGTAGTTCCCCAAATCCCCATGTGTTGTGGGAGGGACTCAGTGGTAGATAATTGAATCATGGGGGCGGTTACCCCCATGCTGATAGTGATTGAGTTCTCACGAGATCTGATGGTTTCTCTTTCTTTCTTTCTTTCTCTCTCTCTCCTTCCTTCCTTCTTTCTTTCTCCTTCCTTCCTTCTTTCTCTCCCTCTCTCTTTTCTCTCTCTCTCTCTCTCTCTTTCTTTCCTTCTTTCTTTCTTTTTTTTCTTTAGATAGAGTCTTGCTCCACTCCATTGCCTGGAGTGCAATGGCACAATCTCGGCTCACTGCAACCTCTGTCTCCTGGGTTCAAGTGATTCTCTTGCCTCAGCCTTCTGAACAGCTGAGATTACAGGCACCCGCCACCACGCCAGGCTAAATTTTTTTTGTATTTTTAGTACAGACGGGGTTTCACCATGTTGGCCAGGCTGGTCTTGAACTCCTGACCTCAGGTGATCTGCCTGCCTCGGCCTCCCAAAGTGCTGGGATTACAGGTGTGAGCCCCCGTGCCCGGCCTGAGATCCAATGGTTTTATAAGGGGCTTTTCCCCCTTTTGCTCGACACTTCTCCTTGCTGCCACCATGTGAAGAAGGATGTGTTTGCTTCTCCTTCTGCCATGACTGTCAGTTTCCTGAGGCCTCCTCAGCCCTGTGGAACTGTGAGTCAATTAAACCTCTTTCCTTTATAAATTACCCAGTCTCAGGCATATCAGCAGCATAAGAGCTAATACAATACCCCTATCAAAAGAGAGTGATCCTCATACTCTCAGGTAATTGTTTACTCACTAGTCTCCCTTACTAGGCTCCAAGTTCCTTAAGGATAGAAACTGCCTTTTATTTCTGCATCCTCAGAATCCTGCATAGTGCTAGGAATATCCAAGATTAAAATATAATGTTTCTTGAATGATGAATGCTCCAGTGTTACTCAGTGGGTCTTCCTTACACCTAACAGAAGAATAGAGGCCAGCCACCAAATTTCTTAAATATGATGTTGTCAGGACTTCCATATAGTTTATCCAGTCACCACCTTTCCTCTTAGGATGCTGTCTCCACTTTTATTTTTCCTTCTAAAAGTAACTGAATCAGTTAGGATGTGTCCTGTTTCAAGCAGCAAAAAACCAACCGTCAAAAGATGAAACCATCGGGGTGCTTCTTATTGAACCAGAAGTCTGGAAATGGGAGGTTTCAAGGTTGGTCATTGTGGACCCAGGCTCTTTCTATCCTGCTTCACCAACATCAATGTAATCACTTTTGTCCTCCTACCTGTCACCTCGTGGTGGCTGCTAAAGCCCCAGCATCATGTCTTGTCACTGTGTGCAAAGGCAGGAAGCCTCTGAAAGGGCAGAGAATCAGGCTCTTTTGGCAAACATGAGGCTCTGTCTTTTTACCAGGAAGAAAATCCTTCCCAGAATTCTCCTAGTGGACTTGGCCTTGTGTCTCACAGGTCAGAACTTGTCACACAGCCCCTGACTTGCAAGGGAACCCGGGAAAATGAGCATCCAGCAAAGGGGAACAGGAATTCGATGACTGGCTTAACCCAAGCGTGATTTACCATCTCAGGCTGGCAGAGGGACCCATCTTCCCCCAAATCAAGAGACCTCTATGCACCAGTTAAATAAAATTTGGATTCTCTCATTGGGGTGAAGGAGGCGGAGTAGGAACTGTGTTTCATATACATGGTCATCTCTGAAAGCTTTCCTCTTAATTTGCTCCATGGCATCATGTTTCATTTTAGTAAAGTTCACGCCACAGATAGCAGACAAAGCATGCCTGCCAGCATAACACTGGTGTGGCTGCCAGGGTACCTGGCTGTGAAACCAAAATATCAAGTTTCTAGCCCCGGGTCTCTCACTAGCCAGCCATGGGTTTCTGGTGAGCTCCCGATGGTGTCTGGGTTTAATGTTCATTAGCTCTCACATGAGGCTTCCTCAGTGGTATCGTGTGGGCTGACGAATGACTTTTAAAATGGCAAAAAAGCTTTCCCTCACTTAATTGCTTATGTTAGGCATCTGTTGGTATTTTTTAAGGGAAGAAAACATTCATTCATTGGCTAGTTACTATGCATCTCCCTGGTGGCAGTTGGGGACACAAAGCCATTTAAGACAACTTCGCCCTCAACGGGCTCACTGTTTGGTGAACGAGACAATCATATACACAAATAGCTAAGTTTAACATGATAACTGCAATGCTGAAGATCTGGAGACAGTGCCATGGTCTGGGGTGTGGGCAATTCGCTGGGAAGCAGAAGGATTCCAACAGGGCCACTGCATACAGCAGTACAGGCTGTTTTCCACATGCTGCATGGGTATATGAGGAAGCTCTGGATACAGAGTAAAAAATACCTCTTAAGAGGAGGCCGAGACGGGCGGATCACTTGAGGTCAGGAGTTTGAGACCAGCCTGGCCAACATGGTGAAACCCGTCTCTACCAAAAAATACAAAAATTAGCTGGGAGTGGTAGTGTCCACCTGTAAACCCAGCTACTCGGGAGGCTGAGGCACGAGAATTGTTTGAACCTGGGAGACGGAAATTGCTGTGAGCAGAGATTGCACCACTGTACTGCAGTCCGGACAACAGAGCGAGACCTTGTCTCAGAAAAAAAAAAAGGAGGAAACACTTGAGTTGACAGAAAGGAAGGGCACAATTTTGGAGACTATGACATGGTAAAGAAGAAATCCCTGAGGCCAGGCCTGGTGGCTCACACCTGTCATCCCAGCGCTTTGGGAGGCTGAGGCAGAAGGATTGCCTGAGGCTAGGAATTTGAGACCAGCCTGGGCAATACAGTGAAACCCTGTCTCTACAAAAAATAATTTAAAAATTGGCCTGTCATGGTGGTGCGTTCCTGTATCCCAGCTACTTAGGAGGCTGAGGTGGGAGGATCACTAGAGCTCAGGAGTTGGAGGCCACAGTGAGCTACGAGCGAGCTATGATGGTGCCACTGTACTCCAGCCTGGGGCAACAGAGTGAGACCCTATCCCTTAAAAAAAATTAAATAATAAAAAGAAAGAATCCATGGAGAGAACACAATATGAGCAGAGGAATGGAGACTGAAAAATACAGTGCATATAAAGTTTAAGAGATGCAGAATGTTCTGCAGCAGACCTACCATTGAAAGAAAGGGAGTGGGAGGGGGCTGTTCATAAAGGAAACAGGGAGAGGAGGCTGAAACGCATGTAAGGACTTTTAAAACCTGAACTTTTTCCTGCAGTTGGCAATTGAGAGTCAATGAAAGTTTTAAAGCATTAAAAGGAACTAGTTCCTTTAGAGGTTAGAGAGGCCAATCCCATTTGCAAATTAAATAACTACCAAATTGCAGCACTCCAAAAATTACTATGAACTAGGTTTATAAACACAAAGAGCTTATTATAATGCTAGAGAAATGACTGTCAACTGGGTTTCAAAGTTTTTAAGAAACTATGATAAAATGAATCCCTGTATTTTGTCCTTCCATAAAACTGAACAGGTTAGGGATATATCCCGTAAATCCTACAATTATTTGAAGCACAAAGCAGAGCTTTACTATGTTATCGCTTTTAAATAACACTTCACCAGATTCTGGTTCCTGAAACCACTTTTGGGAAAAATGCTTTCCTAAGTGACATCACCCCATTTTCCAAATAAAATGAAAAAAGAAAGGCTCATATTCAGAAGCAGCAGGCTACAAAAGGAGGATTGGTAGATCTTAAGAGCTTGCGATGGAACCCCTACTGCCTTGAGAGAAACAAAGAAATAAATTAAAAATATAAAACCCCCCAAATACACATAGTTGAGCTTAAAAGAGGTGGGCTGGTTTTCCCCAAATCCATTAATAATACAAATCACTGTATTTCATATTCACGGTCATCTCTGAAAGTTCCCCTCTTAATTACTCCATGGCTTCATGTTTTATTTTAGTAAAGTTCAGATTTTATTGCCAAAGACTAATGGGCAGAGTCCCTGAAGAACTTGTTTTAAAACATCGACCAGTCAACCATAAAAGGGATATTAAAACAGCTACAGAGGCTAAATAAGAATTAAAAAGTATGGCCACTTATTTTTAAATTAGAATCCTCTTTCACATTTAGGAATATAATAAAATGTGTCATAAACTTTCTACTTTCGTTCCAAAGTATTGTTGTAAGAACCGACAGTAATACAGACACAATCTTTCTATGGTTAAGCAGTACCCATTAAAATCAAGTGCTGTTTTTAAGCACGATTGAAGACATTTTAAAATTATAAATGATTACAACGTCATAAAAACCCTCCGGGGAGAGAACGAGAAAAGTAGAAACAGGGAAGGATCTAAATGAATAGGGCTGTTAATAAACTTCTACCATCAGTGGGTCAAAATTCCCAGGCTAAGCCGGGTCAAATCTTACTACAGTCCTAGACAGAACTTTTAGTTCAACAGGCATCTGTAAAATGTGTTCAGATGAGATTTGTCTAAATCACTGTTGAATCTTTTTGTGTCCTTCCTTATGGAGTAGATTCCAGTCTTGAACCTTCTTCATGACCATATAACACCATTCATTTTATTATTAGGCTATGTTCTTGTTTGGTGTCAATGATTAGAGATGTCGCCTCATTTTACAAGTGGGAGAGTAGCCAGAGGGGAATAAACCGCCCAGTCTTGCCTCAAGTTCAACATGAGTGGGGAACTCAGGTCCTCAATACTCTAATAATGGGTTACAATCCTTGCCTTCATCTGCTGGGCAAAGAGGAGGGTAGGAATTGTTCATCCGAGAGGGAACAACCACTGTGATAAGCTAGGCAGGACGCAATCACACACAGAATATGGAAATGACTTTTCAGGCTTCCTTCTGAAATAGGGCACCAGGCACGAAGAGAAAGATGGCTTTTCCCAACTGAAGTACTATCTGGCCAAATAGGACAGAGACAGGATGTCCAGCAGAAAGGAACCATCTTTTAGGAAACATGATCTCTGAAAAGACCTGAAACAGAGATCTCAGCAGAAATCTAGGTAGGTGCCAAGAAACCCACAAAAACAAAAAAGAGGCAGCGAGCTCAGGAGCGGGGTGGCAAAGAGGCCCATATACCACTCTATTTCCATTTCTGCAGCACCTTCCGTTCCTCTAAACAGGCTTAAGCAAAAGCATCTTGAACTGGTTTAGATTAGTCCCCACCAGGCACATTTGTAAAGATAAAAAGAACATGGTTGTTTTCCTTCCTCCAAAAGGGGGTTGGGAGGAGAGGGGAGGAGTGTTCAGCCTGGTCTCATGGAGGACAGAAAACAAGAAGAGTCAAGCACGTTCTTATGCCCACGTTTACAAACAATCCTGCCAGGTTGCTTTGAAACTTCTAACGCTCAAAGTCGTCCTTGTAATCCTTCTTGGTTACAGAGGCAGAGAGAAGCAAGGCAAGGGGGCTGGGTGGAGGCGGGGAGAAGTGTGGTTTTCTTCCCCATCCTACAGTTCCTGGCAGCAACTGGCTTGTGTAAACATTCAGTAGCCCAACTGAACCCTACTTCAGAACAAAACAATTTCAGTTTTAAAGTGTTTGAATGACTTCAGCTAAATCTGAGGATGTGCCTATTGAATCTGGAGCTGTTCCCTTTCAACTCTGAATGAAGGAAGAATTATGAGACTGGAGTTATTCAATGAGAGCTATCTGTCCTGGCACTCAATCAAAGGGATTAGGATTTGGAAAGAAAAGCCTACAGGTGATCCTCCAGGAAGCATACCAAGCAGTTATCAAAAACATACAAGTTCAAAGCAGCTCAATTTTCACATGTTAAATGTACTTGGATGCAGCCCCAGGCTCCTTTCTAGGTAAAAAATTGTGTTAAAGCTGTTTTGTGCTTGCATATTTAGCATACAAGGGAATCAAAGCACGGGGTGCAGTGGTGCTGGGTCCACTTCACCCTCGTGTAACACAGTAAATCAACCTTGTTTTCCTGGTGAAACACGATCTGATACTCTGTCCTGGCTTCTCCCGGCCATCATGGCAGAGACTCATTTACCTCATCAACATGAAAGAGCTGTCACAGCACAAACCCCGTGAGGTCAGACACCAGCAAGAGCAGCTTAACAATTAACAGTGCTTATTAATCACGAGGCTTGGGTGTTGTTTTCCCAAGCACCACGATCTGTGTCTAACAGTATATTACCTACTTAATGGCTTCACTTGGACATGCTGAAAACAAGGAAAATAAGGACACACGCTGAGATTTGGGTTACAGAAGAGGGTATGTTTTGGGTGGTCTTCCTATGGCAGTGAGTCATGAAGAAATACAACTTATGTTGCCATGAAAATTCCACAGGGCACACACAAAAGGATACAACTCCCTCTGGGGTGCTGAAAAGGACTCTAGAAAAAAATGACTGTCTGATTTATAGGAAGAAAGCAAAGGGAGAAAATGAAAACCTATACTCAGTCATTAGAAATGTATGCAAAGCACTGTAATCCCAGCACTTTGGGAGGCCGAGGCGGGTGGATCACATGAGGTCCGGAGTTCGGGACCAGCCTGGCCAACATGGTGAAACCCTGTCTCTACTAAAAATACATAAATTAGCCAGGCGTGGTGGCGGGCACCTGAAATGTCAGCTACTTTGGAGGCGGAGGCAGGAGAATTGCTTGAACCCTGGAGGTGGATGTTGCAATGAGCCGAGATCATACAACTGCACTCCAGCCTGGGCAACAAAGCAAGACTCTGTCTCAAAAATAAAATAAAATAAAATAAAATAAAAAGAAAAGGAAAAAGAAATGTATGCAAAGCATGTAAAAGCATGTGAGACACACCATACATGCTCAGTAAATGGCCACAGAAGGTAAGAGAAGAGACAGTGCCTGCCTCTGCTACATCCAGCCTTTATGGGAGGAAGGTCAAAGTAACAGCACCAGAAGACTTGGCCTGCCGCTGTCTGGTGTGAGGGCAGCAAGTGACCTACAATTGAAGTCAGAAACTACACCACAAGGCAGGAGCCTGGGTCTCTACTCACCCCTGCCAGGCTTTACTGGCTTTAGGACTCTGGAAAGCTACTCTACCTACTCAAATTTTAGCATCCTCATCTATAAAATGGGGATAAAATCCTACTCACCCAAATGAGTGAGTAGTAGCCAAGAGGCTACTAAGTGGTATTTATTGAATGTATGCTATAAGGCACTGTGCTATGCATGCTACAGGTACTACCTGAGCTCCAATAACACTATGAGGTCACTATACGTGACCTTTGAACAGTGTAGGGATTGGGGCACTCGACCCCCTGCAGGCTAAAATTTATGTATAAATTTTGACTCCTCCCAAATTTAACTATTAATAGCTTGCTGTTGACCGGCAGCCTTACTGATTCACATAAACAGTCAATTAGCATATATTTTTTATATGTACACACACATTCTATACTGTATTCTTACAATAAAGTAAGCTAGAGAAAAGAAAATGTTAAGAAAATCACGAAGAAGAGAAAATGTATTTACTATTCATTAAGTGGAAGTGGATCATCTTAAAGGTCTTCATCCTCATTGTCTCCACTTTGAGTAGGCTGAAGAGGAGGAGGAGGAGGAGGAGGGAGTGGAGGGGTGGGTCTTGCTGTCTTGGAGGTGGCAGAGGCAGAAGAGGTGGAAGGGGAGGCAGGAGAGGCAGGCATACTTGGTGCAGCTTTTATTTTGAAAGATCCACGTATAAGTGGACCTGCACAGTGTAAACCTGTGTTGCTCAAGTGTCAGCTGTGTTAATATTATTCCCGCCTTATAGATGAGGAGACTAGAGTCTAAACAAGTGACTTGCTGAAAGTAACTCTACCAGTAAGTGGGAGAGCACAGATTGCCACCCAGGACCATCTGAATATAGAGTCCAAGTTCTTGCCGTCTACCCTATTCTACCTCCCCAACTACAATGAGTGTTCCCAAATCGGAGTTGCCTTTTATGATTAACATTCCTACTATCCTACTGGGTTCGAGACCCCAGTACCTGCCTCCAGTGCTCTCCCTCCCAACTGCTAATCAATTGCCAAATCCCATCACCTTGCCTTTGCAATGTCATTTTATTTCCTGCTTTATGTCGTCTGCTGGTGACCAGGTTGAAGGTTTCCCCATCTCTTGCCTTAACTATTGTAACAGGCCATTTTGTGTTTTCTTTCCTCCAACTCCCTGTTCATTCTATTCCTGAAGCTTGAAATGCCACCTGTCTCCTTTGCTTACCACAGTCCTGCACATTCTTTCACGCCCAGGTCAAATGAAGCTTTGCTTGACCTTGACTGCTGCCTGCTCTGGCCTCTCAGAGCACATCAGCCAAGTATCAGCTTAGTGCACATGTCATCCTCCTTGGCGGGCTACTTAGCCATACCCCTTTACTTACCAACCCCCCTCACTAACTGAACTGTGAGTACCATGAGCACCATGCCTCATTTCTTTTCATTTTTATGGCACCTAGGTCTCCCAAAAAATGGTTTTCTGAATTGGGATAAAAGAGGGAGGCGGCAGAAGCATATTTTAAGATTCTTTCTAGGTCAAAGACGTTTGATTCAGATGACAAAACCAATACAAAGAAAAAACAACAAAACCCCTTATAATACTAGGTATTATGAGGTATGATGAGGCATAATGGGTTCAAACCTATGTCTTGGTTGCCAGATGGCCAAGGTTAAACCCCTAGCTCTACCATTTACTAGCTATCTTACCTTGAGAAAATTCTTAACCTCTCTAGACTTCAATTTCTTCACCTATAAAATAGGAGATAACAGTAGTACCTACCTATGAGTCTGCCTTAAGGATCAGATGAGATAATACATGAAGCATTTAGAATACAACTTGGCACATAGTAGGTGCTCAATAAATGGTAGATATGTTATGACATGGGTAGAATATTTCCTTTCCTTGCCATCTAAGATACTACTTAAGACAGACAGGAAAGAGAAACAAGCATTCTAGTCCATGTTCCCTCTTACAGATTAAAAAAACCCTTAAAAGTTGGATGTGGCAAACCCTGCCAGAATTTTTTCTTCATAGCCCAACTTAAGGCCCCAACGTAAAAAATAAAGCTGGCTCCTCCTGGCTTCTTATTGTCTTGGCACTGAACAATCAATTTCAAAGTACATTAAGTTATTTAACAGGTCACCAAGTAGTAGAAAGCTAAAAGTTTAACCATATTTACAAGGAAGAATTATATGAAAATATTTTTATTGATGCTATAAAAACCACCATTAAAAATGACTGCACTGAAAAGCTGAACGTGTATGAAACAAATGGGCAACTCTTAAAATGTTACCTGGTTCCAGACAGTCCAAATTTTGTGTCTCATTAGCAAATAAGATAAATGACTTTGTCTGAAATGATGTTTTATAAATCCTATTAACAGGCTATAAGGGAGGCAATGGTTCCCAAAACAGGAGAATTAATTTTCTAAGTTCAATCCCCATTGTACACACAAAAATGTGGGGGTATCTGGGGGGCTTACTGCTTATGCTGTTTTCAGACTAATATACTAATAATACTTTCTAACAATTGCATTTTATACTTTTCAAAGTACCTACATATTCATTATCTCCCTTGAGCCTCACAACATGTCTATGAGGCAAACTGGGCAAATATTACTCTTGGTTTTAAAAAATAATAATACTGAAGAGTAAAATGGCTTTACCAAAGTCATAAAGCAGAGCTAGGTTAGAATCTCGGCTGCTTCTTGACTCTTTCCACTATCTGTGGAGTTGGAAGAACCAGTGTTTATGATGGGAGGATGGGTGTATTTCTGTGTGCACAAACCCATAGAATGGGGGGAAGCCATACTGTCATTTTTCTTTTCTTTTCTTTTTTTTTTTTTTTGAGACAGAGTCTTTCTCTGTGGCCCAGGCTTGAGTGCAGTGGCGCAATCTCGGTTCACTGTAACATCCGCCTCCTGGGTTCAAGCAATTTTCCTGCCTCAGCCTCCCGAGTAGCTGGGATTACAGGCGCATGCCACCATGCCCAGCTAATTTTTTTGTAGTTTTAGTAGAGATGGGGTTTTTCCACATTGGCTAGGCTGATCTTGAACTTCTGACCTCAGGTGATCCACCTGTCTCGGCCTCCCAAAGTGCTGGGATTACAGGCGTGAGCCACCGCGCCTGGCTGTATTGTCATTTTAAACACCGTATCCAGATAAACTGTAAGAGGGAACATGGAATAGAATGCTTGTTTTTCACTTGTTAATATTTTTTTTAATTTTCAAAAAATAGAAGTGATGTACTCTAACCACCATATAAATAATGGCACAGTGCTCTGTATATCCTTTTTTTTAATTTTTTTAGAGCAAGACGTATTCCAGCGACTGGCACGATTTTGTTTCTGCCTTTTCTTGCCAAAAAGAAAATATGGCTTTAATAGAAGTTTACATCTGCGTGGTATTACATGCATGTAAAACAGATGTAACCTAATTACATTTTCATTTAAATTGCTAAATAGCTACTTAAGTAAAAAGCTAAAATAACATACAAACAACAGTTACTATAATAACAAGTGTACTTAGAATTAAATGAAAAGGATCAAAGCTACAGCAGACAGAATTTGAGTTGGTCTTTCAGAAACAGAGTGACATAACAACGTTACCTTCATTTACTCAGTAATTTAATGTCTCTACAGCTCAGCCTAAAGACACAGCTCAGCTCAGCCTAGACGCATGGAAGAAAATCCATAGAGTTTATACAAAGACTCTGGGTTTCATAAAGATTAGACACACTCTACTAGAGATTATATAGCAAAACCCTAAATTGGAAATTAGAATTCCAGGGCAATACAATCAGCTTGATTATAGTTTTAAGCAGACCTGTCTAGGCTGAAATCAGAAATCAGCTCCCAACTCTGAGATCAGAGTACCCTTTTTGTATTTTTAGCAGAAGACAGCATTACATGCCAGTAATTGCATATTCATAATGCACCCCTTCCTGTGTACCACACAAATGCCCGTCAGAAGGATCCAGAGTTTGGGATGATATTCAGCTTTGGTGCAAAGTGGCGGGGACACATGGTTAGTCCTCACAAAGGAGCAGAGAAACACCCTGTTTCCGAGATGGTTGAACAGGAAGCTGAAATCCTAAACAGTGTGCTCTGGAAAAACTCGAACCTGTTTAACCCAGATTTGCTGGGTAACGTTCACTCTCAGGTTTTCCCTGTCTATTTCAGTCATAATTTTAACTACAGTGAATTTCAGGCGTTTGGTGGTCATGGTGGTTATTTTAAACAGAATGAGAAAAAGATTGAACTTATGAAGTGTTAGAGCAATGTGAACTTATTTCGAAAGTAGAATAGTCTATCAGTAGAAGCAAAGGATTTAGAGCAGGAATGCATGGTGAAAATACTCCCACATCAGCGTTCTTCTCTAAACTAGACCAGCCAGTTTTTCAGAATTTTGCTCAGGAGTATAGAAAATAAAGGACTTAAATCCAGTCAGCCATTTTTCATCATGAACCTGAAATGTTGAAGAATGTTTCAAAACTAAAGGAAACATCTCTGCTAAAACTAGTGGTTACACTCTTTAAGCCATAGAACTTCCTTATCAAAGATATGGCAGGATTCTTTTAAAAATTAGCTTCCAGTTATACCCCCAACATATCTGACTTTAAAAATATGATTAGCTCCTAGCTTTGATTTTCATTTTACTCAGGAAATGTCCTCTCTCTAGAGGTGGGGAAGGAGAAAAAGACTAAGAGTCAGAGGTGGAGAACTGACAGCGGATTTGAAAAACAGAAAAATCACTCGGGCCCTACATTTGGTGTCAACCTTGGCGTTCATTTTCTCGATGCCACCTCACACAGCATTTTAACAGGGCAGGAAGGAGGGGACTGCCAGTGCATGCTGCCTTTGTTTATTCTTCTTTTATTTATAAACACACAGTGCTCTAATCTCAGCAAAGACCCCAAAGGGTCCCATGCATTTAAAGATTTGTGGGAAAATTTTTTTCTTTCTCATGTCTGGTCATCCTACACCAAAACTGTGGCAATTCCCTGGCTGAGGAATCTACAAATTCCCTGCCTCTGGATCTGCGATAATAATGCGGGTATCTGAGATGAGAATGAGAAACATACTCAGAGAATCTTCGCCACCACAGCTAGTCTCAGGTTGAACGCTTTGAATCGGTCTCTTCAGAATGGCTGTTGTTCCTCACTTTCTACAAAGGGTGTCCATTAAGTTTCACAGTGTGTTGAGAACAAGTTTGTAAAAGACAAGTGAAGGCTTGTCATGATTTTGTAACCAATTATTTCATTTGTATTTTATAAATGGGTCATAAATGTCATTGACTAATTGCCACCCTTCTCTCTCCCCAACCCCCAGCCCCTCCCTACACATACTGGAACAAACAGGTAACCTTGTACCACTCTTGCCAGAGGCCAGAAATTAACGGCAGGTTTTAAACTAAACTTCACCTATTTGGAAGGACATCAATGGCAGCTGAGGACACAATGTAATTTCTCTACTTACCAACACTCCTCTCTGCCCTGAAAAACAAACACATTTCCATCATTTTACTCCGTGTCCTGAAACCTCAAAAGCCAAGAGAAAAAGCGACAGCTAAACAATCCAAAAGACACCAAAAGAATCAATATTAAAATAATTAAAATAATCATATCCCAATATCACTGACTTAGTCAAGGCCTTTTCTCGTCTATCTGATCATTATTAAACCAGTCATTACTCAGCATTTCTGTTTGACTGCAGTAGGGACACCATCTTCAGTTGATGCTTTAGGGGCTCTGGGAAAGGCAATGTGAATACTGTCCTGCCTCACAATGTACTTTAAAAAGTAACACATTCTGGATGGGCACAGTAGCTCACGCCAGTAATCCCAATACTTTGGGAGGTTGGGGCAGGAGGATGGCTTGAGCCCAGGAGTTTGAGACCAGGCTAGGCAACATGGCAAGACCCTGTCTCTGCAAAAAAATACAAAGTAGTCAGGTATCGTGGTGGGCGCTGTAGACCCTGCTACTCAGGAGGCTGAGGTGGGAGGATCACTTGAGCTGGGGAGGTCGAGTCTGCAGTGAGCCATCATGGCATCATTGTATTCCAGCCTGGGCGAGAGAGTGAGTCAAAAAAAAAAAAAAAAAAAAAAAAAAAGACCCATTCCAAGGGAGGGATAGAGGAGGGAAAGTAATTACTTTGTGATGGTTAAAAGTCAGTAAGAAAAGCAAGGTGAGGGTGGTTATGCCCTGTAAACTTTTCTGCAACTTGACTCCCTTAAAAGTTGGCCTTAACGAAGGATCTGTGTCACTAAAAAGAAATGATATAAATGAGACAAGCTGCCCTCAATTTCAGAGTAACTGTGTTCTTCACAATAGGGTTTTAAGCCACAGAACAGTCATTGTTTAGAATGCACCAGGCTCCAAACACCTCCCTTGGAGAATGAGAAGGTATGGCCACTAAGCAGCTGGCTCTACCTTTTGCAATTTTTGAAAGCTGAAGTTACAACCTAGTGGCTTGTAGGCCAAAGCTAGCCCTCAAATACATTTTCAAATAGTGTTTTATATTAGTTGTCAAAATTTTTATAAAAATACCTTTCATACAAACATCTGGATTTCTGGCTTCTTTTGGAAAAACAGAAAACAAAAACCCTGAGCCGTACACAACAGTGGGCCCATATTCTCTCATGGCAGCAGCTGGCTGGGAGCAGAGTGCTGGTTGTCCTCTTAGACCGGGGGTGTGCTTTCTAGTTCTTTCTTGTCCCCACAACTCCCTAATGTATTACACCAACCCCTGCTTCACTCGTTGACATTACCTGCCGGCTTCTGCAGAGATCTGAGCTTACCATATCTGATGTGTGTGTGTGTGTGTGTTTGTGAATTCGAATTAATTGCTCAGCAAATAATTATTTTCCCTACTTGAAGGCAGAGAGAAAAGGGTTTCTGAAACTCTAAGTCCTGTTTAGCAATTCCAACAGTCACCCAAATTCCACTCCACTGAGAAAGTCAGTGTTTAAGTTTCAGAACAATGTATGCCACACATCTTTATGCTTGCCTGAAGATATCCTGGGCCCCAGTTCCGTCAAAATGGCTGACCACCAGGTCAGCATCTCCTCTAAAAATTATCCAATACCCTAGGGGTCTGTTGCATGTTTTAAAGGCAAACTATAAAAATGAACTCTACTATTCTCTAAAGAATAAATACATTCTATGCTTATTTATTCCTCCAAAATTAAGTTTGTTAAAAAAGTTGAGTATCAGACATGCATTTTCAGCTTGACTCTTTTACCGTTAGGATGGAGAAAAACCATCATTCTTCATGATATATTTTTTATAATGAGGACCACAAAAAGCGCAGAGAGAAATCTCAGGATCTTTGGAAATAAAAATGAATGTACATATTTTCCGCTAGCTAGCAGTAATTACTTTACCATGTGAGGCTCGGGGTAGGTAGTGATGTGTAATACCTTTAAACTTGGAGCCATCCCAAAAAACACAAACAGAAAAAAACCTGACCTCTGACCCTGTTTTGAAGCATCACTACCCGCTTGGGTAGTGTTTGCATGTTGAAATATTTATTTCCTTCATAAAAAAATCTATCTGAATATCCAATCTCTCAGCAGTCAAGAGTCTTATTTTCATGTTAGCAGAAGCCCTTAAGTAATTTGGGGCTATGATCTTAACACTGCAAGCTTTACCCACTTAAAACTTTGCCAGCTTCGAGCTGCATATTTTTCTCACCAGCTCCTCATTTGCAAAGCATTGTAGAGATTCAGGTGAAAGGTGATGAAGTTTCAACAGCTGCAGAGCCCAGTTAGGAAACTAAGTTTCTTGGGCACAGCTTCCAAGAGGGCAATATTACTGAGCATTCTATCACTTGAAGCCATAAATTTGTACCAGTGAGTACCATGAACAAGTTCATGCAAGCAGGTATTATAATAGTAACTTCTGGATCTGGTGTGAGAATGAAACCTCTCTGAACCTAAAGTTAAGCTGTTTCACTGAAACCCCTCCGATGATAACATTAGACACATGAATATCATCAAGGTTTTCATCAGTTCATTGGTTCTGTGAACAAAAGGCCTAATCAAGATTACTTCATATTTAACTTACACCATGAAAAAAGAAAATCTAAGTCTCACATAAAGTGCTTTAGGACATCATAGTCACAAACATGGGCAGACAAAAGAAAAGAGGTGTATTGGAGGTATACCATGCCCTATTGTAAGGGTACAACCCTTCACCTTCATCCTCAATAAGGTTGAGAAGAACTTAGAACACCTCCTTCTTAATGCCTTCTAATAACAGAATGTGGTGAGGTGAGGACTGAAGTTTTCTCTAAGGCTTAGGATGGAGATATTGAAATGAAGCTAAGAATGTCTTGTTTTTTGTTTTTTTTTTTAACAGAGTCTCGCTCTGTCGCCCAGGCTGGAGTGCAGTGGCACAATCTTGGCTCACTGCAAACTTCACCTCCTGGGTTCAAATGATTCTACCGCCTCAGCCTCCTGAGTAGCTGGAATTACAGGCATATGCCACCATGCCCAGCTAATTTTTTTTTTTTTTTTTTGGAAACAGAGCTTCACTCTTGTTGCCCAGGCTAGAGTGCAGTGGTGCGATCTTGGCTCACTGCAACCTCCGCCTCCCAGGTTCAAGCGATTCTTCTGCCTCAGCCTCATGACGAGCTGGGATTGCAGGTGCCTGCCACCACGCTCGGCTAATTTTTTGTATTTTTAGTAGAGATAGGGTTTCATCATGTTGGCCAGGCTGGTCTCAAACTGCTGACCTCAGATGGTCTGCCCGCCTCGGCCTCCCAAAGTACTGGGATTACAGGTGTGAGCCACCGCACCCGGACCTAATTTTCGCATGTTTAGTAGAGATGGGGTTTCACCATGTTGGCCAGGCTAGTCTCAAACTCCTGACCTCAGGTGATTCGCCCGTCTTGGCCTCCCAAAGTGTTGAGATTACAGGCGTGAGCCACCATGCCAGGCCTCAGAATGGCTCTTAAGCAGGAAGGCTTCAGGTTTTCCTTCATTGTTTACTGACATTACTTAGAGGGTAAATGGCTTTGCTTTTTTGTTGCAATGATTTGGGGAACACCAGGGAATATGGGCCTTTACCTTTGGATGCCATTAGAACTCTACTCCCATTTGTTTTAGAGATGGGGTCTTGCTCTGTTGCCTAGGCTGGAATGCAGTGGCACAACCATGGCTTATTGCAGCTTCAACCTCCTGGGTTCACGCGATCCTCCCGCCTCAGCCTTCTGATTAGCTGGGCCTACAGGCACACACCACCATACCCAGCTAATTTTTAAACTTGTTGTATGGACAGAGCATTGCTATGCTGCCCAGGCTG
This sequence comes from Homo sapiens, assembly GCF_000001405.40. Classification (NCBI taxonomy): domain Eukaryota; kingdom Metazoa; phylum Chordata; class Mammalia; order Primates; family Hominidae; genus Homo; species Homo sapiens. The sequence goes on along the minus strand of NC_000016.10, from coordinate 53,981,127 downwards.
GTCTCAAAACTTTTGGCCTCAAGTGATCCTCCTGCCTCAGCCTCCCAAAATGCTGGATTACAGGTGTGAGCCAAGGTTCCCAGGCAAAAATTTCTCTCCAAATTTAATAATGGCTTGTTGGGTCAAAAATACTGTGGAGAACCCATGTTATCTCTTTGAGGAAAACTGGCTACACTCTGTTTATACTTGTGTATAATATGAATCTGTTGGAATTTAGAATTTTGCAATTCTAAACTGTATCAGCAAGTGGTTTTTGCATCTAATCCTGTCTCAGTTATGGTTGCTTTGGGAAAGAGAAACAATGCCGCTATTAAAAAAATAAGGCTGTCGTATTTTGAGCTATTTAAATACGGAAGCTTCTTTACTTAGGAACTTTCTATTTAGATTTACTGATAAGAACAAGCCTAAATACTGGAGCAAAAGCCTGTCCCTAACAGATCATACTCCCAGTGGCTGCTTAATGCCACCTTGGATTTATAAACAAGAGGTTTTACATACAGCTTTTTGGATCCTAACCTGGTTGGAAGGAGAGGTGCTTCTGTAAGTTGTTCAGGCAGTTGAGCAGGGCCTCAGCCGCCTTTTCAGCACCTCTGGGCAAATTAGAAAAAGGTGCCTCTGACGGGCAAATACAATCTCCCAGGATTGAAGAGGGGCGTATGCATTGGATTTCAGCCCTTTTCCCTCCCCACGTGTCAGCTTCCTTAGCTTAGAGTCCACATGTAGGGTATAACCTCTTTGCCTAGCATTTAACATGAAAAATGCATAAACAGGTCTCTTTCCAGCCATTCTGGTTTCCAGGTAGCAAACGGCTGTCAAACAATCTCATCAGCAAGCAGAGGTTAGTTACTAATTTCACAATTGTTCGGTAAAAGGAGCCCAATAGCATCAAGCTAGAAGAGTGTGAGAGAAATCCAGGGATTCTTGTCAGAAACAATTAGAAGACATAATAGAAAAGAGCAAAGTCATGTGGCTTCACTTCATGACTAACCAGTTCTTCTTGACTTAAGGGTGGGACTAGTTCTACCTTCTTCTTATTTTGATTCACGAAGGCCACACATGAAGCTAAGCTAAGCAAGCCTGGTTCGCTTCATGGCAAGAAGAGCCATGAGTGTTTTACTGGTGAGCATCATAAACTGAGAAGCCAGGTTTTAAGATCCAGACACCAGATTGAATAAGCCAATGTGCTTTGGCTTAAGGCTTCCTGTGGAAGCAAATGAGCTTCCAGAGAGGGGGCAAAGTAACAGCCCTCTGGAAGGGTGCAAGCACCCAAGGAGCTTCAAAAATAACCATAAGAGCTGGCCAGGAGACTAGCACTTCTTAATTATAGACTGTAATTTAGGAAGGCAAAGTTAATGCAAGTAAAGTCATGTGAGATGTACAGAGACTTTGGTCTCTTTTTGACCTCCAAATTGGGATTTTGCCCCCAAAGTTAGGTATAATTGTAAATTATGGAGCAACACTTTGATAATGAGCTCATAGGCACTGCAGCTGTTAACAGTTAACATGTACGCCACAAAAGGAAGGGGAAAATGTAGAGGACAAGAAATTCACACACGCGCGCACACACACACACACACACACACACACACACAGCCATAAACATAAAAAAGATCCAATCACAGTAGTGATAAAGAAATTCTGTTACTTTTAGTCCATAAAATTGGAAAAGATGTTTTCAAACTGTAATATTCCATGCTGCCAAACTTGAGATGGGAGAGGCATTCTCTCTTGATGAATCTGTAAATTGGTCCATCTTTCTAGAAATCAAATTGGCAATATTTTATTCAAACATCCATTCCAGATATATTTTTCAAGAACCTGTAATTTGTTAGGAACTTACAATGTACACTCTCCTTTACCTAGTAATTCCATATCTAGGAATCTGTTCAAGAAAGCCTCAAAGATTCTTATAAAAGGATGTCTGTCATAATATTTAAAAGTGAAACCCTAAAGAGATATGATAAAAATAAATGATTGTATATATTGAGGAAAATTATTTTTCAGTGATGTATGTAATAATATTCTATGAAAAAGAGTATAACGATTTTAAAAACAGAAATATTTCTAATCATAACCAAATGTTAACCTTCTGGGTGGTAGGATTATGGGTACTTTTTTGGTTTTTTTTTGAGACAGAGTCTCGCTCTACCTCCCAGGCCGGAGTGCAGCGGCATGATCTCAGCTCACTGCAACTTCTGTCTCCTGAGTTCATGCAATTGTCATGCCTCAGCCTCCCGAGTTGCTGGGATTACAGGCACGTGTGCCACCATGCCTAGCTAATTTTTGTATTTTTAGTAGAGAAGGGGTTTCACCATGTTGGCCAGGCTGGTCTCAAACTCCTGGCCTCAACTGATCCACCCACCTTGGCCTCCCAAAGTGCTGGGATTACAGATGTGAGCCACCGCACCCGGTGATTATGGGTAATTTTTATTTTCCTTTTGTGCTTTTCTACAATTTTCAAATTTTCTACAATGAGCCTTTATTAATTTTAAAAGTAAGAAAAAGTACTTGGCCACAAAAGAGAATTAGCTAAATGGCAGATGTATTTACAATCTCAAAACCACAAATGAACAAGAAAACAACAAAATAGTAATAATAAAGTTACAAATACACAGTTTAGTCGTAATTTACAAAACCTAAAACGATGTTTGGCCCTGAAATAATGAAGGAGCATATGTAAACAGAATCAGAAAATCCATTATATTATCCAGTTTAATCTCTTCATTGTATAGCTGTGAAAACTAAGATTAAATTTTGAAATAGCTTGATGTTTCACACTGCAAATTAGAGACTGAAAGCTTAGGACTCCTGGCATCCAAAGACTGCTGTTTCCATACTAGGGGGTGCAAATAGGTCTCATTTAAATTGCAAGTACCAATCAATTGGTAGTAACTATTTGGTGTGCCATGTTAAGAAGGCTATATACAAGTTTAGAAGGAAAATGTGCATCGAGATTAGTGATATTTGCCAAGGGTGACATACATGCATAAAATGAAACAATAGTGTCTTCTCTAACCTCACTGTTTCTCATTATAAAATACTAAATATCTAGCCTGGGCAATACAGTGAGACCCCTATCTCTACAAAAAAAATTTTTTTAAAAATTAGCCAGTCATAGTGGTGCATGCCTGTAGTACTTGCTACCTGGGAGACAGGTAGGAGGATCCTCTGAGCCCAGGAGTTTGAGGCTGCAGTGAGCTATGATTGCAGCACTGCATTCCAACCTGAACACCAAAGCAAGACCCTGTCTATAAATAAATAAATAAATATCTCTTTCTAGGGGAACACTGCATATAAATCAGGACTAACTAAAACTATAGTTTTATGCATAAAGAATGATGAGCAAGAAAAGTTTATTTCTTTCCAAATGAAAAGAGACAATTCCAGGTTTCATAAAGATGTCAAAGAAATATTTATACTCATCATGCTTCAAAGAAATATGTATACTCTCTCCCCATAAAGAAGATAGGAGGCAAGAGCAAAAAAGTTGAAAGAGTAAACTCATGCCTTTCCTAAGGAAAGCTATAAACAGAAATAAACTTCAAAGATTTGAGGGAAATTGCATGCAAAAGCCTTAATGCTAAAATAATCAAAAGCCAATCAAGCTTTGGATAAGCTTCAAAACAGTAACATCACAGAAATGTTAGGAATGAATGAGTTCTACTGAGACCTGTTAACCAGGGTCAGAGAGCATCAGAAAATACTGCTATAGAAAAATATCACCTATAGAAAATTATATATAAAATGTCACCAAATTAAGTTCCTGCATATATTACCTCAAGATACAGTAAGCTCTATTTCAGAAATGGAAAGATGATTCAACAATATAAGATCCAATAATGTAATAGGCCACATTTAAAGAACAAAGGAGAAAACCCATGTCATCATCTCAGTAGATAACCTCCTCCCCTCAAAACAATATCTGATTAAATGCAACAACCATTAAAGAGAATTAAAGAGAATAAGAATTATTTTACTTAATAAAGGATATTGATCAGAAATCTCAGCAAATCTCCAGGTTAACTGCAAAACTTTTGAAATATCCTAATTAACAACAGGAAAAAAAATCAAAGGGTGCCTATTATCCCTACTACTAGTTAACATTATTCCAAAAAATATCAGCCAAGACAGGAAAAAGAGACCAACAAAAGTACATTGGAGAGAGAAAGGCAACATCATTTTATTTTGGATTATTTAATTCCTTACTTAGAAATTCCAGAAGAATCAAATGAAAAACTACCAGAACTAATAAAATTTAGTAAGGTAACTATATGAATGCAAAAACTCAACAGCTACCAGACATATCTGTAATTCCATTACAACAGCAATAAACACAAATATCTAGAAATAAAGGAGAATGTGAAGAAAATTTTAAAACTCATTTAAGAACACAAAAGATGACATAAATAAATGAAGAAATAAAACATGTTAATAGATGAGGTGACATTTAAAAAATTCTCCAACATATATACCTATAAATTCAATGCATTTATATTAAAATGCCAACAGGATTTAAAATTTTTTATGGAATCTGACTATCGGAATCTAAGATTCATCTGACAAAAAGGGCATGAAAACAGTTAACGAAATTTTCTAAAAAGAAAATGGAGGAGGGAAGGCCCTATAATATCTAAAAACACACAAAGTTTTGGTAATTAGGCAAAAAAAAACCTGACACATAAATTTCTGCAAATTTAGTATATGATAAAAGTGTCTTTTCAAATCAGTGGAGGCAAGAATGGTTTATTCCATAAAAGGTGTTGTGCCAATTGCCCGTCCATTTGAAAACCTAATAATAAAGTTAATCCCTACTCAACAACCAGTCACAAAAGTAAAGTTCAGGTGGATTAAATAGGTAAACACTGAAAACAAAACTATGAAAGCATCAGAATTCCATTAAAGTGAATTTCTTTAAAAACATAGTTTTTAAAGAAAGTTGATCTTAAGAAAGATATAATGCACAAAAACTGTAAGAGAAAAGAATAATATATTTGATTAGAATAGCTGAAAGGAATATCACATTAAGACATGTAAGATGAAAGACATCATTAAATTTTTACAGTGAAAAGCACTACACTGGGGTGGGAGAGCCAGGGAACTTTGCTATTTTGGAGAGGTAGCACAGAGTCCTGATGATCAGCAAAGACTCTGGTGGCAGGCTGCCTGGTTCTGATACTTACTTAATCAATCTGTGCCTCAAAGTTTTCATCTGTAGGTTAGGGGAAATAATAGCACCTACTCATAGGGTTGCTATAATCAGTATATGAATTCATATACATCCAGCACATGTTTGGCATGTAGTAAATACAATATAAATCTTCATTGCTTGGGTGAGCCACATAAAATTGCTCCTATGTGACTGTTTGGATCTACAAAAAATAGTAATTTTATATGGTCCAATCTAATATTATTTATATTGTTTGGATTTTTAAAATATAAATTACATGTCTTTTTTTTTTGAGGACTGTAGAATGACAGGATGAGGGTAAGATTCGTAGAGTACAGAGAGTCTGAAGGGAGCCACTCGGTATATGCTAACTGAGTATTTTCAATATCTGTATCTAGAAAGATCTTATCTTTAGGGAAGAAAGCCAATATTTAGAATAACTTTGCCAAGTAAAATGTGAGATATGCTTTCAAAATCTATTTTGTGCTTCTTTCCACACAAGTCCACCAGACCAAATCTTTATACAAATGACTAAATTCTGTGTAATAGCAATAATTGTATTAAATTTGGAAAGTCAAAAAATATTAAAGATAAAATAATGGAGAAATTAGCATAAAATAAATATGAAAACTTCTTTGGGCAAAGTATTCCATACTACTTTAGACTAAATAAATAGGTTTAAATTTGTTATGAATATAACAACCTTACAACCTTTAGGACACAGCTGCAACTGCAACACCAAAAAAAAAAAAACTTACAATATTTAAAACCAAAATACGTGACTCTTTCTATTTACAAAATGTTAGCGTGGCTTTAGTTTTAGTTGTCGAATGCTAATATTACCAAGTTTTCAATGTGCTCTATATAAAAACTAAAGTACAACATCCTCAGCTGAAGTCAATTTAGAAATAGAAATATATATATACATATAAAAACAAATCTCTAGTATTAAATACACAAACAACTCAAGGAGAGTAGAGATTCCTAGGAAATGTTTCTATAAATAGTTTGACATTATTACACAATCTTCTCTGCATACGTTGTAATGGAAACATTGCTATGGGTGATTGAAGAAATAAGCAACTTTGACATTTCTGGATGTAACTTGAGGAGATTATTTCATCAGAAAGGATTGATACAGAATATACTAACCAAAAACTCAATATCAAAACTCTCTTTGCAACTCTAAAACAGTGCAGAATGACATTTAAGATAATCCATTTATCACCATCCAATACAGGCTGCTTGTTCACAAAATGTCAGTGACAAGGCTGGGAGCATTACGACTCCTAGGCAGTGAGTGCGTGTGACAAAGAATCTTTAATACAGCATCAAGTTCATTTCGTTATATGCTATTGCTGTACCTTGGACTTCAGCTCCCATGGTTTTTGCAATTTATATGAGTAGCTGTACAAATGAAATGCCTTTTCTTCTTGTCACACACAACAGAAACATTCCCCTCTAAGGATAGTGAAAGGTTTGCATGATCATTTGCAGGCAAGTCATTTACTCATGGTGAATCTTGATGTTTTTATTAGCCATCTTTACTAAGTTTAGTGCTTCAATTCTGAACAATAACAATTCTAAAAACGGAAATAATTCTTTATAATAATAAAAAAGGTAATAGTGACTTGCATTTTTATGTTATTTATTCATGTTTCAAAGTGGCTTTGTACAAGGTACCTCATATGCTCTTCATCAGACCCCTGTACTATTAGTCATGAATTATCAACATCTTACAGGTGAAAAAAACTGAGGTGTAGGCAAGTTTAATCTTTTTGTCTGAGGTCTCACCGCAAGTCGGCATCATCCAATGTTGAAGCTAAAATGATCCTCAGACTCAAATTAAGAAGCCCAAAGTTCAGAGATCACAAAACTGGCATTTTGTTTGACCAAGCAGGGCCCATAAATCTACATATCCTGAGATTTTATATAAATATGTGAATTTCTGGCTTTACTTGAAAATGTAGCAACACTGGGCCTCTATTCTGAAGAGAAGCCATTGGCTAGAGCTTATCATTCGCCCCTTTTAAATGAGGTATATGCTCTGCAGTTTACTACCTAGTCCATTTCACTCATTTTACACTTATTTTACATACGGTAAAGTGGACAGATCTTTAGTATAAGTTCTACAAGTTTTGAAAAATGTATATGCCCATATAACCATCAACCAATCACGATATGCATTTTCACACTCGCCCCAAAGTTCCCTCATGCACCTTTCCACTGGGTCTCCCTCTTCCTTTCTTTTCCCTTCTCATTCATTTTTTATACTTCCCTGTTGGCAACTGAATTTGAAACCCCAGACACGGTCCAAATCTCTTCATATTACACACAGTGAGACTGAGCTCTAGGGAGAGGCAGAACCAGAGGCAGAATCCAGGTTTCCACACCTCTGGTCTCTAACACTATCCTCAAAACTAGCCCTTTCCAACCTGTTGCACTAGGGTTCACCTAAAAGAAAATGCCAAGATATCATTATCACAGGCTTTCAAGAGCCACCCAGGATGGGTGAACAATTAAGTCTGTGACTTCACCCCAAATGAATCAGATTTGGAAGTGGTATTTAAGTAGCAAATGGGAATAAGCTTAAACAGAGACTTATCTGGGAGTCTAACTGTGGCCTAGATTTGATCAGGTTTACTCCCAGCAGTGGAGGTGGGACATGGGACGGCTCCATGTCCGACAAGGGGAGAGCATCTGGGGTCAGCCTCCTGCTGAGTAGACTTGCCACTGTTAAACTCTGAAATGGCGGGAGCCCAGCAGCAAAAATAACCTCTGCTCTCGATGCCAGGCCACCTGCTTCTTGTCTATGGCTGATGATCTTTGCTTAGGAGGCTAAGTGCCATATGGGATCCTGAACCCCTATTTTTCTGTGATATTTATGCAAACAAGCCAGAATGCATTTTTGTATGGAGCTGAGTCAATGCCTTACTTTCTCCGTTAACCATCTTGGTTAAATTCCTACCTGGGGATGAAGTATAAAGAAAAACAGAAATAAGGCATGTTCCTTTTTTAGAAAAATATATTTTAAGAGGTCACAATATCTCCAGAGCCAAAAGCAAGCAGCTCCATATGGCTTTACAGTGGCTGTCAGACAATGGTATCTCTACTATTCCATTAAGAGAATTTCCCTGCACTCTCCACAAACACTGAAGAGTGAGATTTCTCCTTCCTAAAAGTTTGCATTTTCTTCCTAAGAACACTAGCTGAGAGGGATGGATGTACCTAAAATGTAGAGCTGATTGAAATGTAGGCAGTATGCACAGCCTCTGGGAACCACGCAGGCTTTATCCACCAACATTTGAGTCTGTGGCTGATGGGAAAATGTGATAGCTGAAAGTAACCAATGAAATGAATCTGGTTCAGTCCCTACATTTAATTAATGAAGAAGCTGAGAGTCACAGAGGTGAACTAGTTAATAACTACATATTATTACCAATTTATTGTCTTGGATTTCAATACTCAAGGCAACTTAATATCTACATGGCATCATTTTAGTTCCATGCCACCATTCTGAGTTGAAGAGAAGCAACTCCATTTTGCAGATGGGGAGACAGATTACTAGAAATAAAAAACTCATTTTTAGTTCAGAGAGATGAAGGATGATATTGGACAAGTATTTCCAATATCTTCAACACACGTATTGAAAATACTTGTCCAATATCATACTTTCCAATACAAGTACTGGAAATTTCCAATACTCCGAGCCTTAGTTTCCTCACCTAAACGAGGATAATAATATTGTCTAACAGGACTGTTAGGAAGATTCAAGAATACATGAAGAATGCTGAAAGAGCATTTCAGCACAGGATAAATATTTGTTGTAGTTGTTAAGCTATTATTAAGCAAAGGGCAGTGCCAATAATAGGACCCCTGTCTCCATATGACTGGCTCAGTGCCTTTCCATTAGACCATGCTACATGAAACTCAGATTATACATCATTTGTCGTTAAAACATGCACCAAGCAGAGTGGTGAAGGAGGGAAGGGGGGAGGCAATGAATAAAAACCATCTAAGACATGGAGATTAGCTGTTACCAAAATATGGCATCAGGCAATCATCATCCAAATTTGTGACTGCATTTCATAGAACAGCGCGGATGGGATTTTATTAGATGGCTTCTGCCAAAAACATATTGGCAGATACAGCCCTGAGCTTGTGGTTCACCAGACACAAAAGAGCCCCTCTTCGGGAAGGGGATCCTGCTTAGGCCCTGGCCCAACTCCGAGTTAACACACAGTTAAAAGTAGCAGCTGCAGCACTGCTGAGACAGGGGGTCCCCTAGAGGAAGGCCTTGCCAAGGGGGCTGTTCCCAAATTATTTATCAATTGTTATAAAGAGAACTTTAAAAATACACACATATACACAAAGCAAACAAAACCTCCACAAAATTTAACCTTAGAAAATACAGATGTTGTAAGAACAAATACAATTAGTCGACAGATTAACGGGAAAACCTCAAGAAATGCAAACTCAAACATCAATGAAGTCCAATTTTCACCTACCAGTTTAGAAGGAAAAACCTCAAAAATATAATAATGCTTCAAGGATAAATGTATACTTTGCTGATTGCAGTGTAAATTGGTGCAACGCTTTTGGAAAGCAATCTGGTAATATGTACCAAAAGCCATAAAAACGTTCATATCTTTTGACTTAGTAATCTTCCTTTTAGATTCTAAGGATCTAATCCAAAAAAAGGAGAAAGCGGTATAAGCAAATATGTAATTGCAGCATTACTTATAACTATGTTAAATCAAAAGCAACTTAAAGGTCCAACAATAAGGAAATGATTTTGCATATTGTAATACATCCTCTACATGGAATATCCAGTAGCCATTATAAATCATATAAAGAAACTGCTTCTAACAGTAAGTGAAAAATCACAGGCTCCTATGATTACAACTATTTTAAAACATGTATATAAAATGTATATGCAGTAAATAAAGACCCAAAGGGAAACATCTAAACATATTAATAGTTGTTTGGGGCTCAGTTTCTTACTATTATTAAGAAAAGTTTCCACACTGTCTATTATTTAGAATATTCCCACTTATGTTCTGCATTATGTATATAAGTGTGTGCAAACTAGCAACCCGTAAAGTACATCCAACTACAGTTGAGTTTTATCTGCATGTTTTAAAACAGTGAATTATCTGCCAACACTGAAAACTCAAAAAGTGTCACACTGGCGGCTTTCACCGAAAAATCTAGTCTTGCAATCCTGGGCCCACACCTCTGTAAGGTAATAACTGTTTGGAGTTGGAAGCAACTGTCCCTTGTAGACAGCATAAGTGCCCACCTGTTTGCCATACCCACCACCATCCCTGTTGTCTTTTTCTTTTTTCTTTTCTTTTTTTTTTTTTTTTTGAGATGGAGTCTCGCCCTGTTGCCCAGGCTGGAGTACAATGGTGCAATCTCGGCTCACTATGACCTCTGCCTCACAGGTTCAAGCAATTCTCCCTGCCTCAGCCTCCCGAGTAGTTGGGATTATAGGCGCCCACCACCACAACCGGCTTATTTTTGTATTTTTAGTAGAGATGGGGATTCTCCATGTCAGCCAAGCTGGTCTCGAACTCCTGACCTCAGGGGATCCACCCGCCTTGGCCTCCCAAAGTGCTGGGATTACAGGCTTGAGCTACCGCGCCCAGCCCCTGTTGTTTTTCACCCAAGTCGGCTTCCCTCTTGTATGTCACCTGCCCAATTCCTAGTCCATATGATTAAGGGAGGCAAATGATGATGGAGAACTGTAAATAATTTGAATTCCCTTTTAAACGGGAATCATTGCCTATTAAACTTGAGCTTTAGTTTGGTTTGTTAGGTCACCAGAAAATTACGGTCCAATCTACTACTCTCCTCACCATGCAACAGGCAATTTCAGGGTCTTTCTTATCAACAAAAGAACCATTGGCCACACCTCGCCTCCTCCGTTGGACATGCTCCTCAGTCCAGAGTCTGCTGGTGCACTCTTTTCCTCTTTTCTTGAAGTTAGTCTGTGGCAAGGCCCTGGCTAGCCTCCTCCTCCGTGCTTAGCAACTACAGAGGCGAGCACACAGCACACTTTTAGGCAGCAGTTCACAGCCACGTTACCCTAACTGCTTTTCTATATTACAGAGACAAATTATTTTCTGCGTTTCCTGAGACAGAGATAGAGCAGGTTACGGGCGAGGCTTTCTTTCTCCCTATACATATTCTAGCTATCACCTGGCAGAACTCTGGCTCTGTTTGCTGTAGGCAGATGTTTGCATTTTTCTTTTCCCAGGGGCAGAAGGTATAGAAACAGAGAGTGTGCAGTAGTAGAGAGGTGACACTGGAGGATATAGGTCCTGTCACATCTATTGCATAAAGATGCAGTGTGGTGAGAATGTCTGGGAACTCGCTGTTTGTGAGTCGCCACAAAAAAAGCACAAACTACCAATGACAGTATATATTATGTTCATTTACTTACACGCATGCAAAAGGCCATAATGTTGGTAGATGAATTAATAGAAAACAAGCCCCCCCCAAAAAATAAGCAAGTAATTTTCTAGTCTACATGTCTGATCTAGTGAAGGCTGAGGGACAGCTCCTGGACCAAGGACCTTTAGTAAACATCAGGGCTCTGGGCCGAATGTCCTTACCTGTTTCCTAAGGCTTGGGAAACTGTTATTCAGGCAAGAGAGTTATTTCAGATAAAGGACAAATGCTGTCCTTTAATTAACAATATCTATCTCTGGGACAAGCACATCAGGTATACAATACAGAAGATTCTTTTAATATAAAGGACAGATGGCAACTTCACTCCTGGGACTTTCAAGGCTGCCCCAGAAAAACACACAATTTTAAAAGGCTTTGAGAATTCTCTAAGGAGAACCAGTCAGGAGATAAGAATGCTTCATTGCCCCATTTACAAAGTAAACCAGAAAGTGTCTCAGAATCATTCAGAAACACTTGAAGAAGGGTCAGGTAAATCTGAGAGAGGAAAATAATAACTTTTGCCCCATAGTGTAGTTGTGAATATCGTGAAAGTTTCCTTTCCTCTGAGCCAAACAGTACTAGATGAAAAGGAGTTTGAATGTGCTGTACTGACTAACAGTTTGGGCTTCATGATCACATAACAACAAAGCAAAACAAAACTTTCAAATATCCTCCTTATGCTAATATTGAAAACATCCCACCAGGACACTGCCACCCAGCTGAGCACTGGTTTACTTGGTAAAAGGATAGGATGAGGTCCCCAGCTCAAGTGAAATGTCTCTCCTTTTATGGTTCTCATTAATCTGACTCAACACACACATGTGTTGGTACAAGATTCCTACAGCATGTGTTATACCTGCCTAACTGGGTGCTAACATTATAAACCACACATCAACACTTCTTGTCCGAGAGTGTTAATGTCTATTAATGTCCTGCTGGGGAAAAGGCTCTTAGAGCCAGCCCACAGCCACAATTCAAGACTGCCTGCCACGAGTCCTAGACTTGGCCTGCTGATTTTAGATGGTGTATTTCATTACCAGAATTTCTGGAGGAGGGTGGCGATGATGGTGCTGTACTTGGTTTTATGTTGCCAAGATTATCTTCATATATGAAACTTAAAAAGCCATATGAATCTGAAGGAACTTAGGACTGAGGAATCAACCATGTAGAATTTGGCTACTGATACCCCAGATACCAAATTAGGCTTTTCTGCTTCTGCACTGTGATGTTTTGCAACACATTGATATGGGGAGGAAAGGGGCTTGCCAATGTCACAGTGAGCTTCCTTGTCTGCACATTTTCTATACATCCTATGAAGTCATGCACATTATCTCAAGCTGGATTTACTAAGTTCCTAAGTGCACATACAATGTGCTTGTATGTGCAATGTGTATATATGTATATCACTGATAGACCCGAATCAAGTATATATGGTGAATTTCTTTTATATACATATGAAGGCTGCATAATATGTGAACACACACATATACATACATATAAATTAAAACAAATTAATTAAATGATAATTTCATAAATTTTGTGATGTTTTCTCAAGATTTGCTAGGCAGCACAAAAAGTGTATATTTAAACCACACAACTCCATTCCTGCAAATAATAATAAAAAAAGATGTACACACAAGCACAACCGTCAAAACCGGATTTGCCCTTCTCTAAATTAATCCAATTATTCAAATGTCAGTTATATCTGTCACAGCCCGGCTCCTTGGGCCGAACCAAACTGTTAAAAATTAAAACTGTTTTACTTCGTTTAGTCTTTCTGCCTTTTTAGTGTAAAACCCACAGTCTCGACAAAAAGTTGTGGGATTTGACACCCAGTGCAACACAACCCTATTGCTGTCATCCATGCATAATTCACTTTGGAAATATGCACTTGCTTTAAAATATTACTAAAAAATACATGTAACATATGCTAATTTCACTGCGTTGGCTTGTAAGCTCTAGCCACTAGGTTATATGTAAACTTTGCCAAGTGCACACACTGTACATAAAGGGATTATAAATGAAAGGAAATATCTCTGTCCCTAGCTCTCTGTCTCCATCCTTGGCCAAACTGACAGCCCCAAATCCCAGCACCATCTAACATGCCCTTCCCGTGGAGAAGACAGCCTGTTCTCAGAGTCTTAATTACATCCCAGCTGACTACCCAGCGTTGCCAAAATCAGGCAACAAACGCTGGCCCTTCACTCACAATATGGTCTGCTAAACAGACTCCTGGTCACACAGAAAGAAACTTTCACAACGTGGAGAAATAAAGGGACAAGCAGGAGATCAAGGGAGAGCACAAACAGTAACCTAGGGGATGGAAGAGAGAGAAACAATTCATCCCCACCGTGCAAAAAAAGGGGAAAATAAAAAGAAAAACCTTTTCCCAGAATCCTTAGGCACCACTGCGCAGCGGAATTTTAACAAAGCTATCCTTATTATAATGAAATCAAAGACCGACTCATCCAGCCAAGAACTGCTGCTCCTCAAGATGGGAGGCTGATACGAAGACTCAGTAGATTAACGATTGTTAAGCAGGACTCACCCACTCCACACGGATCAGGCCATTATAATTACAGAAGAACAGCATGCAACATTCTACCATTGCAAATGGTATCATACGTTTTCCTGGCTGGCTTTCGGGGAAGGGTTTAGCTCATTTGACATGGCAGAAGGTCCTGGAGCCATGCATTCATAGCTACCTGTCTTTCATATCTAGCGGCATAAAATTAAGTTTCTTTCTTTTTGTGATTGCATCACTTGTATATGACTGCAAAGATGGTCACTGAACTTGGAGGCTATTCTTGGCTTGGTCCACCTCTAAATAGAATTAGCTATTAAAAAGAAAATTTACTTTAAAAGGGAGCTTTGGAAGGCAGTTGTTCTCCAGAGCAACTGAAACCAAGATCAACAAAAGATCTTGAGAATGTGCTAATAGAGAAAGACCTGCTCTATGAATTAAAATGTTGTAGACTGAGAAATCAAACTGTGGTTTCAAATGTGGCCCACAAATCAGAAGTTATAAAGGCAGCTGCTTGGAATTTTCCTTGTTGATTTTGGTATTTGAGATTGTGATTGTGGGGATGCCATTTATTCAACACAATGGGAACACTGCTGCCTGGCATTCTGTCATAATCAAACTGCTTTTCATATGGGCAATTCCACATAGAATGTTCCAAGATTAATAGCACTATGGATTTACTTATTTTAATGATGGTACAAGATTCTCCAGAACAGGGTAGGGGCAGACAATTAAACAGTAAAAATAACAAATACATTATAAACACAATTTGCAAAGCACTTAAATATACATCCTCATTAAGTTTCAAAATTACAGCTGCCATGGTGGCTCACACCTGTAATCCCAGCACTTTGGGAGGACAAGGTGGGCGGATCACTTGAGGCCAGGAGTTCGAGATCAGCCTGGCCAACATGGTGAAACCCCATCTCTACTAAAAACACAAAAATTAGTTAGGCGTGGTGGCGTATGCCTGTAATCCCAGCTACTTAGGAGGCTGAGGCAGGAGAATCTCTTGAATCCGGGAGGCAGAGGTTGCAGTGAGCCGAGATCGTGCCACTGCACTCCAGCCTGGGTGACAGAGGAAGACTCTAACTCAAAAAAAAAAAAAAAAAGTTTCAAAATTACTCTATAAGGTTGGCATTATTATTCTGATTTTACACAAGATGAAACTGAAGGTCAAGGAAGTTAAATGGCTTTTCCAAGATAACAGGGGTTTTGACTCCAAAACTCATTCTTTTTCCACTGCCCTATGTCGTTGCTCTAGAAAACAGAGAGAAAAGAGAGAATGAGGGTAACTAAATATTTCACAGGTACAGCATGAGATAAATCAAGAGAACACAAGAAACTTTAGTTATAGTAAGCTGATGGTTCAGGAGGCACTTAGGCAGGGAGCAAGGAAGTTGAGATGTTGAGAATGCAATTTCTGCTGACACCTCTCCTCCATCCCCAGTACAGTTGCCCTTGGGTGGGGAAGGGTGATTACTTTTAAACAGAAAAGCTACCTACCCAAACATGCCACACAGTTAAATGATACTGCTACCCCTAGTGCCACTATAAATTCCCAAAAAGAATTTGATGTCACTAATCCCTACTATATGGAGCTAACATGATGGGACGTTTTATAAAAGGGGGTCATCCTAGCACTTTGGGAGGCCAAGGTGGGCGGATCACAAGGTCAGGAGTTCAAGACCAACCTGGCCAATATGGTGAAACCCCGTCTCTACTAAAAATACAAAAAAACAAGCCAGGCGTGGTGACGCATGCCTGTAGTCCCAGCTACTTGGGAGGCTGAGGCAGGAGAATCGCTTGAACCCAGGAGGCGGAGGTTGCAGTGAGCCGAGATCACGCCACTGCACTCCAGCCTGGGCAACAGAGGGAGACTCCATCTCAAAACAAAAAAAGGGCGGGGGGTTCATCACTACAGGAATGGAGTAACAAGGAAACTATTACAATTGTTAGGGTGAATGACTCATAAACTTTTTGCTGATTGTTGTTTGTTTTCAGGTTTTCCTCTTATAAAATGCTTATTGGGAAAAAAGCTTCATTATAATATAATTTGTGTTTACCACGATTTAGCTAGAAAATAATAATCTAATGTCTCATATGTATCCATAAAATGAAATCTTCATACTATTTTATCCTTTGAGCTGATATAAGGCTATAAGACAAGAAAACAAAGAATTCAGTATATGCCTTAACAATGTTGAGTAATAACCAATTCAATGATTCATTATTTTCTATGAAACTTAAATAATGAAGATTTGGAATACTGTTTCCATTATAGAAGCAGACTACATTCAAATTGCATCTTGAGAATTGATACCAAACATCTTTTGGGGATAAATTCACTGCAATTTGAAGTCTGGGAAGGCAACCAACACATTTAATGGAAAGAACATGGACACTTTTAGTATGTGCTTAAACAAGAGATTTAAAAAAATATTAAACCCCAGCCAATGAAAATGGTTTCAAGTTCTGCTGAGAGAACATCTCTCTCACCAGCAATTTACATGAACAACAAATGAAAAAAGAATACAACATATTGGTTGTGTTCTGGTTCCCTTAAACATAACCCTTCCTCCTGGCCTCAACTAGGGGTTGGTAAACTATGGCCTGACAGTCAAATCCTGCCACCTCTTTTAGTAAATAAAGTTTTACTGGAACACAGCCACACTTACTCATTTACATATTGTCCAGGGCTGTTTTTGAACTACAACAACAGAGGAGAACAGTTGTCACAGAAACTGTATGGCTCACAAAATCTGAGATATTTACTATCTGGCCTTTTAAAGAAAAAGTTTGCTGATCCCTGACCTGAACAAAGGCCTATAATTCACATGGGAAGGACCATATCAGCTCAACCCATTCTAAATTATCCACACTTAGGAAAACAGTTTTAAAGTTTAAATTTTAAGAAATACATTGGTAGGCCGGGCGCGGTGGCTCACACCTGTAATCCCAGCACTTTGGGAGGCCAAGGCAGGAGGATGACCTGAGGTCAGGAGCTTCAGACCAGCCTGGTCAACATGGTGAAACCCTGTCTCTACTAAAAATATAAAAATTAGCCAGGCATTGTGGCGGGTGCCTGTAATCCCAGCTACTTGGGAGGCTGAGGCAGGAGAATCACTTGAACCTGGGAGGCGGAGGCTGCAGTGAGCTAAGATCGTGCTACTGCACTCCAGCCTGGGAGACAGAGTGAGACTGGATAATTTATAAAGAAAAGAGGTTTAATTGGCTCATGGTTCTGCAGGCTGTACAGGATGCATGATGCTGGCATCCACTCAGCTTCTGGGGAGGCCTCAGGAAACTTACAATGGTGGAAGGCAAAGGGGAAGCAGGCACGTCACGTGGCCAGATCAGGAGCAAGGGTCGGGGCAGAGGTGGTACACACTTTTTAACAACCAGATCTCACAAGGGCTCACTCACTACACAGTACCAAGGGTGGACGGTGCTAAACCATTCATGAGAACTCTGTCCCACGATCCAAACACCTCCCACCAGGCTCCTCCTCCAACACTGGGGATTACAATTTGACATGAGATTTGGTCAGAGACACAGATCCAAATGATGTCAATCAGCTTGCATGCTGAGGTCTTCCCTATGTTCTCTGTGCTGTCCACACAAAAGAGGTCAATCTAGGCCCCAACAATAACACAAATATACAGAAAAGTAAGTCCAGGTAAGATTTGGAGAGAAGAGCTTACCACTCCTGCTTGAGAGACACAGAGACAGAAACATGGAGAATTAGTTCTGGGTCTGAAATGCACACATGCAGCTATTATACAGCAACTTTTACTTGTGTTATTATGGTATCATTAGGATCCTCAAATACCAAAGACAAGAATGAATGTGCATCTGAAGGACCGCTGGGAACAAGTTAATGTTTGCCTGTGACTATACTGTTTTAAAATACCTAAAACTTGTACATTTGGCAATTTCAGAAAATAGAATAAAGATTAGTCTTAGTTTAGTTTTGATGAAAATGCCAGTTTTTCCTATTGGATTTGAGCGTGGGAAAATAAATCTTCTAAACTTGATACTCTATACATAATCTACCCATCTCATATATAAACGAAAGACTAATGCTTCTTTCATTTTCTCAGTGGGGAAAGAAAATATACATTTCTCATGCTGAACTTTGCTGCAAATTACAGTAATTCAATTTTAGCAGATTTGAGTTGTTAAAAGAGCTTCTTTATTAAACAAAGGTTATGAATATCAGAAATAATGCAGACCAACATACATTCAGTATATTTGGGACCTCACAAACTATATGGACTTCAACTTGCAATCTAAATCCTCCACCACAGACACTAATGCTAGCCATTATCATTCAAATTACAGTTGTCTATGTCAAGAGAGAAAGCACTTATGCAGGACGCATCATTATCTGTGGACTGTCCCTAAATTTGGGGGCAGAATGATGAAACATAATAACAAAACCCCATGTCTCTCTTCTAGTACTTCGACGTTCAGGCCTCTCACATTTGCCTCTAATCAAAATATGGAGTACAACCAGCCTACTGTTTCCTAGTAGGGAGGTGACAAAGTCTTGGGGTTCTAGAGATGTATGTCCCTGTAATTGACAGAGCCCTGCTATGTCTGTCAGGTGTGGTCTTCAGGTAGAAATTAAAGTAACGTTATGATTGGGGTCAGTGTCTTCCCAAAGCATTAACATGAAAGCAAGCATAGTACTTCTACCACAAACCAGGCCTGAATTCTTATTCTGGGTCCTGTCTGGAGCCTTCACCACGAGCTCTGACCACAAGCTAAGCATACAAATGAATGCTGTAAAAGAAATGATCTTCTATGCAATCTACCACAGAAACAGAGGCCTCAGAGATTTCACTAAACTCTGAATATGGTTTATATTGAAAAGTCTAAAATAATCTCCCTAATTCTGGAAAGAGATCTGGTAAAAGGAGTTAACAGAAATTAGGAGATGGGCAGGGCAGTGAGGACTAGTGATTCGGATGCTTTGGGAGGCGGTGTACCTTGCATGTACCTGTTCTGATGGGTTCTCATTGAAGTGGTACTACCTGAGGTGTTCAAGGACTCCCAGTTAGAGCTGTGGATTCCAAAGGTGCCCGGTGGGAAGTCTTATTTCACACTGCCCACTTACCTAAGCGTATACTGTGCCAGAGACTTACTGATACCACCAAGTATCTGTCACTGAATCAGCCAGACTAGCGCAAATCACTGTCAATGTTGGTCATCATAACTGAATTCCCCAGGGTAGATCCCAACATATGCTGACTGAATTAGAAGCGAAAGTGTATTTTAAAAGAGATTTCAGGTAAAGCTGATAAATGCCTGGCCAGATCTGAAATTGAAATGTCTCTGATAATGATGAAACACAAGCCAGTGCATCTGGCTAGCTACATCTGTCTTCCCAGGCTTCAACAGAAGTTGGGATCTACCTTGGAAGAATGCACAATAGAACTCTCGTGAATTAGCTCAAAGAATTTAATACTTGTTGCAATTTTCTCCAATTTAGTATATGAAATAATAACATAGACAGCAATTACCATAAAGAAAAACTTCAGGTGCAACAGCATTAGTTCAACAGCTAGGATCAAGTGTCAGCCCACAATAACAAATTTCATTCATTTTATCTCCAGCACTGGAGACATGCTGCTACTAGCTTTAATAGTCAGGAATGTCTGCTGGCTAAATGACTCTGCAGAGCTAGTCAAGTGAGGGCAGCCTGCGACAGTTTAATTGGTCTGCTCGCTATAACTCTATCTGGGGGCTGTAAGCAGTGGACTATAAACAAGCACAAAGCTGCACTCGATGCAGAGCAGAACAGCCTGCAGGAGAGGGGAAAAAAAAAAAAGGAGAGCCTCTGATGGCAGGATCTCTCATTTACACTGGCGTCAGGTTGGCTACAGGTGAACTGGAGCAATGTAGGCACTGCAGCAGAAGAAAGGTGGGGTGAAGAGAGCAATCATTTATCTTGTATTGATTTCTGGACACCGTCCTAGATCCAGTCCAAGATAGAATGACAGTTTTCAGTTTTGTGCTTGCAAGAGACAAAAATGACGAGCACCAGTCCTCCTGTTTCTGATCATATTTCCTTTAGAAACCATGCCACCCATAGATTTTTTTTCGGACAGAGAAATCCAAACAAGTTTATCACTGAAAAAGAGGGTTAGGGGCTGGTTAATCAGCCATTTGTCTTTGCTCTGGATCTGGGAGTCAAGGGGTCAAAACCAAGCACAATTGGGCCCTTTGGTTTTATCTCAGGTAACCGCGCCCCCCCCACCCCCATTTCTGGTAATTGAACCCATTCCTTGTGGTCAGGGTTCCTGTCACTCATATTCAATGTCTGTCATTACTGAGAAATGCTTCATGTCATATTACACTGACAGAACCACTACAGCAAAGCTAGCAAGATTCCCCCAGCACCAGAGGTAAGACAATGGGAGCCTCTTTCAGACCAGTGATGTTTAACATTTTATGTGCTGACACTGTGTCTGTAAGCACAATACAATGAAAGTCTAGTAAATGGGAGATAAAAATTCATACTTTCCCTCCTTCAGGGGCTGCCAAGCACTATCAGAAATAAAACAAGTTGGCAGCTCCAACGATACCATTGCACCAGTGCCACGCACGGCAGGCATTTTCTAAGTGTAGTGAGTGGATTTATACACGGATACACTCACAGCTGGGCACACATGATCCCACTGGTTTTTTGATGTGGCTGTGTACAAAATACCCTTCCCCTGGCAGGGTGTGATTCACTGTCACAGGGTTAGTAACCTTAGACATCCAGCTCTTCTCTGAACGTATTTTGAGACTCTCAAACTATGTAAAGGAGAGAAGAGATGACCCCATTGCATCTTTAACAAAGTATGACTGTCATTCTGTTTGGAAGTCTCAAAAAATGAGTTTTGAGGCTGAGTGTGTCCCTGACAGGTTCAAAAATCCCCAAGTCCAGTCTTGAATACTGTTGACTCCTCATTTTCAAGGCTGTTCAACCAACCTGCTTTCCCATCCTTACGGTTCATCACTTCTTGCCATGCAGTTTACACACGAGTCTCCATGTTATTCACTCTCTATCACACTTTGCACCTTCATGCCCCTGGGCCTTTGCACATATCCATTCCATTTGGGAAGCCTTTTTTGGGCATCTTCCTCCTTCAGGACCCAGCTTGTACCCTACCTGCTCTATGGATGGGTGTTTGATTCCCTTCTTTTCACTATCTTCTTCATGGTTAAAAGCTTAGGCTCCAGAATTAGGCTGGGGTAGTTTGAATCCTTGGCCTGTCATTTAGGCAAGTTTGTAAACTCTCTGTGCCTCAGTTTCCTGAGCTGTACAGTACAGTTAACACCTCATATGGTTGTTGTGTGGATTAAATGAGATTACCCACAGTAACAGTTATAATGGTTACATGGTTACAAAAGTGTCCAGTACAAACACTCAATAAATGACAGTTATAATGACAATAATAATTATAATAATAATAAATAATATTATTATTAGCTACTACTGACATTCTCAAAGCACTCTGCTTACATCAGTAACAGGATGTTCCACTTTTCCTTGTTTTATAGTGACTGGTTTCCACTGTGCTCTTCCCACTTGGCATAGAGCTGTGGGCATCCACATCACCTGAGAATTTGTTAGGACTGCAACTATTCAAGCCCATTCAGGAAGGGCCTGCAATCTGTGTTTCACAAGCCCACAGGTGATTCTAATGCTAAAATTACAGAACCACTGGCCTAGAGCATGGGCTCTGGAACCAAACTTCCTGCTTGGGAATCCCAGCTCCCCTGCCTCCCAGCCTTGTGCCCCTGGGAAGGTTACTTGACATCTTTTGGCTCCACGTACCCTTTTCTTAAAATTAGAGATAATAAACATACCTACCATTGTAACAGTTAATTCACATAAAGCACTTAAAAAGTACTTGGCACAGAGAGGCACTTAATATGTACTAGTTAGTATTATTATTATTTAGGATTAAACACATTCATAATACATGCAAAGGATTTGGATGCTTTTGTAGGGGTTCAATGAGGATTTTAATTTTTAGTGGTATTCTTCTGAGTTTAAGCTTCCTGAGGGCAGAGACCCTGTCTTATTCACCCCCATCAGCTGCTGGAGCTGAACCCAGGCTTTGCTTTAAGCAGGCACTCTGAGAAAGGTTGGCTGCCTGGAGCTCCATGGTGAATCCACCGGCCTAGATGTCAGGCTGAGTATTTATTTGGGGTTGTGCTCTGTTGGCTGCAAGGCAGAGAAATGAGACAATTCACTTTGGCTTCGGCAGCTTTCCCGAGGCCACCAGCCTGTGGCCAATTGTCTTTTGCACAGATCTCTCCTTCCCAGTTCCCAGGCTGCTTCCACTCAAGGTCACACCCCCTAAGCCTGGTAACTTTGGATTTCAAAATCATTTTGACTTGATATTTTACAGGGAACATGGCAGGCTTAGTAAGCTTAATCTCGCTCTCTCTTTTTTATACACCGGGGGTGGGACACCTTTTAACCTATCTGACAAAGCTTTAAAAAAGCCTCTGCTTAGAAACAGACTGCAGCCTGAAGCAGAATGTAAAAGCCGGCCGCCAGCTTCCCAGGCTGCCCGCCGAAGTGTTCCCAAGCTTTCCACGCTGGAGGAGGCAACCCAGGAAGAGGCACAATCACTCAGCACTCCTCTGCCATAAGAAACTATACTCACAAGTTCATTTCCCTCTACATCCCTTTCTGGGGAAAATCAAAATTGGTCGAGGAAAAGTAACAGCTATCTAGCTAGTGGTTAACCTTCTCTAAGTGGGCCGATTCACTGATCTCTTAAAATGGCCACGCATGCCCTATACCAAGAGTATTAAAAAGCTGATTTTGCAGTCAAGGAATGGATTGACCTACTTGGGAAAAGTTGCTATTTTAGACAAGTGCCAGGACCATAACAAATAGTAAATGTGACCTGTTATTTTATTAGATGAAACCACACTACTATGTTCACTATAAATAATATAATTCATGTAGCTAGTCAATATCAAAACTATAAATATTCAGTCCATGAGGGTCTGCTATTTAAACAATAGAAGATAGGATTCCCCCAAATATATATTCATAAGTTTGCCACATTAGCGGTTAGCAGGAGGTGGTCTCTAAATGCCTAAAGAGGCATTGTTACTGATAGCAAAAAGAAGGTACTTTAAAAAAATTACATTCAACTCCAATGAATAAATAAATTCCATGTCTTGATGATCATTTCTACTATCATTCCTCCTAATACCAGGTTACTGATAATTTGAGATTTCTCCTACTGCCAGTAGTGGAAATTTAGGGAAGAAGAGATTTGAATAAGCTATCTTTTGATTCATGAGAACAACGTCAAGTAAATCCAGGTAACAGAGAAACTGAAATTAGAGTGGTATGAAAATAACTCATGTTTCTCTCCAAAGGCACTATCACTATCACATAGGGCATAATAATATTCAAATACAATGCCAGCAGTAGGGTCACAGACCCTATTCCACTACTACTGGACGAACCTTGGATAGGGTCTTAGATACTGACTAGATTCCCACAACGTCCAATGGTAATCATTTTCTAGCGTTCTACAATGAACCATGAAGAAATTCAGAGAGGACAGTTTCAGATCTCAAAGCAACACACTCTGAAGAATAAAAATGAATTATATTCACCAAGCCAAGTGGAGGAAGTGCGTTGCAAAGAGAGTTCTAATGCTGAAATATCACATTGCCAAATGTCCCTGTCAAATCGTGGTTTAATTACCTTGGCCTCCATGCCTCTTATAATCACCTGTCATTAGCAACAATGCTTGCATCTGTTTACACGTCTGTCAGAAATGCCAGCCCCGGGCAAGCCAGGGGATAAGAAAATTTTATTGGGATATGCCCTCAATTGAAAAAAGATCATCTTAAAGTTGACCTATCTATGCCCAGGCCAACCCTTAAAAAGATAATCTAAGGAAAGGATCCCTGAAGCAAACATCTACATATTATAGAAATACATTTTAAATAGGGTTGCCTTAGTTCTAAAACCAAAGTGGGACCAGGTGCGGTGGTTCATGCCTGTAATCCCGGCACTTTGGGAGGCCGAGGTGGGTGGATCACCTGACGTCGGGAGTTCGAGACCAGCCTGACCAACATGGAGAAACCCCGTCTCTACTAAAAATAAAAAAAAATTAGCCTGGCGTGGTGGCACACGCCTGTAATCCCAGCTACCTGGGAGGCTGAGGCAGGAGAATCACTTGAACCCGGGAGGTGGAGGTTGCAGTGAGCCAAGATTGTGCCATTGCACTCCAGCCTGGGCAACGAGAATGAAACTCCATCTAAAAAATAAAAAAGAAGAAAAAAAAAAAAGGAAAATTTAGATGTTTCATGACTGTATTATGCCTCCTTTTATAGCATTTCTGCTTGTCTGTGGGAAATACACCGGTGAGATGTGTTCTAATTGCAATAGTCTTCATGATCTTTTCATCCTGATGGTCTCCTGAACCTTACAAGGTAAGGAAGAAGTACCTACTTCTTCCACTAATTTTCCTCTTCTCCTCCAGTGACTAGATCTGCTTTCT